>NT_187601.1:302222-604444 GCF_000001405.40 Homo sapiens | reverse complement strand
CTGCAGAGTGGGGCCCAGGAAGGGAACCACTGTGGGGGCCAGGATCACTGTAGAGAGCCCCCACCAGGGCAATGCCCAGCAAGCCATGGAGATAGAGCCACGCAAAGCCACAGGGGCAGGGTCTTGGGGGCCCAACCCCTACATGGCAAAGCTGCTATGCAGGGCCACCACCTCAGTGGGTCCAAAAGACAGAACTCTTACCCCAATGGGTTTGGAAGGTGGGACCTCCACCCCAGTGGGCCTGGAAGGTGGAGCATCAAGTCAAAAAAGGTAATTTTCAAACCTTAAGGTATAATGTAGTTGGGTTTTAGACTTACTTGGAACCTGTTACACCTTTTTTCTTTCCCATTTCTCCCTTTTGGATGGGAATGTCTATGCTATGCCTGTCCAACCATTGTATATTGGAGGCATATAACTTGTTTGATTTCATAGGCTCACAGCTGGAGAGGAAATTGCCTCACCCATATCTGATTTAGATGGTATTCACATGAGACTTTGGACTTTTGAGTTCATGCTGAAATGAGTTACGATTTTTGGGGCTATTGGGATGGAATGAATGTTTTGCATATGAGAATAACATGAATTTCAGAAAATAGGGTGGAATACTATAGACTAAATGCTTGTGTCCTCTCAAAATTTGTATGTTGCCAGACATGGTGGCTTATGCATGTAATCCCAGTACTTTGGGAGTCCAAGGCAGGAGGATCACTGAGGTCTGGAGTTTGAGGCCAGTCTGGGAAACATAATGAGACTGTCTCTAAAAAAATTTAAAAATTAGCCAGATGTGGTAACACATGCCTGTAGTCCCAGCTACTCAAGAGGCTGAGGAAGGAGAATCGCTTGAGCCAGGTAGGTCAAGGCTGCAGTGAGCCATAATTGCACCACTGCACTTTAGCCTGAGTGACAGAGTAAGACTCTGTATCTTAAAAAAATTTTTAAATTAGTATGTTAAACCCTAACCCTCAAAGTGATGGTATTCAGAGTTGGGGCCTTTAGGAAGTAATTAGGTCATTAGGGCAGAGCCCTTATGTATGAGATTACTGCCTTTATAAAGGAGGACCCTGAGAATTCCCTTTCCTTCCCACCATTTAAGGACACAACACCAAGATGGCCATCCATGAACTAGAAAGCAGGCCCTCACCAGACATCAACTCTGCTGGCACCTTGATCATGGACTTCCCAGCCTCCAGAAATGAGAAAAATAAATGTTTACTGCTTATCAGCCACTCCGTTTATATTTCTGTTACAACCCAACGGACTAAGACAGAAGATGACACTCCAAACTAAGAAGCATTCAGATTTTGAAATAAAAAATTTTTCCTCATTCTGAGTCAGAAGTTCAATTACTATTTATTAAGTAATTAAGTAGATAGCAAAAAAAAACCACAGTGTCACTGGATTTGTTTACTTTCCAAATAAACACTAAATGAAAATAAAAATGAGTTTACATGTTAGCACATGTTTTGGTCAGTTTTCCAAAGTTATCTGCAATTATACTGACAAATGGAAATCAAACAGAGTAAATGTGAAAATCTGTCCAACATCACTAGTAATGGAAGAACTACAAATCTAAACAAAGAGATATTAATATTCATCTGTCTAACTCTACACAAATTTTATAATAATAATGACAAATCACAATGAGACAAGTACTTTCACATACTATTGGAAATATTGAAAATTTCTCAAGTCCTTTAACTCATTAATCCCTCTTTTGTTGGTTTATTCTAAGGAAATAATCAGAAATATAGTGAAAGGTTTATGTTTAAGGATACTTGGGTGTATTGGGGTAGCCAATTTACCAAAATATTAACAGTGGTTATCTTTTGTTCTTAGAATTGCAGGTGATTTTTATGTTTCTAATTTTACTATTTCTGTATACTTATATTCAATCCATTTCCAGTCAATGTCTAAAATTGTGTCCTCAAATATTCTAAAAATATCACTAGCCTGCAGGATCACTGCTAATAGCAATAGGCAAGATAAATTGATTCCAACTCAAAAGTCTGTTTTCTACACATCTCTATGATGATGACGTTCTCACATGAGAACATCTAGCCTGCTTGTTTGATGTCTTGTTTAATTATTGGTACTAGAATTAGTCAAACCATTCCAATTTCCACTTACCTGGATTGGATGTGTACTGCATTGCAATCATTAGCATGGATGATGCAGAGAGGTTAACATGGGCAGGTACACCTTCTCTCCTTGAGGAGCCCACTGCAACCAAAAGTTCTTTGATTAGACACAATTTAATCTCTACATATACCTGTTACTTTGCACAGAGCATGAGAGATAAGAAGGAACTTTAAAAAAAAAAATAGCTCCAATAAAGCTAATGGAAGTTTTGCACAAATGAAACCACAAAATGTGTCCTGGCATACAAATGCTACAGTTGTCATCTCCATAGGAAAATTGAGTGAGAATCTATAAGGAGACAGAACAGTGTCAGAAAGTGATGTAATGGCTTTATCTGAGTTGTACTTAGATGGGATCTCTACCCCCATGATGTTTGTATTTAGATGGAAAAGAAAGAAAAAACAGAATCCTCTGTGTGCCCAAAGATAAAGACATATTGAAGGGTATCCCAATGAGAAAATAAAAAGGAAAGGTTTTTAAACTCAAATTGAATGTATTAATTTTTAGAGATGCAGATGAAATAATAGTTTAATTATAATGTATAACATTAATTTAGTTACAATACAAATTCTAAATCACATATTATAAAAAATAATGATATATTAATTTAAAGATTTTCAATTTTCACATATCATTAAACAGTTTTATTCAAACCTTCACGTGTAACTTCATCATCAATGTCTTCATTACCATGAGAACCATTTTTTTAGTTTTCCAGAGCTTACCATCTTCATATTCATCTGAGTTGTTTGAAATAAAGCAATTTGTGAATCTGTGAATAACACAGTTGCTGGGCATTTTATCCTACACCAACAAGCATAAAATCACAAAGCAAATTGGCTTCTTTAAAATCCATCTTACCGCTGTATAATCATGGTCTCCACTCACAAACTGCTTTTAAGACATCTTTAAGTGGCTTGTTTAAGATGACATCAAATACCATATTAAATTTCTTTGTTTCTCATGTTTAAGAGAGTGTATCCAGTCACCCCTTTAAGTATTCAAAAGTAGCACTGATGGAAGTCATTTGGGGAAATACATGGTCTCCCAAGAGGACTTTCTTTCTTTTTTTTTTTTTTTTTTTTTCCTTAGACAGAGTCTCACTCTTGTTGCCCAGGCTGGAGTGCAGTGGCACAATCTCAGCTCACTGCAACCTCCAACCCCTGGGTTCAAGCGATTCTCCTGCCTCGGCCTCCCGAGTAGCTGGGATTACAGGCGCCTGCCCCCACACCCGGCTAATTTTTGTATTTTTAGAAGAGATGGGTTTCACCATCTTGGCCAGGCTAGTCTTGAACTCCTGACCTCGTGATCCACCCACTTCGGCCTCCCAGAGTGCTGGGATTACAAGCGTGAGCCACTGTGCCTGGCCCCAAGAGGACTTTCTTATTTCAAACACAGTAATTGAGAGAGGACCCACCACAGGAGAAACTTTATTAGGACTCAAATATAAAATAAATTCCTCTTTTTCTCAGGGAAAATTGCAGAAGTAGAAGAAACCTCGCCTTACACTTGGGCTTGTGTGGCAGAGTGTCAAGCATGAACAGAATGGTGCAGACAGCATAAAACCCTCAAAAAGTCAACCCTTAGATTTCTAAACATAATAGAGAAGACCACTGCCACAGGCAACAACAAAAAGCAAATAACCTCAAAATCTGCTTTATTTTATTTTATATTAAAGTACAATAGGTGTGGATTATATCTCACCTACATCCAAAAAGGATAGATAACTTCTAATAGAACACATGTATAATAGAATCATCAAAACACTAATAAAAATTTGTCATACAATAAATCAGAGGAGATAAAAAAAATTAACACAATTCTTTTCTTTTTACATAAAGGAATTTGGGCACCAAAGTAGACAGTGGCCTTTAAAACAATTTTACAGAAATAAACAAACAAAACATATCTATCACTAAGTTCCATTTACTTAAGTTGGCTTTTATTAATCACTTGCAGCTAGGCAGCTGCTAACCCAGCTGCCTACGCCGGTGATACTCAGGGAGATAAACTAGTTTGGCTCCACAACTTATTAATAAATAAGTATTAATAATTAGACAAAGATTGGAGAACAATTCACTGCTCTTAGATGTCAAGTTGATTAATCAAATGTGATTAATCAAGAAAGAAGAACTTTCAGCCAAATGCTAAGGAACAAAGTGCACGCTGGCTGCTCTCAAACTGTAGCCAAGCAGCTTGTTCAAATTCAGCTTCTTTGGGGCCAAAGAAGATGCTTCTGGAGAGTCAGCTTGGAAACTACATGTTTCCAGGAAAGTACCTGTTTAATTAATAAGCACATCAGGTGATTCTGATGCAAGCTGGCTTTGGACCACTCTTTGAGAAGTACTATTAGAGGGACGAGAAATAAGAAAGAAAATGCCCAGTAAGGTGTCCAGGTGCAGGAAGAATAATTGCACACCCTGTGCCCTTTGTTAAAAAAAAGAAAAGAGAAATTCTTGTCTCAGATGTATTCAAGAAATACACACACGCACACACACACACACACACGTATATATATACATATATATATATACACATATATATACACATATATATACATATATATATTCTTGTTTTGGGACAAGTGTTTCACCTTTGTTTAAATTCATCTCAAACTTTTTAATAATATGCATTTAATAATATGTATTTCTCAACAATGAAAACTGCTATTAAGGAAGGCTGAGAGTCACTGTAAATGGAGGCCTTTAAAAGTAGGAAAGATGCCCACATGTCTCAGATGATTTAGGCGAAGCCTATTTGCAGAATGGCCCAAATGGCTCAGCCACCTCTGGATGTCCCTCCTATTCCAACAAATCCATACTCTCCCTCAAGAATGACCAGCCAGGAGGCCAAAAGCATTCCCCTGGCTCAAGCCCTAGAAAACTGGCTGCAATACTTACATAAACAGACGGTGCCTTACAATTTCCTAGCCTTCTAACAGACTGAATAAAATCATTGCAATTCTAATTTAATAAACATGCACAGGCACACATCATTTATTGAATCTTGTTAAAAAGGCATGATGTAAACAGATGTGCAGCTTGTCCCCATGAGGGTGTAAAAAGCCAAGACTATAAACAATAGAAGGGAGAAGATAATTAATCAAAATAAGAAAATTTTGCATTTAATATTGTGCTCAGGAAATACAATTAAAAGTTCTCAGTCCTATTCCCTATCCTCCCAGCATCACCAGAACAATCATTACCATGATCTCCTCCCTCCAGAAATAGTAACAATGCCTTAATATGTTCCTGCATTTTGTAGTTCTGAATATATTATTATGTACAGCTCTTATATGACTATCATCCAAAAGAGGAGTTATATAGGAAAAGCCATTTTATGAAAGAGAGATCATCAAGTTATTTGCATGACAGCACCAACCTAATCATTGGGACTGCAGGCCAAGTCACTTGATTTCATAGCTAATGCTCTAGTCACTTATTAAATTCAACAACTTTTTTGGTCAGTACTTCCTGTATACTAAACATTGTTCTAGGTCCTGGGGATACAGTGCTAAAAACAGACAAGTCATCATTAAAAAGTCAGGAAACAACAGGTGCTGGAGAGGATGTGGAGAAATAGGAACACTTTTACACTGTTGGTGGGACTGTAAACTAGTTCAACCATTGTGGAAGACAGTGTGGTGGTTCCTCAAGGATCTAGAACTAGAAATCCCTGATCCCATTACTGGGTATATACCCAAAGGATTATAAATCATGCTGCTATAAAGACACATGCACAGGTATGTTTGTTGTGGCACTATTCACAATAGCAAAGACTTGGAACCAACCCAAATGTCCATCAATGATAGACTGGATTAACAAAATGTGGCACATATACACCATGGAATACTATGCAGCCATAAAAAAGGATGAGTTCATGCCCTTTGTAGGGACATAGATGAAGCTGGAAACCATCATTCTGAGCAAACTATCGCAAGGACAGAAAACCAAACACCGCATGTTCTCACTCATAGGTGGGAATTGAACACTGAGAACACCTGGACCCAGGATGCGGAACATCACACACAGGGGCCTCTCATGTGTCGTGGGGTTGGGGGAGGGGGGAGGGATAGCATTAGGTGATATACCTAATGTAAATGATGAGTTAATGGGACTCCAACATGGCAGCACACCAACATGGCACATGTATACATATGTAACAAACCTGCATATTGTGCATATGTACCCTAGAACTTAAAGTATAATTAAAAAAAAAAAAAAGACAGACAGGTCTTTGTCCTTATGGATCCTAGATGCTAGAGCTGTGTTACCTGATATGGTGACCACTAGTCACACGTGGCTATTTAAATTTAATTAAAATTAAATAATATTAAAAATTCCATTCCTCAGTCTCACTGAACACATTTTAAGAGCTTAGTAGCCACATGGGGCTAGTGGCTACTCTACTGGACAGCACAAAATTTTTAATGTTTTTATGGAACATTCCATCATTACAGGAAGTTCTGTAGACAGCGCTATTCTACAAGAAAGGGCAAACAGGTACTTGTGGCAAAATGGAAGCAGTGCAAGGGAATAAAGAGAAAGCGATGGAAGGTCCTGTTTTAGCCAGAGGGTAAGGAAGGGCATCTTGAAAGATGTACTTGAGCTTGAACCTAAAGAATGTAAGGAAGCAAATAATCATGAGACCATTTGGGAGAAGGACTTTGAAGACAGAGAATAAAGCATGGAGCAAAAGCAAAAGTGTGGTGCCTTTGTGAAACTGCAGAAAGGCCAAGGCTCCTGGAGCAGAGTGAAGACAAGGAGATGTAGTAATTGAAACAGGAAGGTAGTCAAGGGTCAGGTCATAGAGGGCCTGTGAGCTAAGGAAGGGCACTGAATTTGATTTGTAAGAGTAACGGGAAGCTAGACGGTTTTGCTGAAGGAAGTGGCATGATCTGATTTACATGTTTGGAGGATAGCTCTGGCTTTTTGATGGAGAGCAGAAGGTAGGAGGGCTAAAAAGGGAAGCAGGGAGACCAGTTCGGAAGCTACTGGACTGGCCCCAATGAAAGCTGGTGGTAAGAAGTGGCCTGAATGGGGATATACTGAAATGAATTCCAGTGGCTTTATACTTGTCTAAAGGGTGAAGGTAAAGGAGACACCTGGCAGGAAGAAACACATTATGGTGTAAGTTTTTCAATGTGACAGAACCATTTCCTGTATTCTGCCAGACTGCACTGCCTGGATTAAAAAGCGGTCTCACCTCTACGCGGGCCTCCTACTTGTGTGAGCAGAGGTAATTGTGTTCCATGAGATAGGGTTTAAGCATAAGATGTCCATCCCTTCAGAAGGGCATTATCAGTTAAACATAAAGGGAAGACCAAGACAACGTGACCTGGAAGCCTACACAGCATTAAAATATTTGCAGAATTATAGATTAATGAAAAGTCATGGACAGAATGCCCATTAACACTGTGGAAGTGGTCTGTCAGATTCTGTGAATCCAAAAACTGCTACAATCATTATTTTTATTATACAACAAACTCTAGAAGAAAAAGTTGCCAAGCCCCAGCAGATGGCCTCTTACCTCAAGCAATATTTAAGATGATGAAATTTCAGGACAGTGTGTGAATTTCAACTAAGTATTGGAATGAGTTGCAATGGGATTTAACAGGTCTGTGATTTGACTATGCATTTGGCCTGATATACACGTGCATAATATCACATGATATTTTAAGGCTATTCTCATACATTATTCCATGGTCTTCACAACAAACATGGGATGTAGACACAGGAAGTTATCCTTAATCACCATTTTACAGCTAAGGAAACCAAAGTTCCATGAGGTTAGGAGATTTGCCAATAGTTGAAGGATTATAACTCAGCTCTTCTGGATTTCTATTTCAAAACATTTCCCATGACTCGGCAATAAAACTCTCAAAGTATATAGGGAAACCTATCTTAGAAAAACAACCAGTAGCTAATAAAACAGACTGCATATATTAAAGATTATTTAAATATCATTAATATTTTGCATTTTTACTGTTTTTTCTATGTGTTATTAGTCTTTGGAAGGTTATAGAAACATAACATGCACCCTCTGTAGTAGTAGGAATAGAACAAAAAATGGTAAGTCACGCAATTGCCTTTAAGATAATGCCCTTAAGATTTAAATGAACCTTTATTTTTCCTGAAGGTAAGTGACTTTTTGAGAAAATTTAAGGTGGAAAGGGAACTAGATGAGACCGCATAGTCTGGGATACTAGGATACGTTAGAATAATCTTAAACAATTATATCTTAAGCTGATATAATTGTTCAGCTTTATTATCATCTTTACAATAACATAGCCTGCATCAGTCAATGTTCACTTGGAATCAGCTCTTTCTCTTCTCTGCCAAAGCCATCATCTCCCAAATCTCCATATTTCAATTCAGTCCACAAATCACAGATCCTTTATTGGAAAAAGAGAGGTTTCCATGGTGACATGCAAATGACTTTCTCAATTCTTAGTAACTCCTTTAATATATTTTTTATAAACAAAGCATATTGAGCACATTTGGAATAAAGAGAAATATATTTTATTTATGGAAGGAGTTAAAAAGAAAAGCTATGTCAAAGGAAAATTTCACAATAAGTAAGTTGAAGTTTGCTCTGCAGAACCTTAAAAGGACTCATTCTAAAATAAAAGTCCAGCACTTGGTTTATTGACAAGGATGGTAAGGAGGAAATCTCTGATATACATGCTGGCCTCTTACTCTGAAGAGCTGCAATACCTCATTAGGTCCACTTCAAAGATCAGAACTTTATCTTCTAGGTCCTTAAGGATAGAATCATTTTATACCTGAAAAGCAGTTCATGTTTTCCATCTGACATTAGGAACACCACACCAAAAAGCCTTTTTGTCTTAAAGACTTTATCAAGTACTCAGGACATACAATATCCTTCATCCTAACATCTCAGTCCTGAAATAAAAATATTCTGCAAGAAGTTATGCGTTCTTGTCTTGTTTTGGTCACAATTTCTAGACACCAAAACAACTACCAAAAAAATAGAAAAAACATGAATACGACACACGGACACACATTCTCACATCAGTCCATTTTAACATGATTAATCTGAAACTATATCCTTCTGGTTTTGGATCTATGTCTTTGTATACTCATGAAATAACAAGTACAAAGGAAACACCTGAATGGTGTAATCGAATTTGGCTGTAAAGGTTGGTATTACAATTTATTTTCAAAGACTTAAAGATGACAAATATTGGCTATTATTGAACCACAGGAATGATTATGAGAAAGGAAAGTCAAAGCCAAAAGACTAAAACCAGAGCAACAAAATAAACACATGAAGTAGACCAACAACTAGGTTAGAGGACAATACGTGCCTCTTACATAAAATAATATTGATGTTACTTAAACTAGAATTAGTACGCCAGAAGTAATCTGCGAGACTGAACATTTTTTTCAAACCCCTTCTTTATAGTTAAAAAAAATGGGACCTTGGGAACATGAAGTGACTTGTTCATACCTTCAAATAAATGCCAAGTTACTCCTCTAATAAACATTAAAATATACACAAATTTTGTAAACTCAACTTACTGTTTTATTCTCCTCAGTTGCCAAGGTTTGTACATTTATGTAAGTAAGAATTCTAACGTGACTACATGGCATGTTTTGGGATCTGTGTTTCTAATTAAGTAGAAATTAATAATTAAGTGTAAAGAAACAAATTGTCAGCTATCACAATACTTGATCAATCTTAAATGTAACTTCAGAGGCCTGATATTTTCAACACCTCTCCCATAATTATTAACTTATTCCTAAGAAGGAGGGATTTAGTGAATTAGATTAATTGTTAGAAAGCTACAGCCTCCTCATTAATCCCACCATCGCCTCCCAGCACTTTGGAGCCTGAGGCAAGAGGATCACTTGAGGCTGGGAATTCCAGATCAGCCTGGGAAACATAGTGAGACCCCATCTCTACAAAAAAATTTTTTTAATTAGCTGGGCATGGTGGTAGAGGCCTTCACACCCTACTTGGGAGCCTAAGGCAAAAGGATCGCTTAAGCCGAGGAGTTTGAGGCTGCAGTGAGCTATGACTGTGCCACTGCACTCCAGCCCAGGCAACAGAATAAGACCCTATATCAAAAAAGAAAAGAAAAGAGAGAGAGAGAGAGAGGAAGGGAGGAAGGGAAGGAGGAAGCCAGGTGCAGTGGCTCACGCCTGTAATCCCAGCACTTTGGGAGGCTGAGGCGGGTGGATCACCTGAGGTCAGGAGTTTGAGACCAGCCTGGCCAACATGGCAAAACCCCATCTCTACTAAAAATACAAAAATTAGCTGGGCGTGGTGGCTGGTGCCTGTAGTCCCAGCTATTTGGGAGGCTGAGGCAGGAGAATCACTTGAACTCAGGAGGCAGAGGTTATAGTGAGCCAAAACTGCACCACTGCACTTCTGCCTGGGTGACAGAGTGTTACTTCATCTCAAAAAACTAAAGAAAGAAAGAAGGGACGAAGGGAGGAAGGGAAGAATGGAGGGAGGGAGAAAGGGAGGGAAGGAGGAAGGAAGGAAAGGAAGGAAGGAAGGAAGGAAGGAAGGAAGGAAGGAAGGAAGGAAGGAAGGAAGGAAACAGCCTCATCTGTTATGCTTCAAAAAACCAAAAATTCTTATGCCTAAGTTTAACAGTTAACATCACTTATTTTAAAGATATGACTATGCAATTCTAAAACGATATCAAGAAATGAGTACTTGTCAGTAAGAACAAAAGAAGAAAATGATCAAATATTGTATTACTTGAATGGTATGATCAGTCTGCTAATTTTTTTGAATTGCTATATAATTTAGGGAGAAGTCAAACTCTTTGCTGAAAGACATGAAAAGTACAATTCCATAGCTAACATTAAACTTGATTGTAAAAATAAGCAAATGTAGCTCAAAAGATATATATGGTTACCAATTGTTATTACAGAGCAACAACTTTAATAAGATCGTAAGTACATAAAATTAAAATGTGAATAATGATCACTAGGAGTTGAATGTAACCAACGAAAGTATTTTTCTAAAACAATAGTTGAGAGAAGGCGAGAAGCAAGCTGACACTTATTGCATACCAGGCATTGTGCTAGCATTTTACCAATGTTCCAAGTTAACCATCTTAATTATCCCACAACTTCATGAGGCAGCTATTATTATTATTATTATTTTATAAGAAAGAAACAGAAAGTTGGGTAATTTGCCTAAAGTCATATAGCTAGTAGGTGGAAGAGCTGTGATTTGGATCCCAACGTTTGACTCCTAAATCCACAATCTTTTCGGATTTCCCACTGAAACATAGATTAATCCATAATCCATTTCTTTAAAAAATACTTGAAAATGATTTTGATCATAAAAACCACAATGCAATATTTTTTTCTCTTTGTGCGCATGTCTGGAAAGCCTGTAAGATTAAGTCTACAGAAATGAAACAGGATTCAAATCAGTTTTATGTTTATAATCATACATTGCACATGACTTGGAAGCTTTAGCTTTTTTCAGTGCTTTCATAAATTTCGAGTCACTTTATCATCACGATACCTCTATAAGGGAAAGCTGATGGATTCGTCACTCTGTAGATGATGTTTCAACTATGTGAGCTGCCCAGATTAGAGGCAGAGCTGGGACCAGAATTTACACATCCTGACTATCTAATGCTCTTTCTATTAGATCCTACTGCCTTCAAAGCCAAAAGATAGGAATTTCTGCATCTGAGACAATACTTTCCCCATCTTTTTTCTAAAGTGGTAAAAGATACTGTAACTTATACATAGGAAATCTAGACTGCCTTGATATGTTCTTTTTTTCTATTCTATAAGATCAAACAGTCTGAATAAAACAATTTTAAGCCCTAACGCCTTTCATTTCTTTGACTTTCGCCATAATATCCATGCTAAAGTGACTGAATTGAAATCATAGCTCCTGTATATATCAAGTGATTCCATTATAATCTCGAAAAACTAGAGCCTATAACAGCAAAAGCAATTTCCATTCATATCATACATAAAAATAATCTAGTATTAGGTAAGATTGGACTTACATATAGCCATTGGTAGAAAAGATGTGCTAAGATATTCAATGATATCCTTGTGCAGAAATGGAGGAAAGGTAGCCAACGTTGATATCATCGTGTAGGGCAAAGTACTCAGAATATCATCATTGAGAAAAGGTAGCAAACATGTAGTTGTATAAAATATCGACTGTCCAAGATCTACAAAACAAAATTGAGTAATCAGTCACTGAATATTTTGCAATTAACAAAATAGGCTAACTTTACATTTTAAGCTTTAATGAACTGGTTTAAGTTATAAGCAACTAGTGCTCCATCTCTATTAAGTGTTATGAAACATAATGTTTGATAGGGTACTATTTATACAGTAATTGGTCAATAAATGACTGATGAATGAATATGTTAAGAAATATAAATATCCATTACATGCATTTTTCCTCCACACTTTCTCAATCTTCAATAATACTTGGTATTTGTATTACTACATTCTACACAAGATAACTGAGGCACAAGAAGTTAGATGATTTGCCCAATGGAAGTTTTAGAAAAGTCAAGGGCAGTATCAGAAATAAAACCGGGCTATTTCTGCTCCATCAATCAAACCATCTGGAGTGTCGGGCAATGAGGTAATTTGCAACCTTCAGCCGAGCAGCAATTTCAGCAAGCACCAAACAAGGGAAGCCGTAAGCTGGTGCTACATGACCATGTGCATTGAGTCATCAATGATCATGGGAGGAAGTGCTACCTAATAATAATCTTTCTAACAACATCTTTAAACAGGGATCATAACAATACCTACCTCACTTCATTAGAAGGATTGTTAGGAGGTTTTAATGAGATAAATGTAAAGTCCTTAGCATAGCACATACTGTGTGCTCCACAAATATTAGCTGTTATTACTAATATTAACAGTTACTATTATTATTACCTGCACAAGAATAAAAATAAAGGAGATGCAACAAAACCATAACTATTTAGCTTTAGAATGCATGTAGGCCAAATCCCATTACACTAAATGTACATTTGTATATTCCTGGACTTCCCAAAATATAGGCCATCAGCCAAGGTTTGATGATGAAGACTTGGATCACTTTTGTATTCATTATAACAGAAAAGTACTAGACTCTTCTTTGTTTTGCAGCAGATGAACCTTCTTTGGATTCCTAATGTTATTTCTGATTGTCGTTAGAATTAATATGCCATCTTAACAGGCACATCAGCTAACAACAGAAAGGATGTGGCCACAGTGCACACTAGAGGGCCAGAGTCAGTCAACCTTGAGCTCAAATGAATGAAATGGAAAATCCACAGGTGTTTTACTAAGAATTAACCGAAGCTGTGCATACAAGACACCTCAGCTCCTTTTGCTGAGCCTTTTAGCCTAATTACAGAACATTAGCACTGAAAGGAGCCCAACTGGAGTATTTTTCATATAAGGAAACTGAGGTCCGGAGAGAGGTGATTGTTCAGGATCACCTGAGAGTTAGCAGTTGAACTGCGACAAAACCGTTGCCTAGTGCTCTTCCTGTGCTCCACCCAGACCCAGCAGCAAGACACAGCCTCCGGTCTTAGTGCAGCGGCTCTCAAAGTCTATGCAAAAGAAGCGTCCACAAGGATCTTGCTAAAAATTCAGATCCTCAGGCCCCACCTCTCAGTGATTCTTAGTAACTAGTCCCCGGGTGGGACCAGAATTCCATGTTACAAACTCCCTCAGTGATTCCGATGTTTTTCAGACCATGCTTCAAGAAACAATGCCGTATTGTTTCTCTGAACCATTCATTAGATTGATCTACTGAGTTTTTTCCTACCTTCTAAGCTCTATCATGCAGAACAAGAACACGATAGCTAAATAACAATGTCACAAAGTCACAAAACAGCCGCAGGTACAAGAGCAAAAATACAAATCATCTCCCCTGAAATCGTCACAATTTACACATTAATTGCAATTACACAGATTGCAATTTACCAAATTTAATGTCTTTATCTTAATCAAGGGGCTTTGAAGATAACGGGCAGCTCCCCTAACACAGTGGACCAACCCAGGACCAGGCAAGTCCCAGGTGAGTTCAGGACTAGTAGTCACGAAGGAGACGCACTGACAAGCTCATCAGCATAGTAAGCTCTGGCAGTCTTATGTTAAGAATCCTCTCATTTAAGTTCAGAGCTGGCAGAGGATCACAGCAGAAGTGGCTAGATTTAAGACGGCTACAGAATTATACAAAAAGCAACTTTACGAATTTCTATACCTTTTACATTCACCATAACACAGAATTGTAAATGTAAGAAAAAACAAATCCAATAGTCATTATTTCATCATTTTTATCTCCGTAGATTTTTAAACTTTTAATATTATGAACACGTTGTACTAAATAAACCATCAAGAATTCTCTTAGGGGAGTTAGCCATAACTAAAAGACAAAATAACCCCCACTACCCACTTATTTTCCAAAATTCAAATTTTTCTGTACAGTGAAACTTTGGTTATCATACTTTCAGGGACCAAATTATCAGAGTTTTGAAGTTAAAATAACTAATGTTTTAAAGTGCATTACCTGCAGAAATCCCTTTTCTTATTGCATTGTTTTTCATTTGATTCTCCCATTTTTACAGGTTAGGAGAATTTGGTAAGCAACCAAGATAATGAAACTGGCTAAGGACACAGAGTAGAAAGGGGGAAGAGTTAAGAAAAGAAGCAGGCTCTTAGACTTCTATTCTAAGCACCACTAATATCATATATTGTATACATACTGCAAATAGCACATAGCACCACTAATACCATATGCTGAATACAGCATACAGCGCCACTATATACTATATCTACATTTTGATACAACATTTTGTAATAACTATTGATTGTTGTTTACATTTGGAAGAGTTGTTAGAGATTACTTCTCATCTAACCTCCTGACTTTATTAAAGAGACAGGAAAAAATGGGTCCTAGAGAATTTGCTCCCTCAAAAATTACCGAATCAGTCAGTGGATTATAGCCTGCTCTTCATGCTCTACTTCTTAATTTTCTGGGTGACAGTTTTAAAATCTTATCTCCCCACTCATAATTTCAACAAGAGTCCTCATGATAACTGATCAGGAAAGAAGAGAAAATTTCTTGTTATACATCTTCCTCCTTTCTCCAGCCCCATTCTCCCCCAATACTCCACTTGGATAACATCCCTCTGGCAATAAAACAGTGTAAAATAATAGTATGGGAAGCACCATAATGAAGTTTCAGTGTAGTGCTTCTAGCCACACAAAGCCCTTTCAGGTGATTGATTACAACAGTGACCATCTCCAAGCCCCTTGCTCAGCATCATATACATTCATAAGCATCCACGTACATTTCCAAAGGTTTCAGCTAAGTGCTCACCGTGTTGGCCGTGCTGTAGTAAAGGAACTAGATCCAGGAGGGTCACCAAAGTCACGTAGAGGCCTTGGTAGTCCAAAGAAGGGTAGTCTGACAACTGAGCATCACGACTTTGCGGGCCGCGTTCTGAGGGAGCATCTCGCAGGACGCTGTAAAGGAGGGAGCGAGTAACAGTAGGGTTGATGGAACTGACCTGCGGTCTTAGAGATGGGGTGAGTGGGAATGGCACAGGAAAAAGACACATGGTCATGGGCACTGTCAAATTGGAGGCATCTTGGTTTTCCTTCTTCCCTGTGCGGGACAAAATGCTGTTGGGGGGACAAAGAAAAAAAAGAGACAACAAAGACACAAAGAACAGCACATTACATTGAAATGACACTCTAAAACAAATAATAAAACACCAGATACATTCCACATAAGATGCAATTGCCACGCCAGCAGGGTCTACCAGTCTAGTACTGGTCACATAGCTTCGTGCTCAGAGGTACCAATAATACAAGGTTTACTTTGTGGAAGTCTCATTGCATCTCATGTGTTATCTGGTTAGTAAGGAGCAAAAATATAAAAATGCATGTTTCAGTGCCAAACCCATGTTTTACAGTTTAGCAATTTGGTGAAGGAGAGGTTTCCTGGGAGAAAAAAACAACGGCTTTGTCTAATGAGTAAGGGCTCTTATTCCTAATTACAAGGAGCTTTCAAAGGAAAAGACATTTTCAGCAAGACTGTCTTCATCAGGTAAATAGGAACTTGCAAAATATAGGTATGGCACTTGCAGAAACATGTTTCAGCAAAGAATAAACATGTGTGTTTATTAAGAAAGTCTTAAAAATCACATGTTTATTGCATCAAAATAATGTCTATATGTATATTATGATACTGTTTCATGACATTCTGTCAGTATCATTTGAGATAATGAAGTTTAAACAGGCATATGAATTTAGAAATAATACATATTTCTAAAATGTTAGCTAAACTACATTGGAAAAGCTATAAAATAATATATAGTTGATGGTCCATAGCATATGTTTGTGAACTAATGATAATGGTTATTTATGTGTGTTTTTTAAATTTTGCATGTTGGGGAGGAAACATTTTATTTTATGAATACAAACAGTGGTTTATTAAATAGTTACCTTCAAAATCCTAACGACTAAGCAAGCAGTATCTGTCATATAGCTGCACATCATACAGTAAGATTTCATATATTACTGCTGCTACTTACGTTATTATTCAACAAAACTCACTAAAGACTAAAGGAAAGATAATTTAGAAAGTTAAAAAAAATTAATGGGAATAAAAATAAATTCTAAAAATAAATTGGTTTTCTTTTAGCCTTAATTTTAAAATAAAAACCTTTTTGGTAAAAGTGATAAAGCAGAAAAGTTGTTAATTTAAAAATAGAAGAAGTTACTGCTTAGCAAAATGTTTAGGTTTTGTAAAATTAGGTTATACTATTTAGCATTAAAGACAATAGCTATACATTAGAATGATAATATCTGCGCACTTGCAAAGTGCTTTTATATAGTACACTTATGTTAGTCCAAGTAGATAACAGTTTATAAATGGTTCATTACATAAAAATAACCTTGTTTTACAGTTGCTCTATGTGCATCAAACATTACTAAGTTCTTAGTTAATGATATTACATTTACAATTTTACAGTGATGTCAAGAATTGGTTAGTGTCAAGCATGCTTGCTCTATCAAGTTTGCATTTATTTTTATTATTTGCTCTTAGTGCAAAATATGTTACAATGTAAGAAAAATGACTACATGCTTTGTATTTTCCATGTGCCTAATTTACCTCGATTTCCTTTGTCTTCTGTTACCCAATGTCCAGGGGAAAACAATTGATAATAATAAAAATAATTTCAGAATACTTATGTAATACTTCTTATCAATAAATAACTTAAGATTTTTTTTTGTAATTTAAAGGGATTTAATTTACCTTTTTGTGTGTGATGTATTTGACTTTGTAAGCTTATACTTTACAATGGGATAATATCAATATTCCAGTTACCACCTGACTGTATCTATTATAAATGCCATCAGATTTTTCATCAGACTTTATACTTTTCTCACATGACTCAATTATTCCTAAGAATACCACCTTTATTAATGTTATATTCTTGATAAACCCAGTCACCAAAAATCTGTTTTAATCCTGTAGGATTCTAATCCCACTGAAAATTCCTCTAGAATCACAATGGCTATAAGTCAGAGATATTATTTCCCAAACTTCGGCCCTAAATTAACCTACTATTGGCATCTTTTCAAAATTACAAAATGTGAATCTTATAGAAGTGGTATAAGGAGAACAACATTTTGCCTTAGAAAATAAAAATAGCTGAATACCATAAATTAATGCTATGCTTTAAATTAAGTGCAATGCTCTGATCAAACTTCTTGGTGGGGGAAATAAACACATTATTTTTTCAAATATACCTTAGTATTTTTCCAAAGTATGATGTCAGTTAACAAATACTTTGGAGACTCTACTTTGATATTTTTCCCTTCCTGTATATGTGGGGTTCCCAAACGATAGCAACAACAGCTTCATACATGCAGGGAGGGAAGAATGTCAGCATGAAAACAGTAAAACTTCTCTCTCACTGCCTTTAGATTTGAGAATTCGGTGAGGTTGAGAAAAAAAATGGCTGAAAATGAGTCATCCATGAAACCAGTTTTAAATTACCATTCATGTCTCAATGTAAGGAAATGTTTTCATTTGTGGAAAAACTTAAGAAGGGCTCATGAATAAATGTACAATGCATTGTGATTTTATGATGTTTTGTGAAGTTTATTCAGAAAAAAAAAAAAGTATTTCCCCAACCAAACTGCCTAACTTGGGAGCTGATAAAACCATTTTCCCCACCTGAAATTCTTTCCCACAGTTCTGTAAACCCAACCAAAATGAATATTAAGAATGCCCTGCTCAGAAGAGTTTGACTCTGCAGCCAGCTTTTCACCTTTCCCTTTTCCTCCTGAGATTCTCTTTATCAAACATTGACTTTCAGCATCAAGAGAGGAAGACCTCTGTTGGTGTGAGGAAAGATGAGAAGTTGCCCTGAGGTATGTATAGCACAGAAAATTAATATGTCAAACAAACTTCCTTTAAGATTAGGAATGTTGACATTTGAGTTGAATCTATGTACTTAACAAAATTTACTTCATTATGCAATGCTCTAAAGTTACTCCATGACTTAACCAATAACATGGAGGATATATACATATATTCTTCCTAAGCAACTGGAAATTACAATTCAATTAAGATTATTATGCTGCATCTACAATCCATTTTTATAACATATTAGGCATTTTCTAAATAGCAGCAAGCAGCTTTCCCCAAATGTAATTTCGTTAAAAGATTTTACATGCTAGCAGCCTAAACAGCACCAGAAGAGAGATCTGGGGGAAGAAATTCCAAAAGAATGTTTGACATAGGAAGAAGACTAGGATCCTTTAAATGTCCTGCCAGGTAAAAAGCAAGATTCTTAAAGACCTTCGCTGTTGAAAATATGGCCACAGGATGTTTCCAATATAAAAAGAACAGACTCCCTCCCATGTAGCAGTGAGGGGAGATTAAACTGGATGGTCTTGGTAGTTACTTCTAATGCTAAAAGCAAACAAAGAACTAAACTCTGAAGTTGTGTGTTGCTCACTGCCAAACTTAGGTATCTGCTAAATTAAAATGAGTACAACTCGGCACTCAGATGTAACTTTACCAGACCCCAGGTCACCACTAGATTAAGTAAATAGCATTAACTAGAAGGATTCCAACGCTGGATGAAATTTGGACTAAAGTCAACTCAATTCAATTCAACAAACATTTACTGATCCCCTTCTCTGGGTTAAACACTGCTCCAGACACAAGGGCTAGCAAGCTAAATAACATGTAGGACTCACCTTCCACTACTAGAGTTTAAGGAATGCCCATGAACACAAATTTGAGTCTAATTATGAGCTAAGTGGACATATGTGGACTCTTCAACTGATTTTATAGTCAACTATGGTAACATACAATCTCTCCCCTCCTACAAATTAAATAAATCGAAGTTAAATGTCTAAGCTAATTTCTGCCTTTTGAAATAGGTACGAAACTCTACTAAAATCATGAGAGTTGTATGCATGCACAAATACCACGAACTATTGCTCCAAAAATGCAACCCTGACTCAAGTGAAGCTGCTGAAATTTCAAGTTGCATATTTTAACCAAAAAAAAACCATTTTAACTTCATTGAGAATATCCACATAGAAAGACAAATAGTTACTTCGTGAGAATTCATCTCTAATTCTTTCTTCTTGTTATTTTTCCCCCAAGAACCTGAGTTCTGAAAGCAAGAAGTGCTTCTGAACATAAAGATCATATTAAATGCTTTAATAATATTAAACAATATATAATAATTTTGCAGTAGAAAATCTTGTTTGTAGTAGAAAATCTTACTGCCACTAATCTTGGACACCAAATGCTTAGACCATATTATTTGTCTTTGAATTTATTTATTTATTTATCTTAGAGATAGGGTGTCGCTCTGTCACCCAGGCTGGAGTACAGTGGTGCAATCAAGGCTCACTGCAGCTTCAAACTCCTAGGGTCAAGCAGTCCTCCTCCCTCAGCTTCTGAGGAGCTTGGACTAAAGGTGCATGCCACCACACCTGGCTAATTGTTAAAAGAATTTTTTTAGAGATGGGGTCTTACTATGTTGTCCAGGCTGATCTCAAACTTGTGGCTGGTCTCAAACTTGAAGTTTGAGACTTCTGGTTGCTAACATTATCTCCACTTAAATTCACTTAAATTCTGAAAAGATGACAAATCTTGGTGCTAAGCACTTCCTTTAATCTGCCACCTCAGCCTCCCAAGCAGCTGGGATTATAGATGCCAGCCACCATGTCTGGCTGTCTTGAACTTTCTAATAGCATAAATAAAATGAAGAAGTACAAATACGATTGTTATAGATGTACATATCAACAGTTCTGTACTTCTAGTTTTAAAAAAAATGGTTGCAATTGTTACTATTACCATTAGCAGTACATGTTGATGTTGCCTCCGTTTGAAAATGAACTCAGCTCAGTTGCATAGGATCTTCTCCAACAAGCCACTTGAACAAACTACCAGTTTTACCACTAAAATACTACCACCTATGATCATATTCTAATGGTCCACTGCTCAAGAAAATGGAATCTTTACGTCTTGCAAACGTGACTTTTCAATATTTTAAATTCCTTAACTCTTGGGCACAATCACTAAGACCTAAGCAGCAAGCTCTGAGGTGCCAACTAGGATATTACAGTTTCCTGGCAAATGGAATTCAGCATGCTTCCTACTGAAAAGTGTCTCTCGCTTTGAGAACTTTCAGAATTTGTCATAAAGGAAACTGTTTTCCATTGAGAACTTGGACCTCAAAGACAAAAGAAGAATTCAAGAGAACAGAATTGGATGCCTTGATTCATAAATTTTTCTGATGATCACTATGAAAATTGGGCTAATTATTCCACTACAATTTGAGAAGAAGGAAAATATCCTGTAAGAGGTCCTAACCTTACCGTGCAAGTATGAAATGTATGAATCTGATAAGCAGGAGCCCTTCAATATAGAACAGGATCACTAAGGACTCTAAAGAAGGAAAGATATTTCAAAAAATAAGAACAGAAAGATAGGAGGACTGCAAAAGATTCGTAGCTGACTTGATCGCATGAAGCTTCCATCCGCAAAGCATTCAGCTTTTCCCGTGGCAAAGCTTTCGACTGCTAGAAACTCCAGTGCCACTAGTCTTTGCAAATTTGTGTTCTCCTAATATCTGTCTTACAAAATTTTTGCTTCTGTACAGCTAAAAGAAACAGTACCAAGCCAATTTATGTGTTGCCAAAATCAGATTTGAAGTGAGAAGACCGTGGTAATGGAGAAACCACATCTTGGAATTTAATGGAACGTGAGAGGTTCTTCTGAATTCTTCAATGTTATTTCTGAAAACAACTGAGCCTTTACTTGAACAGTTCAGCTTTCTTTGCTCTGTTTTCTTAATCAAGATACGTGGAGCAAATAGGGCCCTCCTATCTCTACCTTACAGTAAAAGTAGACAAAAGAAAAAGAGCCCTATTTTTTTTCCTTGTCCTTCATAGAATTTCATTATCAAGGCAAAGCATGTTGAACATGTGAAGTGTTACCCAGATTAAAAATAACTATTATCACTGTATATTACACTTAGGGAAATAGAAAATGCTAATGATGAACCTAAAATGCCACATAATTCTGAATTGCTTTTAGACCAAAAGTGTTTCCAATTATTAATTTTAAGCAATTGTAGGCTATCCTTTTAATCCCACTCTATATTAGTGCCAAATATAGAACTGTATCATTTTAAAGATGCCCTGAAAAGATGTTCAATGCGGGAAAGCAGGCAGTAGCCAGGCAACCAATCTTTTTCAGCTGGGCCTGGGATCCAATTTGCTACATACACCCAGAGAACTTGAGCACAGACTCTTCTGACAGAGCACTAGAAAACATAGGCCCTTTAAAACTTGCAATTCAATAAAAATTTAGATCCCAATAAATTCAGCAATACTACCTAATAATTCTCTCAAAGTAGAGGATATTGTAAAGCTTACCTTAACAAGGTCTGAGAAAAGTATTTCAAGGTGTTTGCAATATCTGTTCCTGATGGTACAGGATAAATGTTGTGGAGAACCCGGTTATGATATTCCTGCAAGTACCGGATCTTGGAAGCAACTAGATAAAAGCAAAAAAAAAAAAAAAAAAAAAAAAAAAAAAGGAAGAAGAAAAAGAAAGAGAAGAATCATCTTGTAATATGTATTAGGCATACAGTCATTTTTAAAAATGATTACAAACAAGAATTTAATCAGTATTTTAAGAAACATAAGTAAATTTTTAATAGAATTCCATGATAGAAACAATTACAAAAAAACTTTTAATTTCTTTTAATTGTATTCGGCACACAAAATTATTCTTAGTTTTCTGGTTTAATATCCTATTCACAAATTATCTATTGCTTGTTTTTATCACTAAGAAAAGCAGTACTCCAAATTGTTTTCTAATCACCCCCAAGTTGGCTTATTATTAGCAAAATAATAATAGATATAAGTCTTTGCCAAGGAATTACATTTAATGTTGCTTAACTAAAACTGAAGGAGAAAACTGAAAAGTCTTTCTACAACACTCAAAAAATCCTAAAATATAGGGAGTTCCATTGCACAATGGCATCAATTGAAGTCAGATTATTAACTCAACATGTGATCATGAAAGTGTGTTTAGTAAATGCTTTAGCTGTGAGAATATGTTAAGAGTAGATTAACATGATGAGTGTTAAGTAAGAATACAATGATTGTGCACTAATAAAAATGTAAAAAATAAATGTCACATTTTTCTTCCAAAGAATCTCATAAATTAGGAGACTTCCTAATAGCTTTCTGAGCTTGGCTGCCCAGATCTTCTCAAGATTCAGGAGGGACTCAATAGATTTATTTACCCTCCTAGACCTACCTGGAGTCACCAGCATTGTCCACATTCCTGACCTGACCTTTGACCTGGCTGTAGTGAAGGACCCCGTTCTAGTCATTCCTCTTTGCAAATCCCAAGGAGCCATGATGATCAACGTCTCTCTGGTCTCCTCTTCCACAGAGTTCTCAACACTGTCCATTTGTCCTTTCAATCTTTAAGGGAGCCTTTTAGGTGGTATGGCTCACTGTCAGCAGTTAACAGAAGACATATCAAGTCCTGGAGAAGCAAGGCCTGCTGTTCCCAATAACCCACGGAAATAAGCTCCTGGATGCATTCTAACTCAAAATCCTTTTGATAAGTGTGGGACGTAGAAGCACAGAACGACAAAATATCAGAACTGGAAGGACCTTAGAGACCTCTTCCCATAACCACTTCCTTTTAAAGATGGGGAAAATGAGGCACATAGGTGGTCAATGGCAGAGCCAGACTAGTACTTAGATTTCCTGATCCCAATCCAGTGATCTTTCCACTATGACACACTCTAGAATATGACTCTGAAATTATGTCCACGTGAACGTGACATCCACATGAATGTGAACGTCCATTGCTTGACATCAAAGCAATTTCCAGAAGTTACCAGGTTAATCACTGATTCTAAATCCTACATACACTATTTATCAGATTTGCCTTTTCTCTCTTCCACTACCTGAACTATTTCCATAATATGGTTAGCATTTTCCCAAAGAAATAAGTCTAGATTGCAGATAATAATACCTTGAGTCTATGTAACACATCAGCTCCAAAGAAAGCAATAAGTTTATAAACATCATCTCAATTAACTCCATAAATATTTGGTAGTAAATAACTTTTTTTCCTGAGATAATAGGTGATACTTGAAAACAGTTTGATTGCATAATCTACAAAAGTCCATTTCCTTCTCAGTGTTTTTGATCTGCTATTCATTATATTTCAAAAACCATACTACAAGAAAATCCCCACATTAATGCATAGTTCCAAGTTCCAAATATCCGAGATATATGCTAGGCCAGCACATGCTGTCTGCTCACCCACTGTCACAGTAATGAAGCATTACTGTGACTTTTCTCAAGTTTTAATATTCAGCAAGTTTCTGTAGAGTATTTCAGGAATACCATTAATCATTCCATCACCTAAGTAAAGGAGTTGATAATAGTACAGGGTATGGACAATAAGTTCAAATGAGGAAAAAACTCACAAATCCCTCAACTCAATGGCTTGCTCATAATTCAAGAGCTATAAAACCATCACTACACAATGATTACAAGCATTCAAAAATGTTTATGAAATGAAAGGATGTTCTTTTTATAGCTCTTTTCATTAAAATGCAGCAATAGCTCCTTTCCACAGGTACCCAAATATGCACAGCAAAGCAGAGACAAGAGTCACTTTTTTCTTTGAGATCTTGTAATGTTACAAAAGTCATATTGCATTGTCTCTGTGTACTTACCTGCTTGTTTTTCTATACCAGCTTGTAAATTTCTTAAGGGCAGAAACTATACCTTACTCATGGCTCTATCCCAAGCCTAACACACTGTCTGGCACTTAGTAGGGACTCAATATATTCATAGGATTAAATTAACAAATGAATTAATACTTTAGTAACAGCACTTATCACTCAGGTCTTTAGGATATATAGAGAGTATACATATCTGCATATATATGTACACTATACACATATATACCTGCATATAGACATACGATAGATTGTGGACTCTTCATCCTTAGTGCCAGACACCTAGTAGGTACTCAATAAATTGTTGATAAGTGAAGATGGAGAAAAAAAAGGAAGAAAGAAAGTGGGACAGAGAAAGAGGAAGAGAGTGGTGAGTAATCATGAAAGACCATTTTTAGAACAGATTGAAAAAAATGTTCAAGCCAATTTGTGCATTGGTGAATGCAACAAAATCTTAGCAGTAATAGATTTAACATCCACGTTTTCAACAACTTGAGAGCAGCCAAAAAGGTCCATGACAAATAGTAATTTGTACTTGTGCCAAGGATGTGAATAAAACTCATTTACAGTTCAATTTTGTGCACGAGAGGTGGTCATTTGGCTGGTTAATAAGCCCATGTGAGCATCCAGCAGCCTCATCAAAGCAGGGCTCCTCTTTACTCCACACATATACCTGACTGCTGCTGCGGAGGCTCGAATAATTGGGCCCAATAGATATAAATGAATGATCTTCAACCTCAACTGACCCTAAGGCTACATTTCTCTAGTAAGCTCCTTCTTCTACACTCTTCAATTATAGTTATACTATCTTCAAAACTCCCCCCGGGGCCACCCCTTTCCTTATACTTTAAAAAGCCATCTGTTATTGACTGAATTTTGTGGCGCTTAGAATTCATATGTTGAAACCTTAACCTCAAAATGTGACTGTACCCAGAGATAAGGCCTTTAAAAGGGTGATTAAGTTAAAATGAGGCCGTTTCCGTGGTGGACCCTAATCCAATCTGACTGCTGTCCTTTTAAGAGGAGATTAGGACACATAAGAGATACCAGAAATGTGGGAACACAGAGGAAAGGCCACGTGAGGACAGAGAGAGAAGGCAGCCATCTGCAAGTCAAGGAGAGAGGCCTCAGGAGAAACCAAACCTGCCAACACCTCAATCTCAGACTTCAAGCCTCCAGAACTGTGAGAAAATACATTTCTGTTGTTTTAGCCACCCAGTCTGTGGTACTTTTATGGCAGCTGGAGCAAACTAATACACCATCATAGAGGAAATCTTTTTTTGTTTTGTTTTGTTTTGTTTTAGATGGAGTCTCGCTCTGTCACCCAGGCTGGAGTGCAGTGGCACGATCTCGGCTCACTACCAGCTCTGCCTCCTGGGTTCACGCCATTCTCCTGCCTCAGCCTCCCAAGTAGCTGGGACTACAGGTGCCCACCACCACGCCCGGCTAATTTTTTGTAATTTTAGTAGAGATGGGGTTTCACCGTGTTAGCCAGTATGGTCTCAATCTCCTGACCTCGTGATCCGCCCGCCTCCGCCTCCCAAAGTGCTGGGATTACAAGCATGAACCACAGCGCCCGGCCCCGAGGAAATCTTATTAGTAAGAGTTAAGAATATGAACTCTGAAATCAAACAGTTCTGACTTAAGGCCTTGGATCTATCTCCACTTAAGCCCAATTTCCTCATCTGTAAAATGGGGATAATTACATCAACTTCACAGGGCTACTGTGATTACTGTGCTATTGTGATTATGGTGCGAGTGGATACTTTGCACAGTGCCTGGTATACACTCCACATATATTAAATAGTAGATGTCAAAAACCTACTAGCAGCTCCTTTCCTTGTCCTGTCAAACACCAATCCCAGCATTCACTGGGGCTCTCCATCCATCAGTGTGTCTCCTATGAAATTAATCTCTCCTCCTTTGCTAAATCATTCCTACCAGGATTCAAACAAACTGTAGAATCTCTCTTGTCGAAGGGAAAGAAAAAACCTCTCTCCTGCCTTTCCATTCCCCTCCAGCGACAGTCCTCTGCCTTCAGAGCCAAGATGATGAAGAGTCTTGCACACATTCTCCTCTCTCTGTCACTTTCTATTCCTCCTTCCACTCACTCCAGTTTGGCTCCCACATCCACCACTGCACTGAATCCATTTCCCACAATCATCTAGAGCCTCCAGATTGCCAATCCATCAGGCACTTTCCGATCACCATTTTCCTAGGCTTTTCAGAGCATTCTGTACAGTCAATCCCTCCCTCCCTCCTTCTTGAAACTCTCTCCCCTTGGCGTCCCAGACCCCACATTCCCCTGCTCTTCCTCCCCCTGGAACGTATCCTTCTTCAAGTGCTTTGCCACTTCCCCCTATTAGTTGATATCTAAGTGTTGGAATTCATCAGGGCTCAGTCCTAGACTCTGTTCCTCTCTCTCAATATTCTCCCCATAGGCAATCCCATCCATCCACAGGACTGTCAGGAGCATCCAGGGGCCAACTGCTCTGAAAGGTCTGTCTCCATCCCAGGTGGGTAGCTGTTGTGAATAACAGGCCTCATCGATTCAATTTCTCCACTTGGGAATCTTATAAATATCTCAAAGAAAACATGTCTGACATTGACTCTTAGGTCTCCCTTCCCCCAAGAAAGAAACCTACTCCACCATCTGTGTAACCCACCAAGTCACTCAAGCAAAGCATTCTAAAGCTCATCCTTGACAGACCCTATTCCCCGCCGTACCTCACTCCTCTAATCCAATCCATTACTAAGTCCTATTAATCACTAAGTCTTATCACTAAATCCTATCAAATACATCTCCCAACTGTCTTCTGTTCCTTATCGTCACTGTCATTACTCAGCAGCAGCATTTCCTGATCAAGTCTAACAGCCTCCTAACTCATTTTTCAGATTTCTTCTTGCCTCTCTCCACTCCTTCTCCTCAGAGCAGCCAAACAGATCTTTTTAAATTATAAACTGCTTCATACAGTCATAAACAGTAACCACTGCTCAAAGTCCTTCAGGGGCTGCCCACTGTCTTCAGGACAAAATCCCAAATCCTCCTTAGTGTGGTCAAAGTCCCTGCCTACCTTCCAACCTAACGTCGTGACACAAAAGCCAGACACTGTTGTGTGTGTGTTTTGTTTTGTTTTGTTTTTTGAGACAGAGTCTTGCTCTGTCACCCAGCCTGGGATGCAGTGGCCCGATCTCCGCTCACTGCAACCTCCACCTCCCAGGCTCACGTGATTCTCCTGCCTGAGCCCTGCCAGTAGCTGGGATTACAGGTGCCGGTCACCACATCTGGCTAATTTTGTATTTTTAGTAGAGCCGGGGTTTCACCATGTTGGCCAGGCTGTTCTCGAACTCCTGGCCTCAAGTGATCTGACCGCCTCGGCCTCCCAAAGTGCTGGGATTACAGGCAAGAGCCACCACACCTAGCCCATTTTTTCCTTAACACCGGTTTTTGTTTTTTTGTGTTTCTTTTCTTTCTTTTTTTTTTTTTGCTTGAAAACCTTTCTATGTCCTTGTCCCTCTTCATAGAGTGCTTTCCCTCCACACTTTGTGAGACTAACTCCTACTCATACTTCAAAACTGACTTTAAGTGTCCCTTCCTCATTATGGAGGTCTTTGCAAACTTCCTTGTCCAAAATGATTCCCTGATCTCCACCTTCATTTCTTTCTGTGTAACACTCTGCAGTTTTGTCCAGAGTAGTGAGCACAATTTGTAATGATGTATTTATTTAGGTGACCGTTGACTGTCTTTTCTAAGTGAACAGTGAGCTTTTTGTTCACCATTGTATACCCTCGGTGCCTATTAAGTACTGAATTTGCTGAGTTCCTAGTAAGGATGAAAGTAGACAAGGCAGGAAGGGAAAGAATGGCTTTTTACAGCAGTTCAACTTTGTCTATAAAAATAGCCCAGAAGGCCAACTGTTAAAACTGTGATGAAAATGAAGAAAAAAAAACAAAAGAGGTCTGTGCATACACAAATTTAATCTCTGTTTGATATTTTACGGCCCCTTCTATCCTCACCGTTTCTTGGGAGCTTTGCTACTTTTTGAGAGCAAAAGCCATAAAAGCAAAATTCAGTCATAGACTAAAAAACACTTAACAAAATTGGGATTGTATAAAACGTAAGTTTTAAATCTTTCCTTTTTAAGTCTTAAGCATTTTCCTATGTCACTAAAAATTTTTAACAGAGATCCATCCCTATTTTTGAAAAATTTAATTAGCAATCCTCATTATCATAAAAGGAAAAAATTCAGGTAAGCAACATGAAGAAGATAAAAATCACCTAAAGGGCCCACTACTCAGAAACAACTGTAGTTAACATTTTGGCATGTTATCCTTCTAGAAAATTTTCTCTGCATAAATATACATTTACCAGAATAGGATTAAACTGTGTATAGTTTTAGAATCTGTTTTCCTCACTTTCTATGCACTTCTATATCATCATTTTAATGGTTTTATAATTTCCTTTATGTAAGAGAATCGTAATTTACTTTACCAATAATCTATTTGTGAGATTTTGGGGTGTTTTCCAGTATTCTATTCAATGCTGCAAAGAATATTCTTTTCTTTTCTCTTACTAATTTTATTTTTTGTAGAGACAGAGTCTCACTATACTGCTCAGGCTGGTCTCGAACACCTGGGCTGAAGGGATCTTCCTGCCTCGGCCTCCCAAGTGCTAGGATTACAGGAGTGAGGTGCCACGTGTGACCAGATGTGCACACATCTTTAATTATTTCCTTAGAATAAATTTTTAGTTATGGGATTGCTGAGTCATACAGAAAACACTCATTTTTAAAGCTCTCGGTAAGAATTAAGAAATCGTCCTTCAGAAAGACAGTAACTGTTTACATACCAGCAGAGTATATACATCATTAAGTGTGAATAACATCTCTTGAGCATCCACTATGCACCAGGTGCTCTATATACTTTTTTTTTTTTTTTTTTTTGAGAAGTCTTGCTCTGTTGCCCAGGCTGAAGTGCAGTGGCACGATCTTGGCTCACTGCAACCTCCACCTCCCAGGTTCAAGCGATTCTCCTGCCTCAGCCTCCTGAGTAGCTGGGATCACAGGTGCACGCCACCACACCCGACTAATTTTTTTGTATTTTTAGTAGAGACAGGGTTTCACCATGTTGGTCAGGCTGGCCTCGAACTCCTGACCTCATGATCTGCCCGCCTTAGCCTCCCAAAGTGCTGGGATTACAGGCGTAAGCCACTGCACTCGGCCTTTTTTTTTTTTTTTTTTTTTTTTGAGACGGAATCTTGGTCTGTCTCCCAGGCTGGAGTACAGTGGCGAGACGGGGTTTCACCGTGTTAGCCAGGATGGTCTCAATCTCCTAACCTTGTGATCCGCCCGCCTTGGCCTCCCAAAGTGCTGGGATTACAGGCGTGAGCCACCGCGCCCGGCCTGGTTTATTCAACTTTTAATGGTAATGGTAGTGACCACCTTGCAAAGTTATTGTGAGGGTTAAAAATAAATATATAGGGCCGGGCGCGGTGGCTCATGCCTATAATCCCAGCACTTTGGGAGGCCAAGGCGGGCGGATCACAAGGTTAGGAGATTGAGACCATCCTGGCTAACACGGTGAAACCCCGTCTCTACTAAAAATACAAAAAATTAGCCGGGCGTGGTGGTGGGCGCCTGTAATCCCAGCTACTCGGGAGGCTGAGGCAGGAGAATGGCATGAACCCAAGAGGCGGAGCTTGCAGTGAGCCGGGATAGCGCCACTGCAGTCCAGCTTGGGCGAAAGAGTGAGACTCCGTCTCAAAAAAAAAAAAAAGTTGAATAAACCAAAGTTCAAAAACAGTAAGTGACTTGCCCAAAGGCACAAAGCTAATAAGTATAAAACTGATAGTTTAACAGGCTGCAAGCCATGCTTTTCTGCCAGACTACATTGTTCTTTAATTATTTTTACTGGTTTAATAATATTCAGTGATACAGATTTAGCATGAAATATGGACACTTCCCCTATTCTATTGTTCAGCATTTAGGTTGTTTCCAATATTTCACTAAGTAAAACTGCAGTAAGCAGACAAAATATTAGACTATTTAGAATATTAGACTAGTTATTTATTTCTTAGAAAATACAAAACAAAACATTTACTTCACTAGTCCTGCCCTTTACTTTCTTGAAAAATCAGACCCCTTTCACCCTTCAAGGCTCATCTTAAGAGTTACATTGGCCGGATGCAGTGGCTCATGCCTGTAATCCCAGCACTTTGGGAGGCCAAGGTCAGGAGTTTGAGACCAGCCTGGCCAACATGGTGAAACCCTGTCTCTACTAAAAATACAAAAATTAGCCAGTTTTGGTGGCACCCACCTGTAATCTCAGCTCCTCCGGAGGCTGAGGCAGGAGAATTGCTTGAACCCAGGAGGCAGAGGTTGCAGTGAGCTGAGATCACGCCACGGCACTGCAGCCTTGAGTGAAGCCTTCTAATTGACTCTGGACATTATCAATAGCTCCCTTTTCTGACTACCCAGAGCATGTTATATCTGCTTCCAAAATTTTTGCACTTCATTATATAAATATTTCACTGATTATAAACTGTTCTAGATGGTTCTAAATTAGTTTCATGTGTGCAAATCTAGTTTCCCTAACAACACTTTAAGATCCTTGGAGACAAAACCATCTTATATTACATTTGTACTCCCTTAGGACTTATCACAATGCTAGGTACATAGCAGATGGTCAACAGTAGCACGGTGGTTGAAATGAATTGAAAGTTTAAATGTCAATTATCTTTAGTCCTATTAATATTCCCTAAATAACTGCTTTAAATTTCTAATATCATTTACACTAATAAGTAATTTCAAGATGAAATTTGCTTGTATAACATGCAAATAATGCAGTAGTCTTTTTCTTGATTTATTTCCTTCCATCTCTCATTCCTATGGAGCCCCCCAAAATTTTATAGGTTCTTCATTATCATTTGCAGTACTCATTTTTTTCCTGCAAATTGGCTACTCCAACTTTAGTTTTAATTACTTAGACCCCAAACATGTTGAGTCATGGTGTTATCACAACACCCTGCAGAGATCCCTGGGAGGGAATGTGAGTTCCCACCTACAGCTATGTGTGACTTCAAGCAAATCATTTAATATGTATAAGCCTCAGGAGTTCTTATTTGTTTGTTCTGTTCTGTTTTTGCCAAATGAGAAATTAAAGTAACATTTTCCCCATTCTTTGCCAGTGCTAGTTATTAATATTGTCGATTTGATAGTATATGTCCTAATTCCATCTTAATTTTTTATTGGTTTCTTCTTGCACGACATAAAGCCTAAGATTTTATAGATGATTTTCTGTCATTGCCCCCTTTTAAGGTATTCATCTTCTTTTCATTCTAAGCTGTCATCAAAAAATGTTAGACATACATAAAGAGGATTTGGACATATTTCACAAATGTGCGTTGTTATATTCACCACAATGGTTTAAGTAAAAATTATGCCTGAAACCTTTTTATTTTTTTCTCTTGATTGGTGGATCAATAAGGAATCAGACATCCTCCTCAATTACCTGCCACTGCATATCTGTCTTTACTCACTATTTTTACATCCTTCATGTAGACTAGTGATCTACTTATTGGCCCTATTGGTTCTGTCTAGAAATCAACTCCAGGGTCTACCCTCTTCTCCAGCCACATTGACATCACCTTAATTCAAGCTTGTGTAATCTTTTCCCTAGATTAATTGCTGTGATGTCCAGACTGATTCCCTTTCGATCCTTTTTCCACATGACACCCAGTGTGATGTTTCTCAAATTCAAATCTTCCTCATTTTCTGCTGATTGAAATCCAAACAATTAACTTAGCATATCGAGCCCAGCATGAAGAGTTCCCTGCTCACCTGTTGGGTTTCACCTTCGGCCTCTTTTCCTTGTGTCCCACACTTCAGTCATACTGACTTGCAAAAACTCTAACTCATGATCCTGTTACTCCTCCATGTTTCTAGACACATTCTCTACTACAGGAATGCAATCCACACTTCTTTGCCTGGCTAACTCCTAAGAGTTCTTTAAAGCTTAGCTGTACCCATTTCCCCAGTAGGTAACTAACCTTCCCACAAACTGCATTACATGCATCTCCTCGGCACTTTCATAGCACACGGGACTTCCTTCTATCATGGATGGCATTTATCAATGCATGCTATAATTATTAACTCAATGGCTGTCTCCTCCACTAGGCTACTAGAACCTTCAGATCAGAAAAAGTCTCTTTAATTTTAGCACATCCAGCATTTAATAAGTGTCTGGTCCTAAATGTTTGTTGAATGACTGAATGAAGAAATGAAGAAATGAATGAATAAATTGCCACATGACTCTTGGTACAATGGAGCAGTTTAGAATTTATTTTCCTTTCATGGGCTAGTTTTGAATCTTGGCTATAACACTAAAGTTTCCACTACCTCCTCTTCCTACTACTCATAGGAAGAACAATTTGTATCACAAGAACTACTTGTATCACTTTCCTCCAGAATCCCCCAATTCCACCACCATCCATTTTGGGGTATGGAGCTGGTCTGGCTGAAAGCTTAAGAATGGAATAAGGATGGGATCATATCTTCAAGGATGGAGTGAGATCAAAGAATACCCATTCCAGAGTCAGAAGGCCAAACAGACAGCCCCACTCTAAGGAACTAACTGTGTGAGAAGCCAGGCATGGCCTCATGGTTATAGGATGATATGTGCCCCACTTTCACCCTGACCAGCTCAGAGAACACTCAGAGCAGAGGCATATAAATATTTTTCATTCTCTGAGTCAGTCTTGACTGAGATTAGAGCTATGTACCTCTGGGTGCAGGAAAGTGAAACACCCTTCATAGAGGAACATCCCTAAGAAGGACCTTTTGGGAAAAATAATCTTAGGAGGGGCAGTAGAAAAAATACAGAGCTTAGCACAGCTAACATTGGCCCTATTCTATTCAGAATGAGTCAGATTCCCTTCCTCTGTTGGATTAGAGCCACAGAGAAGAGGCCCTGAGGGTAGAAGGTGTCCAAGCTACCCCACTGGCAGACACTCATGATCTACCTTCAATAGTCACCATCTGTCCCCTTCCACTCTTTCTCTTTTTTTTTCTTGCTTAAGTATTTAAAGCATATCCTATTCATCACATTATTTTACTTATCAATATTTTCATATAATTTCTCACTAATAAAGACATGAAGAATATAATCACATACTATTATCATACTCAACATTAACAAATAAGTCCTTTAATATCAGAAGCCAAACAAGATTTGAGGGGTATTTTCCAAATTCCATATGCTCCCTTCCCTCATTCCCAGATTAGCAACTATCACCTGCACTCAACAGGCTCCTAAGGAAAACCACACAAACACTGAGAATATGGGCCCTGGGGTTTCTTAGTTTCCATTTCTAGCCACATGTTCCAGCTTTTCCAAGTATTTCATCATTCACCTCATCATACATCTGTAATTCTCTGCAGCTCCTACAAGAGTCACCTGAACCCTCCTCCTTGCCTCATCTCAACAATGAGAGCTTTTCACACACATACACACACACACACACACACACACACACACACAATCCATTGTACTGATGGGAAAAACAAAACAAAACAGAGGCACCAAGAGTCCAAATCCAGGGTTTATTTGAATTCTGGCTCTTCTATTTACTATGAGAACGTGGATAAAGTCATGAACTTCTCTGAGTCTCAATTTCCTAATTTATAAAGTGGGGGTAATCATATCTATCTCACAGAGTTGCTATAAGTACTTTAAAATATTGCATATATAAACTACCTAGCACAATGACTAGCACATAGTAGATAATAAATTACTACTGTAATTAGCTATTACAGGTGAGTTTCTCTTCTTCTCCTTTCCCAGTTCAAAACTCTGTCCCTTAAAATAGTGTAACCTGTGGAGTAAAGAAGATATAAGACATACTAGTAATCTTGTGTCATCAATATAATCAAGAATAGCCCCCTACACACACACAGACACACGCACGCATGCAGATGCACGCACACACACACTCTATTGCTGCATGTGGTACTAAAATTTAGTTCTATATTCAGAGACTTATCTTGTAAAGAATAAAAGACAAATGCAGCAAATAAAAAAGATATATTCAGAAATGGAGATGTGGAGAGAACAAGGCAACAATGCACTGTTTGACAACTGTAGCAGACAAGCAGAGTTCTTTGCAAATCCTTAATCAAAGAACGATCTTCTCTTTTGAGGAAGGTCATCTTCTTTAACTGAAAGCAAAACCTCATAAAAGACATAAATGAAGGGTTGTGGAAGAGGATACACAGGTAGAGAGGCTGAACAGTCCAAAGGATGTCAAATGTCACAAATGGCATTGTTAAGCTCTTCCAAATATTTGCATACTTACATACATAGTCTTCAGCCAGTTTTGGTTCCAGGTAGCAAATTTTACCTGGCACTTTCAGCAGACAGGGGAAGTCAGCAAAGAACATTCCTGTTCTTTGGCAAGTGACTCCAACACTATCATCATCATTAGCATCATCAACATCATCATCATCATCATCATCCATTACATTTGTATGGCCATTTACATTTTTCAAAGTATTCCACATACATTATTCAATTACATTTCTTAGCATTTAACATGTGAAAAGCAAAATGTCCAGTCTAGAGAATTTTAGACATTAGCAACAAGTTAGGCAGCAAAAGTGAAAGGAAAGATATCAGTGTTCTTATTCATTCATCAGATATTGATTAATGAGGTACTTTGATATATCAACATAAATAAGACAAAATCCTCACCTCTAGAAGGTCACAATAATCACAATAATAATTCTAAATTCTGAATGTTTACTATATGCTGGTAAACAGAAAAATAATAGTTGTATTGCTATTATTTCCACATTACCAACGAAAAAACTGAGGCTGAGAGAGGTTAAGTAACTTGCCCAAGATCACATAGGAGGTAAATGATAGAGCCATTTTCTGATATGTCAACTATAAAGAGAAACACTTGAACTAGCTGTGACCCCCACTGCACATTTTAGCACACTAATTATGTATACACATACACACATCTATACATACATACATAAAATCATCTAGTTAGCTTTCATACATGAATTAGTAAGACCTAACACCTGTCAATGGAAAAAAGTCTAGGCCAGATGTGATGGCTCATGCCTGTAATCCCAGCACTTTGGGAGGCTGAGACAAGTGGATTGCTTGAGCTCAGGAGTTCAAGACTAGCCTGGGCAACACAGTGAGACCCCATCTCAACAAAATAAAATTTTTTTAATAACCAAGTGTCATGGTGATACCTGTAGTCCCAGCTACTTGGGAGACTGAGGTGGGAGGGTGGTTTGAGCCCAGAAGATTGATGCTGTGAGCCATGATGGCACCATTGCACTCCAGCTTGGGTGACACAGCGAGACCCTGACTCAAAAAAAAAAAAAAAGATTTAAAAAGTCTAAACATGGAAATGCTTCACATGTCCCAGAGATGGGACACTTGCAATAAAGAAAAGGGAAAAACAATTTATTCCCCTCAAACAATCTATTCCTCCTCAAAAAAGGAGGTTTCTGTTCCAGTTTCTATTGCACTATTGGTCAAGAGAACTTGTACTAGAAACTTTGAAAGTCAGATTCATTTCATGATGTGATGAAGAAATTAATACAGGCAGTGAATTTTCTTCAAGTTGAATGTTGGATATGTAACAATTTGAAACAGAATATGAAAATCTATTCTATTTTGATGCAACTGGGTTAGGTTATAAAGACTTATTTTTCAAAGTTTACTAAGCAGCTTCCTCAGATCAAGATTTTGAAATCAGAGAATCTGAGGCCAAATTTTAAGTACTTCCTATCCCACTGAAAGAGCGACTTATGAGCTTGCACTTTCTAATTAATGAGATAAGATATCTGAATACTGTGCTTATTGTACTTGAAACTGCAAGTGGGGGAGAGAAACAAGAGCATTAGTGATCTTTTCAAGAAAGTATAAATTCAGATATATGGATTTAGCAAATGAAAACTAGAAAATTATTTAATCTCTCATTACTAAATTTCACTGAGCTCTCTACTTAAAAAATCATAGGTTTTTGAAGAACTGAGGAATTATTTGGTGAAAATCAAATAATTTCGGGGATATACGAAGGCTGATAACTATGAATCATTCTTTAAGTTTCTACAGCTAAGTGCAATACTCAAGACATATCTGAATTATCAACCACCTATCCAATCAATGTGGCTCAATTTCAAAACAAAATGATTGCACTGAAAATAAATTCTACTCCATAAGAAGACACAGATAGCCCAGAATTGCCTAAACAAGAAGATGCATCATAGCCAGCACCGTCCTTAAATGTCTGGCTATGTGGAAAACCTCTGGGAATTATTTGGGATCCACTTTCCTGTGGAAGCACAATTCTCTTCCATGACAGTGCTAAAATTCAAGTTGCCATTCATGATCAACCTGGAGTCAAAATTCAGATGTACTTTGATTCAGAACATACTACAGAATTCAGAAGAATAATTCAGTCCATCACACAGCAAAATTTTCTTTAACTTGAACAAAATTGAACAACAATTAAATATAAAAGTACAACTCTCTAAAGACTGCTTTTAAGACTCTTAAAACTATAACTATAATAGCATTGTTATAGTGTTTCCCATGTGCCAGGCACTGTTCTAAGCACTTTATCCTTTCAACTCTCTAAGCCTCACAACAATTCTATGAGGTAGGTGCTATTGCATTTCCCTGCTCTTATTTTTTTACAGATGAGAAAACTGAGAAAATTGTTATCAATTTAAAAAATTCGGCCAGGTGCAGTGGCTCATTCCTGCAATCCCAGCACTTTGGGAAGCCGAGGCGGGTGGGTCATCTGAGGTCAGGGGTCGAGACCAGTCTGTCCAACATGGCGAAACCCTGTCTCTACTAAAAATACAAAAATTAGCTGGGCATGGTGGTGAGCACCTGTAATCCCAGTTACTCTGGAGGTTGAGGAAGGAGAATCGCTTGAACCTGGGAGGCGGAGGTTGCTGTGAGCCGAGATCGCGCCATTGCACTCCAGCCCTCCAGCCTGGGTGACAAGAGCAAAACTCCGTCTCAAAAAAAAAAAAAAAAAAAAAATCATGCAGTCCAGGTGTAATCTGTTCTTTCACACATTCAGTAAATGTTCATTGTAGTTAACTATGTGCCAGTTGCTGGGGATGTAACAGTGCACAAGACAGCCACAGTCCCTGATGTCATGCAGCATATAAGAAAGTGTGAAAAAAGAACGAAAAGACAGTAAATACTTTTTAAAGGTCTATAAAAATATTACAAGAGACTCAAATACAGACTAAAGAAGAGGTTGGGCAACGCCTTCTTGACATAGGATAGTCCGGGAAGACTTTTCAGAAGAGATAATATTTAAGTAAGACATGAAGGATGAGAAGATGCTAGGCGTGGAAAAGTAAGAGAAAGGTTCTGGGTCAGGACTGCAAAGTGAAGACAATCATCTAAAACATACACAACTAAAATGTCACCAAATTACAGTAAAAGGATTTTTCAAAGACAAGAAGAAAAGGAGACAAGGCAAGAAAACACAAAGCAAGATCATTTTTGGAAGCTTGAAAGCTAATAGACAAGTAGCAGTTGACTTGGCAGACCAGAGAAAGTCAAATCCCAGGCCAGCAGCAGTGCTAAGAACCAACTGATTCCAAAGCCAAGAACCAACTAGTGTGCATTTCAGGCTTCTCAAAAGGCACAGAAACGGCAGCAACAGATAGCTTTGGAACAGGAGGTAAGGGGCAGAAGAGGGTGCTAAAAAAAATGTGGGGGATTGGCTGAAAACTGTTTAAGAGCAATTAGAACCCTAAATTTTCTCCCCCACTTCACATGCCCTGAGAGAGCACCTCTCCTCAACTCAGAATATCTGAAGTTCATTGCCGGAAGAGAGACACATCAGAGGGTCTCCGGAATGGCAGAGACCAAACAGAATGGAAAGCCAGGATAATCTACCTAACCAAGGGGATTTGCTGGCTATATGAAGTGTAAATGCTAATGCAGAGCGGAACCAAACCCTGCCCTCCAACCCCTGGCAGCTAGACCCTTACCCTTCAGGCTGGAGACTAGAAGCCTCTTTTTTTTTCTCCTTCCTTCTGTGAATCTGACTAAGTCAAAGAGGAAAGGTCTGAAGACAGTGACACCAGGGGTGCCCCCAGTAAATGGCCCTCTAACCTGCTCAGGTCAGCTTCTTAGTTCTAGCCCTTAATTATGAGTAGACAGGGAAGGAAGGCCAACCATCTAAAGAAAGCCTCTAACTGTAAGACCAGAAGGAGAGAAAATCAACTTGGAGAGAAAGAGTCTGTAAGGAAGAGGAAAACTTTATCTTAAAAAAAAAAAACCTGTTATTAATATCAGAAAGATAAGATACTCTACCTATAAATGAACGCTGTTGTGCTGTTAGAAAAACAAGATACAGTGAAGAAAAAAGTTTTTGTAGATAAAAAACATAATCCCAGGAATAATCAATAGAAGGTTTAGAAGATACAATTGAGAAAATTTCCCCAAAATACAGCAAAAGACAAAATAAAAGAGAAATGACAAATTCAGGATATCCAATATCAGGATATAAGGAGTTTCAGAAAAAGGCAATAGCAAAACCAAAAGAGTTAAAACCATTAACAAAATCAGTTAAGAACTTTTTAGATAATGGCGGATTAAAAGAGCCCACCACAATGAGTAAAAATAGACACATAGCAATGCACTTTGTTATGAAATGTCAGAAACTAGGGACAAAGAAAAGACTCTACATACTTCTAGAGATTTTTAAATTTTTTTAGTACTTAGGAAAGATCAAGAATCAAAATGGCTTTGAAATTCTCCAAAGCAACACTGGAAACAAGATAACGATGAAGCAATGCCTTCAAAACCCTGAAAAACAATGTTCCCAAAGTAGAATTCTACATTCAGACAAACTACAAATCAAAAATAAAGGCGTATTTAGACATTCATAGATGCATCCTTTCTCCTGGGAGAAAGAACACCCAGTTGTGTATCAGGCATAGAGGGCAATCAGTCAAGGTCAGAGCAATGTGGTTCCAGAGACAAATTCCTGAAAGTTGCCATCACCAAGAACCCCAGACCATGCTTTTAACCCAATGCAGAATGCCTTGGCAAGTGTGGCCCAGATATTTGTTCTTGAGCCAATAAAGTTCCTACTCTCCTCCACAGTGGCCTCAAACAGCTAAGGACACTCATTTTACCCCCACAGAAAGTTTCTGCTTTGACCTACTTCTAAGAGCTAGAGGCAGGTCATGTTGAGCTTAAGCAGAAAACATAGAGTAACCCACTCCCTGACCACATTTTTGGTCAGAGGTCCCCCGGCCTACACAACAGCACTGCAAAGCCTCAACTGGGATGAACTCCTTCTTTCCCAGGACTCACTTCTGACTTTGCTCAGTGACCTCCTGAAGAGGAGCTCTCAAGGAAGTTGAATTTAGATTGTGTCCCAGAGACTGTTTCGCACATCTTCATGATATGAAAGAGGGCGTACAATTATGTACACACTTTCAAAAGTAATAATAACGTACACCCATTTACCCACCACCAGATTAAAAGATAGAACATTTCCTGTATCTTATCTATACCCACCGCTGATTTAATCCCCCTCACTCGCCCTAGATACAAGTCCCTTTCTAACATTTTCATTTATCATTCCCTTGCTTTTCAGTTTCATCCCCTGATGATGTTATTACCCAAACACTAAATTATTTAATTCAAAAAAACTGAAGAGCAAGCATGAACCCAGTCGCATGAGAAAAACACAATATGCATATTGTCATTGTTGAGAAGGCTCCCATATTTACAAGTTGGTTTTTTTCTTTTTCTTTTTTTTTTTTTAGAGACAAGGTCTTGCTCTGTTGCCCAGGCTGGAGCGCAGTGGTGCAGTCACTGGTCACTGCAACCTCAAACTCCTGGCCTCAAGGGATCCTCTGGCTTCATCTTCCCAAGTAGCTGGGATTAAAGGCATGCACCATCACACCTGTGCCCTGTATTTATGACTTTTGATAATCATTTCTGTATTAAAGAATAAAGAGCTTCTGTGACTTCATTTTGACCCAGAAACAGAGAGTAGATGAACAGCCACAAGCCTGGTTCTAAAGGCAGCAGCCATTTATTTAAGAAACGAATCTAAAAACCAGAGACTAGAGTTTAAGCACTCAAAAATAATCAGCTTAAATATGGTAAAAGAGGAGGATTCTGGAAAGAGGACAGTGGCAACAGCATAGTTTTTGAGTCAACCCAGGGCCCTCTGTTAAAAATAGACAGATCAATGAGGATAACAAAACCAAAGACCCACTGACAATCTACAACAAAATTAGGAGACAAAGTATCACCGTGGACTAAATATGAAAGGATGGGGACAGACTGCTTATAGCCACACAGCCATGTGGCATCAGCATCCATGCAGGAAGACACGAAAGGAAGGCAGTTGGGTCTTCAGAACAGAACTCTCAAGTCATCAACAGGTACTGTGGGGCCCAGTCTGAAAACAGGAGTCAAAGCAAGGAGGGAGTTCCTCAAGTGATAAGATCTGAAAGTGATGGAGCAGATTCTAAAAACGAACAAACCAAAAACTACTTTCCTGAAGCAAGTGAGGGAATCCCACAAGGGAAAAAACCATAAACTCTGGATCCCCAAACTCTGACATCTTTGACTGACCCCTGAACCACACAAGTGCAAAATAGACCCAAATCAGCCCAGCTAAAGACAAAAGATCTGAACAAAGTAAGGAACTGCTGCATGAGAACAGAGTTTGCAATTCCATCCCAGCCAGGAAAATTACCCATAAAGCAAAGGAAACAACACCTCATCGGTGGGAAATAGTAGACCCCAAAGTCTCCAAAACTTAACATTCATTATATCCAGGATACAACTCAAAATGACCCAACATAAGAAGAACCAAGAAAATACAACACATTCCCACAAGAAAAGTCAGTATATTCTGATCCTGAAAGGAAATAGATGCTGGAACTAACAGACAAGGATTTTAATGAATTGCTAAAACTATCCTCAATTAAGTAAAACAAAATATGTTTTCAATGCATGAAACTCTCATCAGAGAAATGGGAAGTCTCAGCAGAAATAAAAAAATCATGCAAGAAGAACAAGATGGAAATTCTAGAACTGAAAAACAATTTCAGAAATAAAAATTAACTGAATGAACTTACAGCCGTTAGAAATGGTCATGACAGAGGAAAGAATAAGTGAACTTGAAAACAGACCAATAGAAAGTATCAAACATGAAGAACAGAGGAGAGAAACGATTTAAAAAAAAAAAAAAAAAGAACCGAGTCTCAGAGGTGGGTTAGGTAGTATCAAACAGTAAGAGGTACATATGTGTGATGGGAATACCAAAAGGAGAGGACAAAAAGAACGGGGCTGAGAAAATATTTGAGAAATAATGGCCAAAGAGTCCTCAGATTTGGTAACAGGCAGAAATTTTCAGACTTGAAATGACAAACACAAAGCAGAATGAACACCCAGAGGCCCATGCCAATAGAAGCCCACGTGACACTCAGACTGTTGAAAGCCAAAAATAAAGAGCAGATCTTAAAACCAGTAAGAGAAAACCATAATTTACATAATTTTATGGATATATGACAAGTAATGGCTGAATTCACCTCTGAAACCAAGAAGGCCAGAGGGAATAACATTTTTAAAGTACTCAAAGGAAAAAAAAAACTGTCGAAGCAAAATCCTGTATTCAGCAAAAATATTATTCAAGAATAAAAGCAAAATAAAGACTTTTTCAGACAAAAGAAATCTAAAACATTTGGTCACAAGTAGAGCTACACTACAAAATATGCGAAGGAAAGTTTTTCAGGCTAAAGAGAAATAAATTTCAGATAGAAACTTGAGTCCTCAGAAAAAAAAAACAAAGAGCACCAGAAATGGTAAATATCTTGGTAAATGCAAAAGACTATACTTTCTTTTTTCTGTTAATTTCTTTATTAACCATGTAATTTTAAAATTAAAGTTACAGCATTATCTTGTGGGGTTTATAACATATGTAGATGTATTACATAAAATAAGTATAAAATAAAGAGGGATATGGGCCTATAAAGTTGCAAGATTTCTATATTTTAAATAAGGTAGTACGTTATTAACTGTGAAAAATTAAGGAAGTACATAATAATTGCTCAGTCAACCAGTAGTTTAAAAATGCAAAAAAGAATATTTAAAAAGACAGTAGGAAAACTTTAAAGGGTGAAAGGAAATGAATGGGAAACATAAGCCAGATAAACAGCATGTGAAGGTAGTCTGGAGTAGCAATATTAATATCAGATAAAATACATTTCAAAGCAAAATATATTAACAAGGATAAAAAAGACACTTCATAAAAATAAAAGGGGTATTCAACAGGAAAACATAACAATCATAAATGTATATGAACCCAGTAACAGAGCTTCCAAACACATGAAGCAAAAAATGACAGATTTAAAGGGAAAAGGAATTCCATAATCTAAAGACTGCAATATGCTTTAACAGCAACTATTAGAAAAATTAGACAAAAATCCGCAAATGCGTAGAAGATTTCAACACATTACCCAACAATTTAAAAATACATTTTGTTTTCAATTGGCACATAGAATGTTTACCAGTATAGACTATATTTGAGGCCATAAAACAAGTCTTAATAAATGTCAAAAGATTGAAAGCATACAGAATATATTCTCTAACAAAAATAGAATTAAGTTAGAAATCAAAAACAAGATAACCAGGAAAATCCCAAATATTTGGAAATTAAACAACACACTTCTAGGCTGGGCACGGTGGCTCACACCTGTAATCCCAGAACTTTGGGAGACCAAGGCAGGAGGATCATTTGAGGTCAGGAATCTGAGACCAGACTGGCCAACGTGATGAATCCCCTTCTCTACTAAAAATGCAAATTGGCCAAGCATGGTGGCGGGTGCCTGTAATCCCAGCTATTCAGGAGGCTGAGGCAAGAGAATCGCTTAAACCTGGGAGGTGGAGTTTGCAGTGAGCTAAGATCGTGCCACTGCACTCCAGCCTGGGCAACAGAGCAAAACTCCATCCCCCACCAAAAAAAAAAAAAACCACACACATGTCTAAAGAAATTTTGGGTCAAAGAAAAAAATTGCAAGATAAATTAGAGAATATTTTAAACTGAATAATGAAAATACAAAACTGGTGGAATGCGCCTAAAGCAGGACTTATGAAGCAATGCACGGCTTTCAAGTGCCTGTATTAGAAAAGAAGAAAGATTTCAAATTAATAATATAGTTTTCACTTTCAGAAGCTAGAAAAAAGAAGAGCTAATTAAAACCCAAACAAACCAAAGGAAGGAAATGGTATAAATAATTATGTACAAAAATCAATAAAATAGGAAACAGAGAAACAATAGAGAAAATCATTGAAACCAAAAGTTGGTTCATCAGTAAAATGTATAAACCTCTAACCAGACAGGTCAGGAAAAAAAGAGACATAAATTGCCAATATCAGAAATAAAAGAGGAACATAGCAACAAATTCTATAGATATAAAAAGAATTATAAGGGATTATTACAAATAACTTTATACCAGTAAATGGCAACTAGACAAATTTGTCAAATGGACAAAATGGACAAATTCCTTAAAAGACACAAATAACCATAACTGACTTAAGAAGAATTTAAAGCAAACAAAAATTGTGAAATCTTTATGAACTGAAGAAACTGAATTTAAAATTTGAAACCTTCCCCCAAAAAAAGAACCTCCAGGCTCTAATGGCTTCAATGGTGAATTTATCAAAAAATCAAGGAATCGTTATCAATTCTACACAAACCCTTTCAGAAACTATAGAAAAGGAAACACTTCCCAACTCATTTTATGAAGCCAATTTTATCCTGATTTCAAAACCAGACAAAAATATCACAAGAAAACAAAACTACAGACCAGTATATCTCATGAAAACACAGATACAAAACTCCCTAACTAAACATTAGAAAACTGAATCCAACAATATTTTTAGAAGAATACATTACGACCAAATAGGGTTTAATTCAGGAATAAAGGAATGCAAGGTTGGTCTAACATTCTGAAAGGCTCAAAGCTTTCCACCTAAGGTCAAGAACAAGGCAAGAACACTCACTCACATCACTTTTATTTAGCATTGTTCTGAAGGTCCTAGCCAGTGCAGTAGGCAATAAAAAGAAATAAAAGGCATACAGATTGGAAAGGCAGATGTAAAATTATCTTTATTCACAAATGGCGTAACAGTGCATACTGAAAACCTTCAATTATACATATATTTTTTTCTTTTTTTAAACTACTCACCAAATACATGAGTGTGGTAGGGGTACAGGATATAAGACCAACACAGCAAAGCTATTGTATTTATCTATACTAACAGCAAATAATTAGGAAATAAAACTTGAAAAACAAATCCACTCACAAAAATACTTAGGAATAAATTTAATGAAAGATGTGACAACTACCAAATATTGCAAAAGAGAATTAAACAAGACATAAATAAGTTTACATATGTGTCATTCCAAGGATTGTTAAGAAAGTAATCCTCTCCAAATGGATCTATAGACCAAAATCCAAATAAGCTTCCTTGGAAGCAAATTACAAGTTGATTTTAAAATTTACATAGAAAGCAAAGGACTTTAAATAGTTGAAACAGTTTTGAAAAATAAGAACAAAGTTGGAAGACTGATAGTACTAAAGATCATATGCCATTGACATAAGAATAGATGAAGAAACAAAATAGAGTCCAGAGATAGACCCACATATATATGAGTGATTGACTATCAACAAAGGTACCAGGATAATCCAACAGAGATAAGAAACAACTGGATATCGTACATGGAAATAATGAACCTCAAACTTTACCTCACATTATACATAAAATTAACTCAAAAATGTTTATAAACCTAAATGTTAGAGATAAAACCATTAAACTTCTAGAAGAAAATACTGAAGAAAATCTTTGTGACATTGGTTTAGGCAAAGATTCCATAAACAGGATACCAAAAGTGCAAATGATAAAAGAAAAAAAATTGAAAATGGGCTGTATAATTTAAAAGTCTTGCTTCTCGAAAGTCATTGTTAAGAAAACACAAAGGTAAGCCACAGATTGGAAGCAAAATGTTTCAAAACAATGAACTTGTATTCAGAATATATAAAGAACCCTTAAGACTCAATCAAAAGATCAAAAAAACCAATAAAAATAGACCAAAGATTGGAACAGAAATTTCCCAAAAGAAGATATACAAATAGTCAATTGGCACATAAAAAGATGTTCAACATCACTAATCCTCAGAGAAATGCTAATTAAAACCACAAGATACCACTGCACACCAACTAGAAAGACTAAAGTTAAATAGACTGTGAATACCAAGTGTTGATGAAGATGCAGATCAACTGAAACTCTCTCCTACATTGCTGGTGGGAACATAAAACCTTACAGCCACTTTGCAAAATAGTATAGAAATACCTTATAACGGTAAACATTCATTAACCATACTACCAAGCAATTCCATTCCTAGGTATTCAACCTAGAGAAATAAAAACATATGTCCACATGAAACCAGGTATGCAAATATTCATAATGGCCCAAAACTGAAAACAACCCAAATTTCTATCAACTGGTGAATGGATAAACAAATTGTAATATACACATGCCATGGACTATATAGAGCAATAAAAACAAACAAAATATTAATTAACCCAACAACATGAGTGACTCTCCAAAACATTATGATAAATAAAAGAAGTTAGACAGAAGCCAGGTGCCGTGGCTCATGCCTGTAATCCCAGCACTTTGGGAGGCCAAGGCAGGTGGATCACGAGGTCAGGAGTTCGAGACCAGCCTGCCCAACATGGTGAAACCCTGTCTCTACTAAAAATACAAAAAATTAGCCGGGCATGGTGGTGTGCACCTGTAATCCCAACTACTCGGGAGGCTGAGGCAGGAGAATCGCTTGAACCTAAGAGGCGGAGGTTGCAGCGAGCTGAGATTGTGCCATTGCACTCTAGCCTGGGCGACAGAGCAAGAGTCCGTCTTGAGAAAAAAAAAAAAAAGAAGTCAGACAGAAAAGAGTATGCACTGAATGATTCCATTTACATGAAATTCTATAAAAGGCAACACTAATAATAAAAAGAAAAGCAATGTCTTCCTGGAACTGGGAGTTGAAGGAAGGGATCAAGAGCAAAGGACACAAGGAATCTTTCTAAGATAAGGATAAGGGTATTTATTTATTTATTTATTTATTTATTTATTTAGAGACTGACTCCCTCTCTGTTGCCCAGGCTGGAGTGCAGTGGCGCAATCTCAGCTTCCTGCAACCTCGGCTTCCTAGGCTCAAGCGATTCTCCTGCCTCAACCTCCTGAGTAGCTGGGACTACAGGCATGCACTACCACGCCTGGCTAATTTTTATATTTTTAGTAGAGATAGGGTTTTGCCATGTTGGCCAGGCTGGTCTCAGACTCCTGACCTAAAGTGATATGCCCACCTCAGCCTCCTAAAGTGCTGGGATTACAGGCATGCACCACTATGCCCTGCTAATTTTTGTACTTTTAGTAGATATAGGGTTTTGCCATGTTGGCCAGGCTGGTTTCAAACTCCTGACCTAAAGTGATCCGCCCACTTTGGCCTCCCAAAGTGCTGAGATTACAGGCATAAGGCACCATGTCCGGCCAGGATATGGGTCTTTATCTTTATTGTGGTAGTGGTTACATGACTGTATATTCTTAGCAAAATTCATCAATCTGTGCTTTGCAAATTGGTGAATTTTATTATTTGTCACTATTTCCACGTAAACAAAAAGAGGATAAAATGACGTATCTTAATATGTATGTATTTGGGCGTGTCTACATTAGAAGACATGGTGATAGTAGTCAAATGCTTGTACTTATAATGAATAAGTTGAATTTATGCAAAATAAGATAATATTCAACTGAATGTTATCAACTTTATATTTAACATTTCAAAATAAGGCCTAAATAAATACATAGTTCTATATACATGCAGAATCACCAAGAATAAGCTAGTTCACATGTAGACTAATAAAGGTATATTGTGTGGGTAATTCTAAAAAAACTCTAAAAGAAATAAAGGAAGAGATTTTTAAAACGTACAGTAGAAAATGATCCTACAGAAGATAAGCAAAAAACACCCAACATGTGTACGATAGGGATCTCAAGAGAAAATGCCAAACAATGGAACAAAACAAGTATTAAAACTGTATCTCCAGAAACTGTATTTCCTAAAATTAAAAAAACATCTTGAACTTATTGAAAGGACATACTGCAATCATTTCAGCATGACCCAACAATGAATCATATTATAGTTAAGGCTACTTAAAAGGAGATTAAAAAAAAAGACTAAGCCACTAAGAAAACAAGATTGTCACTGGACTTTTCACCAATCCTTAATGCCAAAAAAAATGATGTGACAAATTTAAAATACTCAAGTTGGCGAAATATAAGTCAAAGATTTTATGTCCACCCAAGCTGACCTCCAAGTACAAAGTTGCAAACTATTATAAACTTGCCAAAACTCAGGCAATAATTGATTCTGTAAGCCCTTCCTAAAGGATCTATTAGAAATGGCGATTAAGACAACCAAAAAGACTGAAAGACAGCAGTATAAGAATGAGTGATGAGTATTAAATATAAATTTATCTGAGAAACAAAGCTAAACCATGATTATAAGAAAGAAAATATAGCAGCTAAAATACAATTATCAAAAATCAGGAGGCATGGAGGGCATATGGATATGATTGTCTAATGGGTATTAATTGTAAACAAAATGACACTATTGTATATCAGATACTGGGTTAGAAGGAGGGTAGAGAGAAGAGGTTAGAAGCTAATTGCAATATTATTCAATGTAGGGAACTAGTTAGTCCAAAAACAAGAGGACTAGCAGTATTATGTAGAAGTCTTAGTATAAAGTTAACCAAAAGAAAAAAATGAGCAAATAAAACCCACTGCATAATGAAAGAGTTTAGATATAAAATACATAAAAATAAAATAATATGATAGAACTGAGGCCAAACATATTAATCATATCAATAGATGTAAAAGGGCTTAACTCACCTATTAAAAGAAAAGGATTTTCAGATTGGCTAACAAAGCAAAATCCAACACTATGCAGAATACAAGAGACACATCTAAAACAAAGAGATTCAAAAGAGTTAAAAATAAAAGGATGGCAAAAGATATATCAGGCAAACACAAATAAAAAGAAAACGGGGTCATAATCTTAATATCTGACAAGGTGGAATTCAGACCAGAAAGCATTAAAATAGATAAAGAAGTGCCCTTTATAATGTTTAAGGCTACAATTCACAATGAAGATATTAGTTATTAGTATTTATGCACCCAGTAACACAGTAATAACTTCGATTAAGCAGCAACCTACAGAAGATGCAAGAAGAAATAGACAGAAACACACTAATAATAGGAGACTTTAACATACCTCTCACAATCCAAGATCAAGTGGACTAAAAATTAATAAAAGGTATAAAAGACCTAAACAACATTACAAGGTAGATCTTATAGATATACATCAAACTCATATTATTGTATCAATAATAATAGAGATTACAACTTCTTTTTAAGTACATATGTGGTATTCACAAAAACTGACTAAATCTTATGACACAGCAAAAACCTCAATGTGCTACAGAATAGAAATAATGTAAATAGTATCCTCAGACCATAAGGCAATAAAATTAGAAATCAACAACACAACAGAGAAACAAAAATGCCCTTCCACATGGAAATTTATGCACTTTTAAACCACTCTTAGGTCAAAGGCAAATATACAAAATTCAATTGCAGAATTTCTTGAAAATAGTTATAATAAAGCCTGACATTACCAGAATCTGTAGGCTACAACTAAAGGAAGTGTCAAAGAAAAATATATTGCATGAAATGCCTATCTCAATAAAAATTTAAAAAAAAAAAAAAATTAACAGCCAACTCAAAAAGCTAGAGGAATACAAAATAAAACAAAGAAATCAAGGAAAAAATAATCAGAAATTAATAATAAAAACTGAAATTAATTTAGAAATGCCAAAAACTAGAAGTAATAAATAAATAAAAATAACTGGTTTCTTGAAAAAGAAATCGACAAAATAGACAAACCACTAACCCAATTTTTTAAAGGGGGCAGGAGAGACAGCACAAATACACAACATTAAATACAGTCATCCCTCAGTATCCACCAGGGATTGGTTCCTGGACCCACCCCCACCCCTAACCTTCTGCAGGTACCAAAATCCTTGGATGTTCAAGTCCTTTTTATAAAATTATATAGTATTTGCATATAACCTATGCACATCCTCCTGTATACTTTAAATCATCTCTGTTTTATAATACCGAATAAAATATCATCCTATAGGAATAGTTGTCATACCCCACTGTATTTTTTTATTGTACTATTTTTTATTGTTTTTTTCCCAAATATTTTTGATCTACTGTTGGTTGAATCCATGGATGCAAAAACCACCAGATACAGAGGGCCAACTGTATGCATTAGAAATGACAAGCAGAAAATAAACATCAAAACAGAGGAATTTTTAAAATTTCTAAGATAGTCATTTGCATAATTCTATGCAAACAAATTTGAAAACTTAGATGAAATGCATAATTTTTTAGAGAAATAAAACTTACCAAAATTGACCCCAGTAGAAACAGAAAGTCTAAATAGAACAAGTGTCATACAACAAATAGAGAAAGAAGTTAAAGAGTTCCACTACAAAAAAAGCACAGGCCAGATTGTTTTACAGGGGAACTCTAAAAAACTTTTAAAGATCAGATAACACCAATGCTATTATATTATTCCAAAGTTTAGAAAGGAAGCAAAATTTCCAGGCTCACTTTATGTAGTGAGTATCACATTGTTCCCAGGTCCTGAATAAAATTACTTCCCACTCTACCCCCCAGAAAAACACCTATGAAACAATCTAACTTATTAATATCAATGCAAAAATTCTTAAAATATGATGAAATTCAACCAAGCATATTAATAAAGTTAAGAGAGGAAGCAATATGGTCTCCATAGATGCAGAAAATAAACTTGACTCAACACCCATTTCGGTTTAAAAAAAAAACTTAACAAAATAAGAATTGACAGATACTGCCTAGTATATTACCTCAGCCCAAAATAATATCTTACTTAGAAATACAAGAGATTTTCCTACTAAAGTAAAATACAAGCCAAGAACACCCACTCTCTCTGCTATATTTCACACTGTATTGGAGATACTGACCAATGCAATCAGAAAACAAGAAAGCAATTAGAGGCATAAAAATTGAGTAGAAAAGAAAGGACAAAACTATTTTCTATTTGCAGAGCATACAATTGTATATCTTGAAAACCCAAAAGAATAGATGGAAAAATGACTACAAAAAGAAAATAATTTAGTAAAATAAAGTTATAAAATCAGCATACAAAAACTCAATAGCCTTCATGTATTCAAAATTTTAAAATAGAAGAAATGATACATCTCAATTATGATGGCAAAAAATGACGAAAGAAAATACTAAGCAAGAGCTCTATAAGAAATTCCAAAATCTATATGAGAAAAAAGCACCCCAAGAAAGGCACAGACTTGAACAAATGGAAAGACATACCATGTTCTTAGAAAGAGTAAGATTCAATATCAGAAAGATGTCAATTCTTCCTAAAGTAAGTTATTCTATAAAAGTAATATGATACTCACAAAAATACTATGAGGCTTTTTCCTGGAGTTATTCAACTTGTTTATAAAATTATTTTGGAAGAATGAAAAAGATCTAACGCAATGAGGGTTACGTGAAAAAAAAAAAAAGAACGTAAAAGAAAGCCAGTGAAACCTGCTTGAAACATTATTTTTTAAGAACAATGTTGAATGGGAGAGTGGAGATTCTTAGAAAATTCCCCACAAAAATTTTAGCCTCCAGTTAAAATAAAGAGTAGTAATGACCACAGGAGCAATTGTTGGCTCCCTGTGAATAAGTCATCCCAAGTTCATTTCAACTTCCTATTTTTTTAGAGATCTAGACAGGGCATCAAAGAAAAGTTGTAGAGAGTGTATACATCTCAGCAAAGTAGGATGCACTTGGAGAGTCAACTGTAAGCTCCTCTAGAGCCTAGCACAGTGCTTGATACATAGTAGACACCCAATAAATATTGGTTGAATAAGTGAATAGACAAGTTGATGAAATATATAGATTGAGTGGTACCATGACAGGATAGATTTGTATCTAGTGAAACTCACATTTAAAATATATTGATTAGAGGCTCAAAGCCAACTTGAAAAAAGTTATTTAATAGCATGACACTCACAGGGCTTTGGTGCTTCTTTCTTTTTGTCAACATTTTTATTTTGGATACTTCATATAGGAATGCATATTGTTTTGGTAGTTGACACAAAACCAATGGAAGAATAGCTAATATGTTGGATTACAGAATCAGACATAACAATGAAATAACATTAATAAGACAAAATGTAATAAGGTTTGTAGTGGTTTGAATTGTATCCCCCAAAAGATATGTTCAAGTCTTAATCCTGGTACTGTGAATGTGACCTCATTTGGAAATAGGGTCTTTGCAGATATAATCAAGTTAAGATAAGGTCATACTGGATTAAGGTGGGCTCTAAATCAAATGACGTGTGTTTATAAGAGGAAGGAGAGAGAGGTTTGGATACAGAGACACAGGCTGTGTAAAGATGGAGGCAGAGATTGGCGTGATGCTGCTACAACCAAGGAATGCCAAAGATTGCCAGAAACCCCCAGAAGCTAGGACACAAGGAAGGGAGATTTTTCCCTAGAGCCTGCAGAGAGAGCACAGCCCTGCCAACGCTTTGATTTCAGACTTCTGGCTTCCAGAACTGTAAGAGAATAATCTTCAGTTGTTTTACACCACCTAGTCTGTGCTAATTCATTACAGCAGCTCTAGAAAACTAATACAGCGTTAAACAAAGCCCTAAGACTTTCAGCTGCACAGATAGAGGGTAAGTGCTCACTGAAAATATTAGAATGATATGCAAAAGACTCGCATGACCCTTGCGCAAGGATGACACATAAATCTGTGAAAAGTTCTGTATAAAAAAATAAAAAGAAGAAATAGGAATTAAGGTACTTGAGGAACATTGAAGAAATAAAACCAAAGTATAATAACACATCTCTCAAAGCTGTTATGAAAATGAATTAAGCCAATATATACCAAAGTGCCTAGTACCTAGTAGGCACAAGCAATAAATATCTAAACTGTCTTTCCTGGAGAGCTTAAGATTCAAGCACATATAATCCTGACATGCTAAACTGTTTGTGAGTTATTATCTATTTCTACTTCTGAGGCAAGCTGATTTATTCTTAAAATAAAATAACATATACATAAATGTATATGTATATACACATGCATTTGTGCATGTATATATACATAAATATATATGTATACACACACACATATCCTTTTAATTTTATTCTATTGGAAGACCAAGTTCCTGAGACCAATGAAAATGAAAGATACCCTGAAATGCTGAACACCACTCCAGTTTTAATCCCACATCAAATATCAAATGAGACTCACATGATAAGCTGTATGCTGTTGGTAACATTGGTCTTGAAAAGTCCAGAAGGAGAGAAAAACAAGACACAAATAGAATAAATGGACTGAAAGAAGCTAAAAGTTCTAAATGAAATTGTTGAGCTTTTCACATTACAGAAAGCAAGAGTATTGATAAGAATATATTTTTTGCTTAATGCACTTTTTGATACAGGAAATATTTCATTTCTAAGCCAATATATATGTTTATTTATGCAGAGCTATCCATATATTTTCAAAATGTAAGAAACAAATGCATATGAATTTCCAACATAATACTACTGCAAAACAAGAATCCCAACTTAAAGCTTATTTATTGGTTGAGTAATCAATACATAAAACTTGAACAGCATCCAAGTAAAACTGGTCTGAAGAGGCCCTGACTTTAGATATATTGCCACTTTATCTTAAAAAAAAAACAGTTGGCTGTGTGCTAAAACTGCCTACCACTTTAAGAATCATAATTATTATTTTGAATATAGTAAAAGGAAAATTTAGCTAATCGGACAGAATCAAAACCACAATGAATGTTTAAGAAATGTGTAACATGTTGTATAAATACTGTAACATTTGATTTAGCAAATATATTTTAAGTACTTTTGACAACTGTAGTTTTATTTACCTGTAAATCCATTTGAAAAGCATGCATTTTGTGCAATGTTCACATTGCATAGAATGCAGAACTTCATATTAACAAAAATGTAAAATCTTCAAATTAATGATATCCAAACACTTGGTTATGTAATCCTTCCTTATAAAAGGCATTTCATCCACCCTCAGTCATTTTTACTTTTTCAAGAAATGATTTTTGTGCAAACACTATGCACTGGACAAGGGATTGCACACTGGAGACACAGAGAGGAACATAATACAATCTACACACAAAGTAAATTAAGGCAACTAACAAGAAACTAATTGAAATATAGTGTGACCACACAAATAGGGCATATAGGGAGAAAGTGGCAATCAGGCAAGGTTTCAAAGCTAAGTATTGAGCAGTAAGTAGGCATTAGACAGGCCAAGACGATGAGGGGGAAGAAAACATTTCAGGCAAAAAGAACATGATGCATTGGAGGAACTGAAAAAATAGTTCATTGTAACTGCATTGAAGAGGTAAAGCAGAGATTGTTGACGAGCTAGAATCAACAAGGCTTGGGAATGTGTTGAATAGTTATGGCAGAGAGTAAAAAGTTTAGGAAGACTGATTTTTTGACTTGGATAAATGAGCAAGGAAGTGTCATTTACCAAAATGACTGATCTAAAAAGAAGTACAAGGTTGGAACAAAGGACAATGAATTTGGGTGGTATGTATAAGATGCTTGGGTAGAGATAGAGGACTGTACTTCCAAAAACGTTTGTGGACTAGAAAATTGTATGTGGGAGGCATCCTCGTAGATGATACCATGCAAGTGAATGTGGTCAAGAGTCTGTGGGATTTTAAAAAAGAGTGAGAGAGAGGACTAATGACAGATTCCTGTGCGAAGCTAATTTTCAAAAGGCAGGAAGAAGACAGCCCTAAGAAAAAATCTGAGTGGGAACAGCCAGAAAAGAAAGAAGAAAAGGAGTTTAAATCAGGAATGCAGCAACTAGTGTCAAATGATACAGAGAAGTCATGTAAGACGAGAGCTAAAAGCTATTCTTCTTTTTGCAACCACAAAAATGGTTATAATAGGCACATTCTAATTTTTGCATAATATGAATAAAACTGTAATAGAGTTTCCTCTATAAGAAGTTTGCAATATTCTTGTGAAAAGATTTCTAAATGACTACAACTGCAGTGCTATTGAAAGGAGAAGTACTTTTCTATTTTAGTGATATTACCATATAATGTGCAAAAAATAAAGAAAACTATCTATTGATTTCTCCATGCATGGCCCTTACATATACATGGGAGAGGGGCAAGTTCAACTTCAAGTCATAGTGCTAATCAGCTACACTCTTAAAATTGTTTATCTTTGATGTAATCAAAAATATTTTTGGTTACTGGGAGGCTAGATCCAAACTTCACAATTATCTCCATTTTGGCAGCAAGCATAAGGTTTTATATTTGATGATGATGATGATGATAATAATTGTTAACATTTATTAAGTCCTCATTATGTGCCAGGATTCTCTGCTAAGCACTGTTCATGAATCACCTCATTTAATCTTCACAACAACTATAACTATCCCCATTTTATAGAGGATGTAGTCAGGGCTTAGAGACATTAACTTATCTAAGGTCACAGAGTTTACAGGGAGCAAAGCCAGGATTCAAACCCAGGCAGCAGTCTGATTCTAGAACCCCAACTCTGAATGTCTGCTGTTACCAAAAGCAGAGCTTCTTTTGAAAGAGCATACCCAAGGTGATCCCGATTGGTCAATTTTGATTCTTAGAAGACAGAAAAAGTTTGGGGTGGAGGGAGTGGGACTCCTCTTTAGAATTCCAAATAAATTTCATTTTTATCATTCCAAATTCTATATCAGCTATGCAAACATTTTCACTACAGTGAACTTTGTAAGAAAAAGAAGCATTTGGAGAAAAAAAAAATTTAACTCTTCTGCAATCACCTGAGAAAGTGCTAGGAAGCTTTCACCTCCTGTTTTGAGGCTCTGCAGATAGCACAGGAAACAGATTGAATATTTTTTAAAGGCTCCAAAAACTAGCTGCTGCTGCTTCTTTTTTTTCTTTTCTTTTTTTTTTTCTTTTTGAGACGGAGTTTTGCTCTGGTTTCCCAGGCTGGAGTGCAATGGCACAATCTCTACTCATAGCAATCTCCGCCTCCCAGGTTCAGGTGATTCTCCTGCCTCAGCCTCCTGAGTAGCTGGGATTACAGACATGCACCACCATGCCAGGCTAATTTTGTATTTTTAGTAGAGATGGGGTTTCTCCATGTTGGTCAGGCTGGTCTCGAACTCCCGACCCCAGGTGATCCACCTGCCTCGGCCTCCCAAAGTGCTGGGATTACAGGCGTGAGCCACTGCGCCCGGCCACTAGCTTCTCCTTCATCACTATTACTTATCTCACAAAAGAAAATGCCACTACATAAAACAGAAATCATTTTTCATATCTCTGTGATACATTACATTTCAAAGGTAAATCGAGTAAGCTGGTTTGGGTTGAAATGCAAGTACTTTCTCTTGCTGGTCCAACAAAACTATGTCTACTTGTCAAACCAGTGAAACCTTTATCAACATCAAGAAGCTCCAAGAAGAAGAGTAATAGAAATAATATTTTGACATTATATTAAGCCTAATTCTCCCTCCTCAGTCCTTAGGAAAGTGGTAATGTGCATCCTGAATGCAGAGGAGAAACGAGCTCTCCCATTCTCTCCTTATCCAGTAGTCTTCACACCCAGTAGAAGAAAAAAAAAAATTCCCTGACCTTTCCTTCTCTTGCTCCTTACACGTAGCTAAACTTCTACCAAGTCCAAGGATAAAATGCTGCCAATCTGCGTTCTTTTTATAAAAAGTATTTGTCCTTCATGAACATCAACTATGCAGCCTATTGTGTTTTTGCTTTATTTTCAGGTACATAACATACACGAAAATGTCAATCCACTCATGTTAGTGCATATTAACAGAAAAAGAAAAGAGATTCCTTAATTACCTTCATTCTAAATACAGATATCTAAAAACATCCATAGCATCCTTAACCTTTCCACAGCCTACTCCCATTTACCTCCTTTGCCCTCCAAACCCTTAAGACTAAAGCAAAGATAGCTCCTACTACAATTCCTTACTTTAAAGATGGAAACTCTGAGGCACAAAACTATTAAGTTAATTGCCCCGTGTCTCACAATTAATCAGAAGGACATACAAAGCTCAAGTCCACATGTTCTAGCTCCAGATATGGTGTCCTTTTCATCCTCTACAGATGAAAAAAATCTGTTTCACTAACACGTCTAAAATAGCTACTTAAGTCCACTAATTGCTCTACAGAATCAAGTCCATAGATAGATTTTATTCATTGCCCAGGAAAGAGACAAGACAAAGCATCCAGTCCATTTCAAAATGTAACAAGGAAGAGAAAACACAGGAAGAGGACAGTAATACTCACTGGCTTTAGCCTGAAATTACTTACGTAATATGTAACTACACAATCAAATGACAGGTGGTGTTTTTTCCTTTAAAAACCATACTATAATAAAACCACTTGGCTTTATTATAATATCAGGATGTGATATTCTCAAGTGGGAGGTTCTACATGGACTCAAACTATGTTACCATTCCTCAAAACAGAATGCACCCAATTTTTTTCAAAAACCTCTGTAAAAGCAAAACTTAATTTTGAATGTAGATTTAACTTTCAGAAACATGCAAAAAAAATCACAAGAGAGCTTCCTAACTATTTAGAGGAGATGGACTATTTAAAAGTGGGCAATGCTTGTCATTATCATAGCCATCATTTATTGAGTACATTCTATGTGCTAGGCTCATTACTAAACCTTTTATATGTATTCTCTCATTCCCCACAACAACCCCATCAGCATGATTAGCCCAGGTTTACAGATGAGGAAATAAAGTTCAGAGAGGTCAATTATCTTGCCCAAGGTCAAACAGTAGCAAAACTAAGATTGAAACTCAGATCTTCCGGATTCCAAAAAAACATAAAGAAGTAAAAGCACTGGGTGGTAGGTGGGCATGCACAATTTCTAATGAACCATCAATCTGAGAATTCTATAAGCCTTCAGTTTATTTAATTTATCTGGTGAATAAATGACATACTGCATTTTATCATATATAAGATATTGCCCTCAAATAATGAGACTACTGTTTTGTGTGTCTCAAAAACCGGCTTTAGTAGCCATTCCAAAGAAGAATTACAAAGACTTTTAAGTAGTGACAGCATTATCCATATAACGTGTACTGCTTTGGAAGAAAGGAGTCAATCTAGGTGAATAAGTTCTGGTATATTGTTAAAAATTCAAACTTACTGCTTAATAAAAACGTCTTTTATTTACAATCTGAAGTTTAAGCTCCTGAATCCCTCAAGCCCTCAAGTGTACTCGGAAAAAGGCTTCACATTGATCAACCTACCAAGCACACACCGAAGGCCTACTAGTGCGCACTGCAATAAGACAGACTATGGGAACCATATTAGAAACTTACTCCATCCACAAGGAGTTAGCAGGTTGCTTCCAACCACGCACACAGTCAGTCATTACTGGGACAACCAAAATCCTCCGGTGCTATGGGCTGCCCTACAAAGGAAGCCTGCTCTTTGGAACAATAATTAGATCAATTAGGTCATTTTCCCAGAGCTCCTTTCACTTTCTTGTAAGCACCGCATGGTTGTGGTTGGTTTTGACATTGGTGTTGGCATTAGTGAGTTAATTTTCCTCTTGCCTGGCTCCCTGCTCCCTCCCCCTTCTCTCCCTTCTTGCCTCTTCCACCCGAAGTGGAAACTGCAGACTCAAACTCCCCTATGGCTCCAGCACCAAGAACTGGGCATGCTCAGAAGGCCAGGCAGGCTTTGGTTGCAACTGACAGTTCCCCGCCCCTGATTTGCCGCTACCCCCCTTCCCCCACTCCAACAAGAGATACTGAAATGTTTATCTGAAAGATACGAGGCCTCTTTTTCCCGAGAATGACCCCATTTTAATTTCATTTCGCAGGGTCTCTGAGTCTTGAGAAACCCCCGCTGGAGCCCGAGGAAGACCGTATTATTTTTCAGCACCGGGGACAGCGCCGCGCTGCCATTAACGTCCACCCTCCCCCACCTTCTCTCTCCGCCACCCCCCACCCGCCCCAACCTCAGCCCCCACCCCCGCACCAGCACAATGCCAAGGTCTCCCAGCAGCCGCAAACGCCGCAGCTGCAATAGCTCCCAGCCGAGGCCGGGCCGGAATGCCGGGCCGGCTGCTACTTACACTGCTCCGCTTTGGTGGACATGGTGCTGTCCAGTTGGAAAGGCTTTGCCCCAAAATCTGTGTCGTGTGAGCTCCCTCGCTCCGCCAGCGATGTTGCGAGGAAAAGAGTGCATACCCCCCACCCCCCACCCCCTCGCTTTCCCCCTCCCTTAGGCCCGTGTCGCTACCATTCGGACAAAACGCACATCAAATTGCAGAATTCGGTCCCGGAAGGTTAGGAAATCGCCCCCGGAGAAATGGGTGGGATTTAATAGGCGGCCAAAGGCTTCCTGTCCGTCCCCTCCTGGAGCTGCCCGCGTTGATGTGGGCGGGGAGACCGAAAGGAGAGAGCAGGCTGCGGCTCCTGGTGAAATGGGAAAATGGGCTCGACCGGGGGAGGAGTATTTCCATTCATAAGGCGCACGGAGGGGACGGGTGTTTCCCAGAGAAAAGCCTCTTAAAGCGCCGGAGTCCCCGACCATTTGGATCTCCCATTGGCGTTCTCCGGGCCTGTAAATCCTGCTCCCGGAGCAGCCCCCGGAGCCTCAGCAGGGTGACCAGAGAGGGACCCAGGTGCGTCCCACGCTTCGTCTCAACCTCGGGGAGGAAGGAGAGGGAGGCGGATCCGGGGCGGGCTGGAGCGCCGGGGCCGGAGGGCGCGAGGATGTTCCTGAGGACCGCGAGGAAGAAAATGCAGGAGGAACCCTCAGCATGGCTTCCCTGTGCGCTGCGGTCCCTGCCCTCGCCTCCCCTCTGCGATGGGCTCTCCTGCTGATGATTGGGGATGGGAGGTCCCACTGCCAGGGGGCTGTGACAAGACTTTAGAAGTTGGGGCTGAAGGAAGGAGGAGATGTCCACGGATGGTGAAGCTGGAAGGGCCACAGAAAAGGAAGATGAAAGACTGAAGACAGGAAGACCCCAGGTGTGCTCCCTTGCAGCCATCCCAGCTGGACAGGGACACATTAGGAAGCCCCTCGACTGGAAAACCGAAGGCAGCGGGAAAGGAAGGCAATAGACGAGGGCATCGTGCATATTAATAGGAAGATATCCAAAGAATCCACTACAGAATGGAGAGACACTTGGAGTCGGGAAGAACCAGATTCAAGACCCACTTTTACCACTTACTCACTCAAGGACCATCTTCTAATCTCCCTACACCTCCGGTTCTTTATCTGTAAAATGGGAACATTAAAACCTTGCCCTGTCACCTGAAGAGTTACTGGGCAGATCGAATGGATGCGCAAGTCCTTGTAAACTAAAAGTACGGCACAATCCCCAACCATTATGTCCATTCTTCATTCAAATAGTTTAATTTGTTAAAGCTGAGGGGCATGGTCATAGCAGGTTAATTTAGTAAAAGTTACAGGAACAAAACGGTAAGTGTTGACAATGACTTTTAATGCTGATAAATCAATGTTTTCCACCTCAGAGAATAAAAGATCCTATTTAGGGAAAGAATTTTAAATTCTGTGTAATATATCAAACTATTCAGGTGAAATCTTGGACAATTAAGAAAAATATTATGAACAAACATCAAGGAAAGATGCTTCTGAGTAGCAAATAAAAAAATCTACAAATAACAGGGAAACTGCCCATAATGATGCACACACAGCACTCAAGTTTCATGGTATTTGCAAAAATGTTCATAAAGGGTTAGTGAATTGGCTCTTTGGGTTGCATATGTGATTGGACTCTGACATCCTGCTGATTGGCAGGTTGCTCTGGCTAATCAGCTATCATTCCATGTCATTGTTCATTCCCAAAACCACATCCCAAAGAGAAGTTCCATTTATTAGTAAAAGATAAATGATTATGTGAAGCATGATGCCAAAGAGTTCGTTCTGAGTAAAAAGAAATTGGAATCATTCTAAAGAAAATATGAATATAATGAACATTCCTGAGAAGATGACAAACACTTTGTATGACTAAAAGAAAGCTCAATGGGTTATTCAGAAAATTCTTGGAAGCCTGAGGCTTTGATAAAGAAAACAGTAATTGGAAATTAACACACATGAAAAAGAGGTGTCTTGGATAATACAGAAACAAAGGACAAAGTATGTGTTGGAAACCTATTATCCCTTTATCTGCTTAACAATCTTTCATTTGTCATCAATTAACCCTCCCGTTACTGAGTTAAGGGAGAGTATAATGGTGTTAAGTCATGGACTGAGGAGTTAGACAGCCTGGGTTTGAATTCCAGCTTTGCCTCTCATGATCTGTGTAACCTGGTGCAAGTTACTTAACTTCTCCATGCCTCGACTGCCTTACCTGAAAAATGGTCATATCATAGTCACATTAAAGGTTGTCAGGAATAAATAAGTATATATATGAGAATCTAGAACAATGACACATATGAGTGATGGCTGCTATTAGCATTACTGCTGAAACTCCTCAAATGCACCCAATCCATTCAGGTTAGTTCTGATGCTTCGGAGCCTCCAAAGCCTGATAGCACCCATATAATTGAGACTCTAATCATCAACCTAGGCACTCACAGCTTGAGCCTTCTGACATGCCCATTAACTCACTAACCTGGGCCATATCCATTACTCAGTTTCACCATTCCGACATATGGCCTTACTACTTCAATGAACTCCCTCACCTTTCCTTCTGTCTCCACCTATCTCAATCCTTCCTGCTTAGTTTTCTTCTATTGCAGAGGTAGTGCCTCTTCTCATTGCCAGATGCAATGCCTTTTTTTCCAAACCTATGCCTCTAATTATAAACATTTCTACTTATTCTAGAATTTGCTATTTTAATTATCTTCTTTTTCCCAGCATTTTAAGTCTCATCTTTTCAATGGATTTTCCCATCCTGCTTGCAAACATGCATAAATTTTTCATCCTCAAAAAGCTGTGCCTATCATCTTACTGAATAAGTGGCCTCCATTTCTCCATTTCCTCACTACCCTACCTGCTATCAAATTGTGGCTGAAACAGGTTACTTCAATAGTCACTAATAATTTCCTAATAGTAAATTATAATTGCTTTATCTCTTGGTGACTAATGCCAGCATTTGAAATTTCTCCCTATTTCTTTTTGAAATTCCCTCTTCCCTTGACTTCTATAACATAATGCTCTTCAAAGTCTTCTCCAAACTTTTTGCCCATTCTATTGTTTAATGAAGTAATTCAAACATAGAAATATTTTAAAAATCATGAACACTAATGTTACCACTACCCAGTCTCATCAAATCTTAATATTTTGTCATGTTGCATTGTTTTACTTTTCAGAAAAAAACATTTTAGAGACATTAGAAGCCCCCATAAAAAATTATTCTAAATTTGTGGTTATGTCCTTATATTTTATATTATTTATTTATTTGTTCAGCAACTACTTATTGAGTGCCTATGTATGTCAAACACTGCTCTAGGAACTTGTTATAATGTAGCAAACAGAGAAGACAAAAAAAAAAATCTGCTTCTTAAAACTAATATTCTAGTGGAAAGACAAAAAATAAGTAAGTAAAACATAATATATTCAGTGCTGACAAGTACTAAAAAGAAAAATATTACACAAAGGGAAGGAGAAAGTTTGTATTGAAGGGTTTGAAATTTTGAATGAGATAAAATTTTAGATAGGGTAATTACATACACACCATATATGTCTATTTCCATAAGCAACATATATTATTTTACATGTTTTTTAATTTTCTATAATTAATACCACACTATACATATCTTTTTAAAACTTAACACTTTATGCTCAACATTCCATTTTGGTTTAATTATGTTTATTAAACACTATGTGTGAGGAACACCCCATACAATTAGTGATTAAAGACTCCAATAGCATACTCACAGCTTGATTGACCCAAAATGCCAAAATACCTAGTTAAAAGCAATTATAGCTGCTAGAAAGTGAAGGGAGAACTGTGAGAAAGAGAGAGCCACAGTAAAGGAGATATCACCTATTTACCTCTGCCCAAATATCTAGCTGATCTCTGAACCACACATGTGAAAGCCTGCATGCAAACAACAAAAACCCAACTAGGGATTCAAGAACTAAACTGATATTCAATAAACTGATAGTTTATAGTTTATATCCCATTAAGTTAGTTACCTGCTAAAAAAGTCAACACTCTTCAGAGGAAAATAACAGAATACAGAGTCTCCACAACACTAAAATCACAATGTCCAGGATACAATCCAAATTTACATGACACACAAAGAAACAAGGAAATGTGACCCACTTGACCAATGGTGAAGAAAAAAGACAATAGAAAATGAACCCAAGATGATCCAGATGTTATCATTAACAAAGATTTTAAATCATGTAAGTCTGCTCAGTGCAGTGAAAAAAAAATGCTTATAATGATTGTAAAGATGTCAGTAGAGAAATTGAGACTATATTTTTAAAAAACCATTGGAAATTTTAGAACTCAAAAGTACAATATGTGAAATAAAAAATTCACTAGATGATATTAATGGCAGGGTGTAGAAAATAGATGAAATATGAAGTAAGCTTAAAGATAAATCACTGTAAATTATCCAATCTGAAAAACAGATCGAAAAAAATAATTAGAGGAAAAGGAACATAGCCTGGGGCCTGTGAGACAATAACAAAAGTTATAACATATAATTATACTCACAGAAGAAGAGGATAAAAATACTAATAATATATTAATATATTATTTTAAAATATTTAAGAACAAATATTTAAGGAAATAATGGCTGAAAATTTTCCAAAATTTGGTGACAAAAAAAATTTACAGATATAAAAAGAAGTACAAACCCCCAAGCAGGAAAAATACCATGAAAGTCAAGCCTTAAGCACATCAGATTCAAAATGCTGAAAAACAAAGACAAGGGAAAACCTTGGAACCAACCAGAGAATGATATACAATGACACACATTACATACAGGGAACATCAATGCAAATTAACACTGACTTCCAATCAGAAACAATGGATATCAGAAGATAATAAACTAACATCTTTACCATACTAAAAAGAAAAAGAAAACTGTTAATGCAGTGGCATATTTGGCACACACAAAAAAGTCCTTCATAATGAAAATAAAATAAAAATATTTTCAGATGGAAGAGAACTGAGAGAATTTGCCACCAGCAGACTTGCACTATAGGAAATAGTAATGGAAGTTCTTCAGGCTGAAGGAAAATGATACCAGATGAAAATGCAGATTTTCTCCCAGTCTACAGCTTGTTTTTCACTTTGTTTATGGAGTCTTTTACTGAAGAGTTTTAAAATGTAAACATAGCCAAGTTTAACCAGCCTACCAATCTTTTTCTCTATAGTTTGTGCTTTCCTATGCCCAAGGTTGTAAACAGATTCTTATATTTCATTCTAAAAGTTTTAAAGTTTTACTTTTCACATTTAAGTGTTTGTTTCAACTTAAATTTATGTTTATGTTTATGTGTGAAGTGGGGTCTGCTTCTTCCCCTATGAATAAGTAGCATCTTACCCATTTATTAAACTCTTCCCCAAAAGGTTCTAATTCCATGCCAACTTGATCATAAATCAACTTTTTTATGTATATATGAGGCTATTTGCCAGATTTGTATTCTGGACCACAGGTATGTTTGTACTTGCCTGTTTAACCATACTGTTTTAATAATGATAGCTTTATAATAAGTCTTTATAAGGCAAGTCCTCCCACCAGTGCTTGTTCTTCAAATTTATCTTGGCTATATTTGACCATTTTGCCTACTGCATCCCCACCCAAATCTAATCTTGAATTGTAATTCCCAAAATCCCCATGTGTCATGGTATGGATCCAGTGGGAGGTAATTCAGTCATGGGGGCGGTTACTCCCATGCTGCTGTTCTTGTGATAGTGAGTGAGTTCTCACAAGATCTGATGGTTTTATAAGGGGCTTTTCCCCCTTTTGCTCAGCACTTCTCCTTCCTGTCACCATGTGATGAAGGATGTGTTTGCTTCCCCTTCCACCATGATTGTTAAGTTTCCTGAGGCCTCCCCAGCCATGTGGAGCTGTGAGTCAATTAAACCTCTTTCCTTTATAAATTACCCAGTCTCAGGCAGTCCTTTATAGCAGCATGAAAATGGACTAATACACCTGCCATGTGAATTTTTTTAGTTTCAATTTTTAATTTTTGAAGATACATAGTAAGTGTATATATTTATGGATGAGATGTTTTGATATAGGCATGCAATGTGTAATACGCACATCAGGGTAAATGGTGTATTCATCACCTCAAGCATTTCTCTTTTGTGTTATACGCAATCCAATTATATTCCTTGTTATTTTTAAATGTGCAATTAAATTATGTTTGACTACAGTCGCTCTACTGAGCTAGCAAATACTAGATCTTATTCATTATTTCTAACTATTTTTTGTACCCATTAACCCTCCCCCATTGCCCCTCCACCCCCACTATTCTTCCCTGACTCTGTTAACCATCCTTCTACTCTCTATCTCTATGAGTTCAATTGTTTTAATTTTTAGGTGCCACAAATAAATGAGAACATGTGAAGTTGTTCTTTCTGTGCCTGGCTATTTCACTTAGCATAATGACTTCTAGTTCCATCCATGTCATTGCAAATGGCAGGATCTCATTCTTTTTTATGGCTGAATAGTACTCTCTTGTGTATATGTACCACATTTTCTTTACATGTTTATCTGTTTATAGACACTTAGGTTGCTTTCAAGTCTGGCTATTGTGAACAGTGCTGCAATAAACATGAGAGTGCAGATCTCTCTTCAATGTAATGCTTTCCATTACTTTGGGTATATACCTAGAAGGAGGATTGCTGGATCTTAAGCTCTATTTTTAGGTTTTTGAGGAACCTCCAACTGTCCTCCATAGTGGTTATACTAATTTACATTTCCACCAAGAGTGTATGAGGGTTCCCTTTTCTCCACATCCTCTCCAGCATTTGTTTTTGCCTGACTTTTGAATAAAAGCCATTTTAACTGGGGTGAGATGATATCTCATTGTAGTTTTGATTTGCATTTATCTAATGATCAATGATGTAGAGCAACTTTTCATATGCCCGTTTGCCATTTGTATGACATTTTTTGAGAAATGTCTATTTAAATCTTTTGCCCACTTTTGAATTGGATTATTAGATTTTTTTCCTACAGAGTTGTTTGAACTCCTTATATATTCTCGTTATTAATCCCTTGTCAAATAGGTAGTTTGAAATATTTTCTCCCATTCTGTGGGTTAGCCCTTCACTATGTTGATTGTTTCTTTTGCTGTGCAGAAGCCTTTTAACTTGATGTGATCCCATTTGTCCATTTTTGCTTCAGTTGCCTGTGCCTGTGGAGTATTACTCAGGAAATCTTTGCCAGTTAAGTGTCCTAGAAATTTTCCCCAAAGTTTTCTTTTAGTAGTTTCATTGTTGGAAGTCTTAAATTTAAGTCTTTAATCCATTTTGATTTGATTTTTGTATATGGTGAGAAATAGGAGTCTAGTTTCATTCTTTCACATATGGACATCCAGTTTTCCAAGCACCATTTATTGAAGAGACTGTTCTTTCCCGAATATATGTTCTTGGTAGTTTTGTCAAAAATGAATTCACTGTAGATGTATGGATTTATCTCCAGGTTCTCTGTTCTGTTCCATTGGTCTATGTGTCTGTTTTTATGCCAGTACCATGCCATTTTGGTTACTATAGCTCTGTAGTGTAAGTTGAAGTCAGGTAATGTGATTTTTTCCAGTTTTGTTCCTTTTGCTTAAGATAGCTTTGGTTATTCTGGGTCTTTTGTGGTTCCACATAAATTTTATAATTGCTTTTTTCTATTTTTGTGAAGAATGTCATTGGTATTTTGATAGGGCTTGAATTGAATCTATAGATTGCTTTAGGTGGTATGGTCATTTTAACAATATTAATTCTTCCAGTACATGAACATGGAATATATTTCCTTCTTCAATTTCTTACATCAATGTTTTATAGTTTCAGTGTAGAGATCTTTCACTTCTTTGGTTAAGTTAATTTGTAGGTATTTTATCTTATATTGTAACTATTGTAAATGGCATTACTTTCTTGACTTCTTTTCTTTTTTTTTTTTTTTTTTTTTTTTTTTTTGAGACAGAGTCTCGCTCTGTCCCCCAGGCTGGAGTGCAGTGGTGCGATCTCAACTCACTGCAAGCTCCACCTCCCAGGTGCACGCCATTCTCCTGCCTCAACCTCCTGAGTAGCTGGGACTACAGGTGCCCACCATCACACCTGGCTAATTTTTTGTATTTTTTTTAGTAGAGACAGGGTTTCACCGTGTTAGCCAGGATGGTCTCAGTCTCCTGACCTCATGATCCACCTGTCTCGGCCTCCCAAAGTGCTGGGATTACAGGCATAAGCCACCAAGCCTGGCCTTGATTTCTTTTTAAGATTGTTTGCTGTTGGCATATAGAAACACTACTGATTTTTGTATGTTGATTTTATATCCAGCAACTTTACTGAATTTACTTATCCATTCATGTTTTTAATATAACATTGTTTATATCGAGGTATGTTCCTTCTGTAAACTAAAAATACAATTCTAAGGCCCCCCCAACCATCTGAATGAACCCCTCCTTTTGGCCAAGGGCATTTCAAAGTTAACCTGAAAAACTGGTTCAGAACGTGATGGGAATGGAGGGGTCAGACATGCCTCATTATGCCCTCCTTCCTTTTGGAATTCAGGAAAGGCCAACCAGCATTCACATCAACACAGACCTTAAGTCTGATAAGAAACACTTATAATCTATTATCTCTGAAGCCAGCTACCTGGAGGCTTCATCTGCATGATAAGCTTTGGTCTCCACAACCTCTTATCATTGTAAACAAGATATTCCTTTCTATTGATTCCCGGTCTTTAGATAATAACAACTCTTTCAATCAATTGCCAATCAGAAAATTTTTAAATCTTCCTACAACCTGGTAGCCTGTGCTTCAAGCTATCCCACCTTTCCAGACCAAACCAATGTAAATCTTACAAGTGTTTACTGATGTATTATGTCTCCCTAAAAGGTATAAAAGCAGGCCATACCATAACTACCTTGGGCCCATATCATCAGGACCTCCTGAGGGTGTGTCATGGGTGTGTTCTTAACCTTGGCAAAATAAACTTCCTAAATTGATTAAGACCTGTCTCAGATACTTTTGGGTTCACACTTCTATACCCAGTTTTATAAGAGTTTTTATCATGAAGAGGTGTTGAATTTTATCAAATGCTTTTTCAGCATGAATTGAAATGATCATATGGTTTTTATCCCTCATTCTGTTGATATGATGTCTCACATGATTGATTTGTGTGTATGTTGAACTAACATTGCATCCCTGGGATAAATCACATTTGGCCATGATAAATGTTCTTGTTTTCTTTTTTTTTTTTTAAGCTATCTCCTACATGAAGGATAATCTTTGTTTAAGATGTGTTGTTAAATTTGGTTTGCTAGTATTTTGTTGAGGATTTTTGCATCAATATTCATCAGTGATATTGGCCTATAGTGTCTTTTTTTCTTTTTGATGTTTCTTTGTCTGGTTTAGTATCAGGGTAATATTGGCCTCATAGGATGTATTTGGAAATATTATCCCCTCCTCTACTTTTCCAATATGTTTGAAGAGGACTGGTACTATTCTTTAAATGTCTGGCAGAATTCATCAGTGAAGCCATCAGGTCCCAGGCTTTTCTTTGCCTGGAGACTTTATTATGGCTTCAATCTCACTACTTGTTATTGGTCTGTTCAGGTTTTGGATTTATTCATGGTTCAATTTTAGTAGGTTGCATGTGTCTAGGAATTTATCCATTTCTTCTAGTGTTTCCAATTTATTGGCATATATTAATAGTTCCTCATAGTAGCCACTAAATGAGCCTTTGAATTTCTGCAGTATAAGTTGTAATGTCTCCATTTTCATCTCCTATTTTATTTATTTGAGTCTTCCCTCTTTTTTTCTTAGTCTGGCTATAGATTTATCAATTTTGTTTATCTTTTCAAAAAGCCAAATTTTTGTTTCATTGATTTTTATGTTGTTTTCTTCATATTAAATTCATTTATTTTTGCTTTGATCTTTATTATTTCTTTCTTCTAAAAATTTTGGGTTTGGTTTGATCTTGATTTTCTGGTTCTTTATGATGTATTATTAGGTTGTTTATTTGAAGCTTTCTTATTCCACAATGTAGGCACTTATAGCTGGGAACTTCCATCTTCATACTGCTTTTGCTATATCCCATAGGTTTTGGTATGTTGTGTTGCCATTGTCATTTGTTTCAAGAAAATTTTCCATTTCCTTCTTAACATCTTTATTGACTCACTGGTCATTTAGAAGTATATTGCTTAATTTCCACGTTTGTAGAGTTTCCAAAGTTCCTCTTGTTATTGATTTCTAGTTTTATTCCATTGTGTTCAGAGAAAGTGCTTGATATTATTTTAATTTTTTTGATGTTTTAAGACTTGTTTTGTGACCTAATATATGGTCTATCCATGAGAATTATCTATGTGCCAAGGAAAAGAATGTGTATTCTGCAGCTGTTGCATAAAATGTTCTGTAAATATCTACTAGTTCTGTTTGTTCTATAGTGCAGATTAAGTCCAGTGTTTCTTTGTTAATTTTCTGTCTGGAAGATCTGTCCAATGCTGAAAGTGGGGTGTTGAAGTCTTAAGCTATTATTGCATTGAGTTCTATTTCTCTCTTTAGCTCTAATAATATTTTCTTCATATATCTGGGTACTCCCCTATTGAGTACATATATATTTACTATATCCTCTTGCTGAATTGACCCCTTTATCATTATATACTGGCCTTCTTTGTCTCTTATAGTTTTTGTCTTGAAATCTATTTTGTTGGATATAAATATAGCCACTCCTGCTCTTTTTGGTTTCCATTGGCATGGAGTATTGTTTTCTATCCCTTTGTTTTCAGTCGATGTGTGTCTTTATAGGTAAAGTGTGTTTCTTGTAGACAACAGATCATTGGGTCTTTTTTTTTTTTTTATCTGTTCAGCCATTCCATGTCTTTTGATTGGAAAGTCTAGTTAATTTACATTCAATGTTATTATTGATAAGTAAGGACTTACTCCTACCATTTTGTTATTTGCTTTCTGGTTGTTTTGTGGTCTTCGCTTCTTTTCTTCATTCCTGTCTTCCTTTTAGGGAAGATAATTTTCTCTGGTGGTACGATTTACTTATTTTAGTTTTTAAGGGATGAATAATAGAGAGTGATTAGGTTATTTTATTTTATTTAGTTATTTTTAATTATTTTTTATTCTTTTATAAAGACAGGGTCTCACTATGTTGCCCAAGCTGGTCTGGAACTTCTGGCCTCAAGCAATCGTCTTACCTTGGCCTCCTAAAGTGCTAGTATTACAGGGGTCAGCCACCACACCTGGCCATGATAGCATGATTTAATTTCTTGCTTTTAATTTTTTGTGTATCCTTTGTATGTTTTTTATTTAAGGGTTACCATGAGGCCTACAAATACTATCTTATAACCCATTATTTTAAGCTGATAACAACTTAACACTGTGTGCGTAAGTAAACAAATAAGCAAAAAGAAAACCAATAAAACTCTACACCTTAACTTCATCCCCCTGCTTTTTAACTTTTTGCTGTTTCTATCTTATCATACTGCCTGTTTCTTGAAAAGTTGTAGTTATTATCTTGGATGAGTTCATCATTTAGTCTTTCTAATTAAGAGTGGTTTACGGGCTGGGTACAGTGGTGCTGGCCTGTAATCCCAGCACTTTGGGAGGCTGAGGCAGGTGGATCACGAGGTCAGGAGTTCAAGATGAGCCTGGCCAAGATGGTGAAACCCCGACTCTACTAAAAATACAAAAATTAGCCAGGTGCAGTGGCAGGTGGCTGTAATCCCAGCTACTCAGGAGGCTGAGTCAGAACAACTGCTTGAACCTGGGAAGTGGAGGTTGCAGAGAGCAAAGATTGCACCACTGCACTCCAGCCTGGGTGACAGAATGAGACTCCATCTCAAAAAAAAAAAAAAAAGGTGTGGAGCCAAGATGGCCAAATAGGAACAGCTCCGGTCTACAGCTCCCAGCGTGACACAGAAGACGGGTGATTTCTGCATTTCCATCTGAGGTACCGGGTTCATCTCACTAGGGAGTGCCAGACAGTGGGCACAGGACAGTGGGTGCAGCGCACCGTGCATGAGCCGAAACAGGGCGATGCATTGCCTCACTCGGGAAACGCAAGGGGTCAGGGAGTTCCCTTTCCTAGTCAAAGAAAGAGGTGACAGATGGCACCTGGAAAATCGGGTCACTCCCACCCTAATACTGTGCTTTTCCAACGGGCTTAAAAAATGGCGCACCAGGAGATTATATTGCGCACCTGGCTTGGAGGATCCTACGCCCACGGAGTCTCACTGATTGCTAGCACAGCAGTCTGAGATCAAACTGCAAGGCGGCAGCGAGGCTGGGGGAGGGGCGCCCACCATTGCCCAGGCTTGCTTAGGTAAACAAAGCAGGCGGGAAGCTCGAACTGGGTGGAGCCCACCACAGCTCAAGGAGGCCTGCCTTCCTCTGTAGGCTCCACCTCTGGGGGCAGGGCACAGACAAACAAAAAGACAGCAGTAACCTCTGCAGACTTAAATGTCCCTGTCTGACAGCTTTGAAGAGAGCAGTGGTTCTCCCAGCATGCAGCTGGAGATCTGAGAACGGGCAGACTGCCTCCTCAAGTGGGTCCCTGACTCCTGACCCCCGAGCAGCCTAACTGGGAGGCACCCCCCAGTAGGGGCAGACTGACACCTCACATGGCCGGGTACTCCTCTGAGACAAAACTTCCAGAGGAATGATCAGACAGCAGCATTCACGGTTCACGAAAATCTGCTGTTCTGCAGCCACCGCTGCTGGTACCCAGGCAAACAGGGTCTGGAGTGGACCTCTAGCAAACTCCAACAGACCTGCAGCTGAGGGTCCTGTCTGTTAGAAGGAAAACTAACAAACAGAAAGGGCATCCACACCAAAAACCCATCTGTACATCACCATCATCAAAGACCAAAAGTAGATAAAACCACAAAGATGGGGAAAAAACAGAGCAGAAAAACTGGAAACTCTAAAAAGCAGAGCACCTCTCCTCCTCCAAAGGAACGCAGCTCCTCACCAGCAACGGAACAAAGCTGGACAGAGAATGACTTTGACGAGTTGAGAGAAGGCTTCAGACGATCAAACTACTCCAAGCTACAGGAGGAAATTCAAACCAAAGTCAAAGAAGTCGAAAACTTTGAAAAAAATTTAGACGAATGTATAACTAGAATAACCAATACAGACAAGTGCTTAAAGGAGCTCATGGAGCTGAAAGCCAAGGCTCGAGAACTACGTGAAGAATGGAGAAGCCTCAGGAGTCGATGCAATCAACTGGAAGAAAGGGTATCAGTGATGGAAGATGAAATGAATGAAATGAAGCGAGAAGGGAAGTTTAGAGAAAAAAGAATAAAAAGAAATGAACAAAGCCTCCAAGAAATATGGGACTATGTGAAAAGACCACATCTACATCTGATTGGTGTACCTGAAAGTGACGGGGAGAATGGAACCAAGTTGGAAAACACTCTGCAGGATATTATCCAGGAGAACTTCCCCAATCTGGCAAGGCAGGCCAACATTCAGATTCAGGAAATACAGAGAACGCCACAAAGACACTCCTCGAGAAGAGCAACTCCAAGACACATAATTGTCAGATTTACCAAAGTTGAAATGAAGGAAAAAATGTTAAGGGCAGCCAGAGAGAAAGGTCGGGTTACCCACAAAGGGAAGCCCATCAGACTAACAGCGGATCTCTCGGCAGAAACTCTACAAGCCAGAAGAGAGTTGGGGCCAATATTCAACATTCTTAAAGAAAAGAATTTTCAACCCAGAATTTCATATCCAGCCAAACTAAGCTTCATAAGTGAAGGAGAAATAAAATACTTTACAGACAAGCAAATGCTGAGAGATTTTGTCACCACCAGGCCTGCCCTAAAAGAGCTCCTGAAGGAAGCACTAAACATGGAAAGGAACAACCGGTACCAGCCACTGCAAAATCATGCCAAATTGTAAAGACCATCGAGGCTAGGAAGAAACTGGATCAACTAACGAGCAAAATAACCAGCTAACATCATAATGACAGGATCAAATTCACACATAACAATATTAACTTTAAATGTAAATGGACTAAATGCTCCAATTAAAAGACACAGACTAGCAAATTGGATAAAGGGTCAAGACCCATCAGTGTGCTGTATTCAGGAAATCCATCTCACGTGCAGAGACACACATAGGCTCAAAATAAAAGGATGGAGGAAGATCTACCAAGCCAATGGAAAACAAAAAAAGGCAGGGGTTGTAATCCTAGTCTCTGATAAAACAGACTTTAAACCAACAAAGATCAAAAGAGACAAAGAAGGCCATTACATAATGGTAAAGGGATCAATTCAACAAGAAGAGCTAACTATCCTAAATATATATGCACCCAATACGGGAGCACCCAGATTCATAAAGCAAGTCCTGAGTGACCTACAAAGAGACTTAGACTCCCACACAATAATAATGGGAGACTTTAACACCCCACTGTCAACATTAGACAGATCAATGAGACAGAAAGTTAACAAGGATACCTAGGAATTGAACTCAGCTCTGCACCAAGCAGACCTAATAGACATCTACAGAACTCTGCACCCCAAATCAACAGAATATACATTTTTTTCAGCACCACACCACACCTATTCCAAAATTGACCACATAGTTGGAAGTAAAGCACTCCTCAGCAAATGTAAAAGATCAGACATTATAACAAACTGTCTCTCAGACCACAGTGCAATCAAACTAGAACTCAGGATTAAGAAACTCACTCAAAACTGCTCAACTACATGGAAACTGAACAACCTGCTCCTGAATGACTACTGGGTACATAACGAAATGAAGGCAGAAATAAAGATGTTCTTTGAAACCAACGAGAACAAAGACACAACATACCAGAATCTCTGGGACACATTCAAAGCAGTGTGTAGAGAGAAATTTATAGCACTAAATGCCCACAAGAGAAAGCAGGAAAGATCCAAAATTGACACCCTAACATCACAATTAAAAGAACTAGAAAAGCAAGAGCAAACACATTCAAAAGCTAGCAGAAGGCAAGAAATAACTAAAATCAGAGCAGAACTGAAGGAAATAGAGACACAAAAAACCCTCCAAAAAATTAATGAGTCCAGGAGCTGGCTTTTTGAAAGGATCAACAAAATTGATAGACTGCTAGCAAGACTAATAAAGAAGAAAAGATAGAAGAATCAAATAGATGCAATAAAAAATGATAAAGGGGATATCACCACTGATCCCACAGAAATACAAACTACCATCAGAGAATACTACAAACACCTCTATGCAAATAAACTAGAAAATCTAGAAGAAATGGATAAATTCCTCGACACATACACCCTCCCAAGACTAAACCAGGAAGAAGTTGAATCTCTGAATAGACCAATAACAGGCTCTGAAATTGTGGCAATAATCAATAGCTTACCAACCAAAAAGAGTCCAGGACCAGATGGATTCACAGCCGAATTCTACCAGAGGTACAAGGAGGAACTGTTACCATTCCTTCTGAAACTATTCCAATCAATAGAAAAAGAGGGAATCCTCCCTAACTCATTTTATGAGGCCAGCATCATCCTGATACCAAAGCCGGGCAGAGACACAACCAAAAAAGAGAATTTTAGACCAATATCCTTGATGAACATTGATGCAAAAAATCCTCAATAAAATACTGGCAAACTGAATCCAGCAGCACATCAAAAAGCTTATCCACCATGATCAAGTGGGCTTCATCCCTGGGATGCAAGGCTGGTTCAATATACACAAATCAATACATGTAATCCAGCATATAAACAGAACCAAAGACAAAAACCACATGATTATCTCAATAGATGAAGAAAAGGCCTTTGACAAAATTCAACAACCCTTCATGCTAAAAACTCAATAAATTAGGTATTGATGGGACGTATCTCAAAATAATAAGAGCTAACTATGACAAACCCACAGCCAATATCATACTGAATGGGCAAAAACTGGAAGCATTCCCTTTGAAAACTGGCACAAGACAGGGATGCCCTTTCTCACCACTCCTATTCAACATAGTGTTGGAAGTTCTGGCCAGGGCAATCAGGCAGGAGAAGGAAATAGAGGGTATTCAGTTAGGAAAAGAGGAAGTCAAATTGTCCCTGTTTGCAGATGACATGACTGTGTATCTAGAAAACCCCAACGTCTCAGCCCAAAATCTCCTTAAGCTGATAAGCAACTTCAGCAAAGTCTCAGGATACAAAATCAATGTACAAAAATCACAAGCATTCTTATACACCAATGACAGAGAGCCAAATCATGAGTGAACTCCCATTCACAATTGCTTCAAAGAGAATAAAATACCTAGGGATCCAACTTACAAGGGATGTGAAGGACCTCTTCAAGGAGAACTACAAACCACTGCTCAATGAAATAAAAGAGGATACAAACAAATGGAAGAACATTCCATGCTCATGAGTAGGAAGAATCAATATTGTGAAAATGGCCATACTGCCCAAGGTAATTTATAGATTCAATGCCATCCCCATCAAGCTACCAATGACTTTCTTCACAGAATTGGAAAAAAACCACTTTAAAGTTCATATGGCACCAAAAAAGAGCCCGCATTGCCAAGTCAATCCTAAGCCAAAAGAACAAAGCTGGAGGCATCATGCTACCTGACTTCAAACTATACTACAAGGCTACAGTAACCAAAACAGTATGGTACTGGTACCAAAACAGAAATATAGATCAATGGAACAGAACAGAGCCCTCAGAAATAACGCCACATATCTACAACTATCTGATCTTTGACAAACCTGAGAAAAACAAGAAATGGGGAAAGGATTCCCTATTTAATAATGGCACTGGGAAAACTGGCTAGCCATGTGTAGAAAGCTGAAACTGGATCCCTTCCTTACACCTTATACAAAAATTAATTCAAGATGGATTAAAGACTTAAACGTTAGACCTAAAACCATAAAAACCCTAGAAGAAAACCTAGGCATTACCATTCAGGACATAGGCATGGGCAAGGACTTCGTGTCTAAAACACCAAAAGCAATGGCAACAAAAGCCAAAATTGACAAATGGGATCTAATTAAACTAGAGAGCTTCTGCACAGCAAAAGAAACTACCATCAGAGTGAAGAGGCAACCTACAAAATGGGAGAAAATTTTCACAACCTACTCATCTGACAAAGGGCTAATATCCAGAATCTACAATGAATTCAAACAAATTTACAAGAAAAAAACAAACAACCCCATCAAAAAGTGGGTGAAGGACATGAACAGACACTTCTCAAAAGAAGACATTTATGCAGCCAAAAAACACATGAAAAAATGCTCACCATCACTGGCTATCAGAGAAATGCAAATCAAAACCACAATGAGATACCATCTCCCACCAGTTAGAATGGCAATCATTAAAAAGTCAGGAAACAACAGGTGCTGGAGAGGATGTGGAGAAATAGGAACACTTTTACACTGTTGGTGGGACTGTAAACTAGTTCAACCATTGTGGAAGTCAGTGTGGCGATTCCTCAGGGATCTAGAACTAGAAATACCATTTGACCCAGCCATCCCATTACTGGGTATATACCCAAAGGACTATAAATCATGCTGCTATAAAGACACATGCACACGTATGTTTATTGCAGCACTATTCACAATAGCAAAGACTTGGAACCAACCCAAATGGCCAACAATGATAGACTGGATTAAGAAAATGTGGCACATATACACCATGGAATACTATGCAGCCATAAAACATGATGAGTTCATGTCCTTTGTAGGGACATGGATGAAATTGGAAATCATCATTCTCAGTAAACAACCGCAAGGACAAAAAACCAAACACCGCATATTCTCACTCATAGGTGGGAATTGAACGATGAGAACACATGGACACAGGAAGGGGAACATCACACTCTGGGGACTGTTGTGGGGTGGGGGGAGGGATAGCTTTAGGAGATATACCTAATGCTAAATGATGAGTTAACGGGTGCAGCACACCAGCATGGCACATGTATACATATGTAACTAACCTGCACATTGTGCACATGTACCGTAAAACTTAAAGTATAATAATAATAAAAAAAATAAGAGTTGTCTACACACCACAGTTACACTGGTATAATACTCTGTGTTTTTTTGTGTACTTAACTATCAGCAGTGAGTTTTATACCTTAAGACGATTTCTTTTTGCTCATTAACATCCATTTTTTTCTGATTGAAGTACTCCCTTTAGCACTTTTTGTAGGACAGGTCTGGTGTTGATGAAATCCCTCAGCTTTTGTTTGTCTGGGAAGGTATTTCTCCTTCATGTTTGAAGGATATTTTCACTGGATATACTATTCTAGGATATATGTATTTTTCCTTCAGCCCTTTAAATATGTCATGCCACTCTCTCCTGGCCTGTAAGGTAACATTGAACTTTGCAAACATAGAGAAAGATATCAACATCCAAGTACAAGAAGGTTGTAAGACACCAAGAAGATTTAACCCAAAGAAGACTGCCTCAAGGCATTTTATAATCAAACTCCCAACAGTCAGTATTGGAGGTCTCCATTTTATGTTATTTCTTTATTTTCTCTTGCTGCTTTTAGGATCTTTTCTTTATCCTTGACCTTTGGTAGTTTGATATTAAATGCCTTGAGGTAGTCTTCTTTGGGTTAAATCTGCTTGGTGTTCTATAGCCTTCTTGAACTTGGATATAGATATCTCTCCCTTAGTTTGGGAAGTTCTCGTTATTATCCCTTTCAATAAACTTTCTACCCCTATCTCTTTCTCCACCTCCTCTTTAAGGCCAATAACTGTTAGATTTGACCTTTTAAGGCTATTTTCTATATCCTGTAGGCATGCTTCACTGTTTTCTATTTTTTTCTTTTATCTCCTCCATGTATTTTCACATAGGCTGCCTTCAAGCCCACTAATTCTTTCTCCTCCTTGATCAATTCTGCTATTAAAAGACTCTGATGCATTCTTCAGTATGTCAATTGCATTTTTCAACTCCAGAATTTCTGCTTCTTTTTATTTCAATATTTTTGCTAAATTTATCTGACAAAATTCTGAATTCCTTGTCTGTGTTATCTTCAATTTCTTTGAGTTTCCTCAAAACAGCTATTTTGAATTATCTGTCTGAAAGGCAACATATCTTTGCTTCTCCAGGACTGGTCCCTGGTGCCTTATTTAGCTCATTTGATAAGGTCATGTTTTTCTGGATGGTCTTGGTACTTACAGATGTTTGTCTGCGTCTGGGCATTGAAGAGTTAGATATTTCTCAGTTTCCTGGTCTGGTCTTGTTTGTATCCATCCTTCTTGGGAAGGCTTTCCAGATATTCAAGAGGACTTGAGTGTTGTGATCTAAGCTGTATCTGCATTAAAGGGCACCCCAGGCCCAGTAATGCTGTGGTTCTCACAGACTCATACAGGTACCACCTTGATTGTCTTGGAAGAGATCTGGAAGAATTCTGTGGATCACAAAGCTGAGACTCTTGTTTTCTTCCCTTACTCTCTGTCAAAAAAATGGAGTCTCTCTTTCTCTGTTCTCAGCTGCCTGGGGCTGGAGGTGGAGTGACACAAGCCCCCACTGTGGTCACCACTACCAGGACTGCACTGGGTCAGCACAGCACTGGGCCTCAACCCAAGGCTAACTATAACCACTACCTGGCTATCACCTTTGTTCCCTCAAGGCCCTGGGGCTCTACAATCAGCAGGCAGGGAAGCCAGCTAGGCTTCTGTCCTTCCCTTCAGGGCAGCAAGTTCCCCCAGGTCCTGGGTGGGTCCAGAGGTGACATCCAGGAGCCAGAGACTACGGTCAAAAACCTTAGAAATCTAGCTGGTGTTCTATTGTACTGCAGCTAAGATGGCACTCAAATCAGAAGACACAGTCCTTTCCACTCTTCTCTCACCTTTCTAGAGGCAGAGGGGCCTCATCCTGTGGCCAGGATGGGGAGTACTGCGAAGCTACCACCAATACTCCCTTAAGGCCCAAGAGCTCTTTAGTCAGCTTGTGGTGAATGCTGCCTAGCCTGGGACTCACCCTTCGGGGCAATGCGCTCCCCTCTGACTCAGGGTAGACCCAAAAATGCCATCCAGGAGTCAAGACCTTGAACTGGGGACCCCAAGAGCCTGCTTGGTGCTCTATTCCCCTGTGGCTGAGCTGGTACATATGGAGCAAGCCAAAGTCTGCTTTTCTTTTTCCTCCACTTTCCTCAAGCAGAAGGAGTCTCTCCCCATAGCCACCACAGCTAAGAATGTGCTGAGTCTCACCTGAAGTCAGAAAATCTCAGTTTCACCTACGGCCCACAGTGTATTTCCTGGGCATCACTGTTGGTTATTCAAGGATCAAAGGCTCTTTAGTTAGCAGACAATGGGTACTGCCAGGACTGGGTCTTTCCCTTCAAGGAAGCAGGTTCCCTTCTGGCCCAAGGTGTGCTAGAAATATAATCCAGGAGCCTAGAAAGGGGGCCTCATTACTTTGACCATTGTCCTATTCTACTGTGGCTGAGCTGGTATCCAATATGCAAGACAAAGTCCTCTTTACTCTTCTCTCTCCTCTCTCCTCACGTGGAAGGAAGGGACCTCTTTTGAAGCCATGAGCTGTGCAGGCTGGGGTTGTGGGAGGGGTGGCACAAGCACTCCCCTAGCTGCCCCAGCTGGTGTCTCAGTAAGTGGCATGTCCCCCAAGTCCACTGGCTCTGATACCAGTTCAGCACTAGGACTCACCCAGGAGTTCCTTGTAGCCTAAGGTGCCTTTCAAGTTTAATGAGGGTCCCAGAGCACTCCATCCCTAGGTGGCAAGACTTGCCAGAACTAAAGTTCAGACCGCTGGGATAGGTGATTCCCCTCTGGCTAGGGCTGGTTTAAATACTCCCTCTGTGGGCAGACGTCAGCTGAGTTCAGCCTGGTATTGCTTTTTGCTATGACAGGGCAGAACTAAGTTTCATGTAATGTTTCACAGTTGCTGCACTCACCCACTCCCAAGTGTCCAGATTCTCTCTCCCTGCCACATAGCCACTGCTAGGTGAGGGAGGAAGGGTGGTGTCAGTGATTCAAAACTCTTTTCTAGCCTCTTCAATGCCCCTTTCAGTGATATGAAGTTAAAACCATATATTGTGAGTGATCACCTAATTTTTGGTTCCTATGCAGGTGCTTTTTGTGGACAAATAGTTGTTAAATTGGTGTCTTTATTGGGGGACTGATTGGTGAAGCCTCTATTCAGCCATCTTACTCCACCCCTTCTACTCATGTAAATTTTAGAATCAATTTATCAAATTATATTTTAAAACCTTTTGAAATTTTGACTGGAATTGCATTGAATGTATGAAGTAATTTTGAGATAATTTATATCTTGACTGTTTTTATTCATAGGAATGATGTCTCTTTCCATGTATCTAGATATTTTATTTTTTATATATGTTTCCATTTATTTATTTATTTTACAGACAGGGTCTTGCTCTGTCACCCAGGCTGTAGTGCAGTGGTGCTATCATACTTCAGTGCAGCCTCAAACTCCTAGCCTCATGCAATCCTTCTACCTCAAAAGTAACTGGGACTACAGGAGCATGCCATCAGACCTGGCTAATTTATTTTTATTTTTTGTAGAGACGGAGGTCTCACTATGTTGTCCAGGCTGGTCTCAAATTCCTGGCCTCAAGTGATTCTCCTGCCTTGGCTTCCCAAAGCACTGGAATTATAGGTATGAGCCACTGCACCTGGCTATACCTAGCTTTTCAATAATATGCTGTAGTTTTCTTCATAAGAGTCTTGAACACCTTTTGTCAAATTTATTTATAAGTACCTTATAATTTTATTGCTATTTTGAATGGAATATTATTTCATATTATATTTCAAATTAATTATTATTGAGATACAGAAAGAATATTGATTTTAGGTTGATCTTATATCTAACAACCTTGCTAATCTCTCTTATCAGTTCTAATACTTTGTAGATTCTCCAAAATGTTCTACATAAACAAACTTAGCATCTACAAATAATGAGAGTTTTGACTTGCACTTACAATTATTATAATTATTATTCAATCTTACTACATTGGATAAGATCTCCAGAACAATGCTGAATAAAAGCAGTATAGTGAATCCTTTCTTTATTCCTAATTTTATTGACAAAGTGTTTAAAATTCATCACTAAATTTGTTATGCTTATTGTAGGACATTTTTATAGATGTGGTTGAGGAAGTTTCCTTCTATCATATTTAGCTAAGAGTTTTTAGTGATAAAGTTTTATTGCATTTTAAAATAAAGGTTTTATTAGGCAGATAGTACAGAGTTCCCATATACCCTGTCTTCCCCTCCCACATCACATACACCAAGTTTTTCCCATTACTAACATCTTGCTTTAATGTGGTACATTTGTTATAATTGATGAACCAGTATTGATATGGTATTTTTATTTTTACACTTTGTGGGTTTTTTTTAAGACAAGATCTCACTCTGTTGCCTAGGCTAGAATGCAGCGGTGCAAACATAGCTCAGTGTGGCCTTGGCCTTCTGGGCTCAAGCAATCTTCCCGCCTCAGCCTCCTGAATAGCTGGGACCACAGGCGTGCACCACCATGCCCAGCTGGTTTTTTATTTTTTGCAGAGACAGGGTCTTTTTATGTTGCCTAGGTTAGTCTTGAACTCCTGTGCTCAGGTGAGCTTCCCACCGTGGCCTCCCAAAGTACTGGAATCACAGGCATGAGCCACTGCACCTGTTCTTATTATGGTATTATTAACTAAAGTCCATAGTTTACTTTAGGCTTCACTCTTTCATCAGTACAATTTTAGAGATAAGCCAGTCAAAGGTATTCTTCATCTTTCTTAGTGTTTTCTACTTCTAGCATTTCCTTTAGATTCTTTTAGAGCTTCCATCTCTCTACTTATATTACTCGTGTGTTCTTCTTTGCTGTCCACTTTCTCTATTAGAGCCCTTAGCATATTAATCATAGTTATTTTAAATGTCCAGTCTCATCATTCCAAAGTTTCTACCCTATTCGAGTCTGGTACTGATGCTTGCTTTGTCTTTTCAGACTGTGTTTTTTCTTGCCATTAATTATGCCTTGTAATTTTTTGTTGAAGACCGGACATAATGCATTGAGTAATAGTAACTGTAGGTATACAGGCCTTTATTGTGCAGTTTTGTGTTTATTTGGCTGAGAGTTAGTCTGTGCTTAATGTTGGCTATAACTGTAGGTGTCAGAGCCTTCAATTTCCTCTAGTGCTCTTGTTTTGTCTCCCTTGTTCAATTTGAGTTTCCCTAAAAATGCCTTCTTAAATCGTCTGCGTCTTTCATCTCTCTTCCTTGTGATCTTATGTTATTATGCTAGAGCCCTGTTGATGTGGTAGTAAGGTACTGGGGAGGAGAAGCATTCTATAATCTTATAATTAAATCTCCAGTTTTTTTAATGGGCCAAATTTTCTGGACTGAGACCTTCCAAATAGTTTCTTACCTTTTTTTCCCCTGCATTTCTGTGAGACGGAAAAACTAGAGTGCACTCCAATGATCTGATTGCCCTTCTCCTAACACAGATAAGGCCTGGTAGTTTCCTTTAAGGACAGACCTTTGTTAGAGAGAACAGATGTATTTTCCTCTCCCCTGCCAGAGGCATGAGATTTTTCTCAGCACTTTATCATGAGAACCTGGTGGGGCTCCTAGAGATAAAACTTATGAAAGTGGGTGTCCTCCCCACAAGTCTAGGCCCTCAAGAGTTTTTATGTCTCAAGTTAGTCCACACTCAGCCTCCAGCAATGTGTCAATTATTGTTTAAGTGTTTCTATCAGGTATTGCATTTAGAGGCTTCTGCTCCCTGTAACCTGTGATTCTCTGTATTTGCCTATCTCTCTAGTTTGGGGAGTTGTGGTGTAATGAGTTGAATAGTATCCCCCCAAAATGTATGTCTACCAAGAACCTCAGAAGGTGACCTTATTTGGAGATAAGGTCTTTGCAGATGTAATCAAGTTAAGATGAGCTCATACTGGGTTAGAGTGGGCCTTAAATCTAATAACTGGCACCCCATAAAAAGAGAGGAGATGCAGAGACACACACAGGAAATAAGTTCATGGAAAGATGAAGGCAAAAATTGGAGTGATGCAGCTACAAACCAAGGAATACCAAGATTGCTGGGAGCCACCAGAAGCAAGGAAAAAATGAAGAATTCCTCCCTAGACTATCTAGGGCTTCCATCTGCTGACGCCTTGATTTTCTTTAGACTTCTAGCCTCCAGAACTAGAACAGAATAAATTTTTGTTGTTTTAAGCCACCTAGTTTATAGTACTTTGTTATAGCCGCCTAGGAAACTAATATATGCAGTTCACCTTCTGATCCCTATTATCTAATAGATCTAAGAAAAGTTGCAGAGTTTCAGTTTCTCCCTTATTATGAGATGAGTGATAACTTCCAAGCTCTTTGTGTGTTAGAGCAGAACCCAAAAGTTTGTACTGAGTTTTAATAAATCATCTTTTAGGATGATCATAAGGTTTTCTGTCTGTTAGTAAGATGTATTATATTATTAGATTTTCTTGTTTCCTTGTTTTCTTTTTAGAGACAGGATCTCACCTTGTTGGCCAGGCTGGAGTGCCAAGGCATGATTATAGTTCACTGTGGCCTCAAGCTTCTGGGCTCAAGTGATCCTCGCACCTCACCCTCCCAAGTAGCTGGGACTACAGGCACATGTTACCATGCCTGACTAATTTTCTTTTTCTTTTTTTTAAAGATATGGGGTCTCACTATGTTGCCTAGGCTGGTCTCAAACCTCTGGACTCCAGAGATCCTCCTGCCTAAGACCCCCAAAGTGCTGGAATAACAGGCGTGAGCCACCATGCCCAGCTCATTAATAGATTTTCTAAAGAATCCTCACATCCCAGAAATAAACTTGATCCTAATATACTATTTTTTCTTAACACTGCTGAATTTGCTGTGTTAATTTTTTTTCTAGAATTTTTGCACCTATGATGGAAAGTGACATTGTTTAACAATTTTCTCATCCAATTATAGTATCAAAGCTATAGTAGCCTGTAAATGAACTGAATGGATCTCCTTCTTTGTCTAATCTCAGTTTATATAAAATAGGGATTAACTATTCCTTGGTAGTTTAGGTGAATGGTGATCAGCCATCCTGTCTACCCAGGACTGTCCCAGCTCAGCATTAAAGATCAATGTCCCAGGAATCACAAGTCCTGGACCAACCAGGATAGTTGGTCACCTTAGTAGATGAAACTCCGCTGGTATCTTCTGATATTGGGGAAAGTAGTGGAGAGATTACTCTCCTGCTCTTCTATTTCTAGTTTCTTGAGTTAAACATTTAACTATTTTTAAATGTTCTTAACAAGTGCATTTACTTTCCAGTGTCACCTTAGCTGTATGCATTTCAAATTACATTTATTGTCATTTGATTCTGAATATTTTTGTAATTGGCATTGTGAATTCCTCTTTAAATCAAACATACAGAATTTTCTTACCATCTTTTTCTTGTGGATTTCTAAACTGTAGCCAGCAAATATGACCTTAATAACATTAGTTCTTTGAATTTTGAGACTTCTTTTATAACATGGAAAGGTGATCAATGTTTGTAATGTTCTCAGATTACTTGAAGCATTTATATTCTTTGTTTGTTGGAAAAGAGGGTTACTTTTGTTAACTTTGGATAGAAATTTTTTATATTTTGTTAATTTTTTATATGCTTGACTTAGTTTCTCTCACTTTGTGGTTTTTATTCATTTCTCCTTGTAATTCTGTCAGTTTTTAGTTATTGATATAACATTCACAATATCATATATAATATTTAAAGGTTATGTTATTTAGGGTAAACATAATTGTTACATCTTCTTGTGGATTTTTTTTTTTTTGAGATGGAGTTTTGCTCTTGTCACCCAGGCTGGAGTGCAATGGTGTGATCTTGGCTCACTGCAAACTCCGCCTCCCAGGTTCAAGCGATTTTCCTACCTCAGCCTCCCGAGTAGCTGGGATTACAGGTGCCCGCCACCACACGCAGCTAATTTTTGTGCTTTTAGTAGAGAAGGGGTTTCACCACGTTGGCCAGGCGGGTCTCGAACTACCGACCTCAGGTGATCCATCCGCCTCGGCCTCCCAAAGTGTTGGCATTACAGGCATGAACCACCCCTCCCGACTCTTCTTGTGGATTTTTAAAATTAATATATTGCAGCCTCATTTATTCTTTCAAATGATTTTGCCCTAAATTCTAATTTCCAATACATATCTATATAAGCTTCTTAAAATTAGTGTTTTCATTAGAGTTGGCTTCGTATATAATAATTTTCCATCCCTTTATGTTTGTCTAGCCTATGTGGTTTTAAGCTTGTCTCCTTTAAGACGCAAATAGCCAAATTTTATTTTTTACTCAATCTGCTCTCTTTCATTAAGAGAGGAGTTGAATCTTTTTATGTTTATTCTGATATACTTAAGCTTATATTTCATATCTTATTTTATATAGTTTTTACTGCCCTTTTTTCTCCTTTTCTCCCATCTTACTTTTAATATAAATTTTTCTGTAATCTCTCCTTTTCCCCCTGCTCATTTGAAAAATATGGATTGTGTTTCTATGTTTTACTGATTACATATATATTATATTACAATAATATATAATATGTATATATTTATATATATATATATATATATTTTTTTTAGAAGGTCTCACTCTGTCATTCAGCCTGAAATGCAGTGGTGTGATCATAGCTCACTGTGGCCTTGAACTCCTGGGTTCAAGCAATCTTCCTTCCTCAGCCTCCCAAGTAGCTGGGACTACAGGTACATGCCATCATGCCTGGCTAATTTTTTTTTTTTTATTTTTGTAGAAACAGGGTCTCACTATGTTGCCCAGGGTCACATTTTTTAAATGAAATGTTTGTGAATTTTTTAACAAATTCTAAAACCATTCAATATTTCAATCCTCTTCCCAACTGAATACGACTCCCCATTTTGTTACTGTTACTTAGAGTTTCAGTTTGCCTTTAAAAATAAAACTCACCATTCTCTTGGTCAACAGCTAATTAAATTTACCAATGCATTTTATCAATTTCTGTGCTCACAATTATTTCTTGCACACCATCCCTTCTCCTGGGTTTACTTTTCTTTCTTACTGAAGTATATCCTTGATTATTTGTTTCCAAAAAGTTATACAGCTAGAAAACAGTCCTACTCTTTCTTTATGTATCTGCAAATGTTTTTTGCCCACACTGTTAGGTGATATTTAAGTGGATATAAGAGTCTAGCTCACTCCATCTCAAAAAAAAAAAAAAAGAGTCTAGCTCAAAGTCTTTTTCACTTCAACACTTTCAAGATGATATCATTGTTTTCTGGGATCCTTTATTGGTGAAAAGTTACCTGTCACTCCAATTGCCTTTTTATAAAATAATCTAATTTTTTGGTGCTTCTTCTTGTGGTTGATAAAAAAAAATTTTTTTAATCCGCTTTTTCCCTCTCTGTAGCATTAGAACACTGTATTGATCATCAGTGTTCTGCAAATCCACTATGATGTGTCCTCATGTAGATTTATTTTATGCTGTTTGCTGTTGGAAACGCACTTTCTATCTGAGGACTCATGGCTTTTGTAATGCTGAAAAACTGTCAATATCTCTTGTGAAAAGAAAATAAATCTCAGGACCCCAAAATCACTAAGCTAAAGGGAAAGTTAAGCAGGGAACTGCATCAGGCAAACCTGCCTCCCATTTTATTCCTAAATGAGATGGCTGCAAAGATAAAAAAGCTGTCTACTTCCCTCGCAATTTTCCCACAGAGAAATTCCTTGTGGACCTAAAGATCTTTACCCTAAAACAGTCCTGCTGAATTTCACCTTGGCAATGTAAATTCATAGCTTATCTTCACAGCTGCAGGACAAAGGACAGAACTCAAAGTCATCCCTCTGCTTACACGAGAAAAATGCATATCTGATTGCTTCCTCTGTCCTATTGTTTATGTAAAAATGCAGATTCGCTGAGCCAGACTAAGGCATAAGTGACTATTCCTCTACCCCCCTCTCACATGTAAATTGACTACTCAGTGAAAGGCTGACCAAAGACTCAAGAGAATGCAACCATTTGTCTCCTACCTATTTATGACCTGGAAGCCCCACTCCCACCTGCCATTTTGAGTTGTCGTGACTTTCTAGACAGAACCAATGTACATCTTACACATATTAATTGATGTCTCATGTCTACCTAACATATATAAAACCAAGCTGTGCCTCAACCACCTTGGACACACGTCATCAGGACCTCTTGAGGCTGTGTCATGGGTATGTCCTTAACCTTGGCAAAACAAACTTTGTAAATTGCTCAGCAGAGACAGCAGAGAAGAAATATCTGCCAGTGGGAACCACAAGTATACGAGTCTACTTTTGGTTCACACTCTCACATATTTCTTCTCTACTGTCTCCTCCCTTTTCTTCTGGAACTTCTATTTGATATTAATATTTCAGAACCTCTAATTCTATCTATATCTCTTACTTGCTTGTTCATATTTCTTATCTCCTCACCTCTCATGACACATTCTGAGTGAATTCCTCAGAACTAGCTCTCAATTCACTGATTGTCTTTGTGTCCAATCCCGTGTGTATCCCAATTAATGTTTCATTTCAATGGTGTATATATTTCATTTTCATATATTTAATTATATTTTTTCATATCTACCTCTTCTCAGTTCATATCTGCTTTTTTGTTTATAATTTTTTCCTCCTTATGCATTTTATTCCTTCATTCAATACCAAATATACTTTAGTTTTAGGGTTTTTGACAGTTTGTTTCATAAAAATAATTTTATTTACAGTGCATTCACAGTCTCATAATTTTTTTAAGCTGGTTTTTTTTTTCTTTTCTTTTCTTTTTTTTTTTTTTTTTTGAGACAGAGTCTCACTCTGTCACTCAGGCTGGAATGCAGTGGTGCAATCTCAGCTCAGTGCAATCTCCGCATCTTGGGTTCAAGCAATTCTCCTGCCTCAGCCTCCCAAGTAGCTGGGATACAGGCATCCACTACCACACCCAGCTAATTTTTGTATTTTTAGTGGAGATGGGGTTTCACCATGCTGGCTAGGCTGATCTCAAACTCCTGACCTCTGGTGATCCGCCCACGTTGGCCTCCCAAAGTGCTGGGATTACAGGCATGAGCCACCATACCCGGCCTATGCTGTATTTCTTACCATTACATTACATTGTGGAATCTTGAATTGGATACGTCCTGTGTGAGAGGCTTTTGTTCTTATTTCATTTTCTCTCTCTTCTATTCCCTTATGCTCACTCTTCCCTTTCTAACAGTTTGTGGTTTGTCTGTTTGTTTCTACCTAACTCTCTGGACAACCAGTCCAGAACTAGACCTTATATACTAGCAGATAAGGATGTCAAATAGAGATATCACTAATCCAGTCACAAGACATTGGGCAATTTGATTCAGTCTGAGTCTCAAGGCTGTACCTATAGCTATCTGAATCTCTAGGCTGACAGCATGTTCTAAGCTGTAGGTATCCCAAGAAGGAGCCAACAACAATTTTCTTCAGACTCTTTTCTTGAGGTGGAGTGGGGCTGGGGCTAGCAGGAGACTTCAAGCAGTAAATGTGGCTCTAGTTCCTGTCTTACAAAGAGCACTACTCAAACCTGAAATGCGTTGTCTGCTTTCAGCCTGGAGTCCAGAGGCTTGTGGCATCAACCCTACTCATAAATTTGCATTTCTGTTCAGTTTCTGGTACAAATTGATATTTACCTTGTTTTGAGCTCAGTGATGATTTATCTATCATTACTGTGAGTTAAAGGCTCAAAACATGTACATGCTGCCACCTTGGGCAAGTAGTATCTGCCTAGTTCTTCATCTTTTGTATCCTACCCCTCAAAAACTGTGAGTTGTTTATCAAAGCTTTGCCCTTGGAATTTTCATCTTTTTTCTAAGATCTGTCTCTCTTTGGAAATTTTATCTACTCCTGTGCTTCGACAACAATTTACATGTTGAAGATTATCAACTTTTTAAAAAAATTTTTGTCCCAACCACTCTGCCAAGATTCAAGCTCACATTTTTAACTGTTTAATAGATGTCTATATCTGGATGCCCCACTAATACCTTAAACTCAGCATACATAAACCATGCACTATTTTCCTATCCCCATCAACACCTCTTCCTGATTTTATTTCTCATAATGAAGGTATCATTCTCACTATCACTGTTATCCAGACTTGAATTCTCAATGTTGTCTTATTCTCCCATCTGCTTCATCCGTATCATCTAATCAGGCTTCAAGTCCTGTCTTGTCTCTTTCAGAATCATCCCTGAATTCATTTCTTTCTTTCCATATTTTTTGCCATAACACTAATTCATTTCTTCTTGATCTCACATCCGAATCATTGAAATCCCTTCCATGATGGTTTCCTGGGTACTGCTCTCACTCCACTCTCAGCTTTTCTTCATTCTGCTCCCAGCATGATTTAGAGTAAGCACCCTAAAGCGATATGCACCGTAGACCCCAGTGCCCTGTGCTGTAATCAAACTTATCCTTGTGCCTTCCTCGTCATTAAGCCTTTATTCACGTCATCCCTTCCCTACATTTCTGCCTTAAAAGGCTGTCTTTATTCTGCTCAATTACTACTTTATCCATGAATTCTTCTCTAATTAATTCACTCAGAGGAATTTTCCCCTTCATCTGAACTCCCAGGATGCTTTCCTGAACCATTCATGTGGCACTTATCTGCTAATTTATACCATATTTAACTACTACTGTCAGCTCTTCGGGGATGGGGGTCAACTACATAACCCACATCAACCTTAAAACAAAGTCATGCCCACAAGAAGAGTAAAAAGAATAGAACCTTTGAGATAAACTGTTATTCATTTCTTGACTCTGCCATTGATTGACTTGGGACATGTTAAATTTTTCTAAGTATTAAACCTCTCAAATACCATGCATGATACTCCCTTAGTTTCTTCTCAGGTAAACCATCCCAAAACAGCCCCCGCTAAAGGAGCATAAAATATTTCTCCCAAAAACATTCTCTCTCACAAATATAAACAAAAAAGTAGAAGAATCAGCCAGTTGGTCATAGGAAGAGGAGAACACAGATATATCAATGGCAAATAGGGATACCTGAGTTGGGTCAATGATGGATAACATGCAGATCCATTGACTCTGCTTCTAAAGTCCCTAAAACTCCCAGGACTATGAAAGACCTTTCCGTTCCAGGTTCTATCTCAGGCGGTCATGGGTCCCATTAATCCTGTGGCCTAGTAATTAAGCTTTTCCCAGATAACCATTAAGGATAGCTGCTTAATGAATATCCTGTTTTCTATACACACACATGTATATATGCAGGAAATCTGCACATAGGAGATTGGCAATGCAAAGGAAGAGCCCCAACTAACATCTGAACTTCCCTCACAATAAACCCTCTACTACTTGTGGTGAATTTTGGTTCCATGACAAGGAAAGGGACCAGCTATTAATAAAATACCAAATCTCTGTATCTATCAAATTGGATTATTGATGGCAACCTCCAAAGGTCAGATGAGAGGATTAAATGAAATCCACATATAAAGTGCTTGGCACAGTGCCTGGCACATATTAAGGATCTAATAAAATTAAGCCTCTTTTCTCCTCAAAAATAGTATGGGAAGAATAGAAGAAAAATGGGTGGAAAAAAAGAATGACTGTAAGAACTGACCTACCATTAATTAATGCTGTGTATCTTCAATAGTGCCCAGCAATCATTTCAGTTATGTCTTTTTGATTCCCTGGTAGTCTTACATAATTGTGCTCGGCGGAATTCCTATTTAAAAATTTTCTTATTCCCAAATTATATTTCAACAAGAAATTTGATGTGACCAAAATGAGTTCCCATGTGATATGGTTTGGCTGTGTCCCCACCCAAATCTCATCTCAAATTGTAATCCCCACGGGTTGAGGGAGGGGCCTGTAATCCCCACATGTAGAGGGAGGGAGGTGTTTGGGTCATGGGGGCAGTCTTCCTCATGCTGTACTTACTCATTATAGTGAGTGAGTTCTCACAAGATCTGATGATTTTATAAGTGTTTGACAGTTCCTCCTTCACATGCTCACACTCCCTCCTGCCACCTTGTGAAGAAGGTGTTTGCTTCCCCTTCTGCTGTGATTGTAAGTTTCCTGAGGCCTCCCCAGCCATGCAGAACTGTGAGTCAATTAAACCTCCTTTGTTTATAAATTACACAGTCTCAGGTAGTATCTTTATAGCAGCATGAGAATGGACTAATACACCATGTTTACCCCAACACACACCATTCCATTTCATACTCATTTCTTCCCTCCTGTCTGTGGGTACATGCCACAGTCCTTTAACCTCTTGCCTAGCTAAACCCTACATATTATTCAAAGAGCAGTTTTTCCTCCTACATAAAGACCTTCCTGGATACTGCAGCTGTTACAGACTTTCTTCTTCTCTAAAACCCTTCTGTGTTTGTAGATTACAACATTCAGGAAAATCCTAAACTGTCTTGGCATTATTTAATCCTTCATCATGGGGTTTGCCTTGACAATCAAAATACAAATGGCTAGCCTGAAGCAACTCTGATAAGCTGCAATGCCTGCCCCACACTGTCCCAGGAAAATGCAATGGACATCAGATAAACAGAGTTCTCTGGACCAGTGTGCTCCTCATAGTCTGTCCTGAACCAATTGCCTGGGCCTGTTAATGTGATTGTGCTCTCTCAATTCCTCTATATAGTCTTCTGTTTCTGCCTACATTGTGCCCTTCCAAATTTAGCACAATATTATAATCAAAGCTCCAAACTTGTTTCTTCTCTATAATGTTGCCTCTTCTCTATCCTGAATGCCTTACTTCAACTTTCCTTGGCTTATTATCCTCCTAGTCACACTCAGTCTTGTGCCCAGGGCAACATCCCACCTGGCTGGCTTATCCCTATCCTGTAGGTATTACCAAATCACAAGACCCTTGTGGCACACACACATAAACTCTTATGCTTCAATATACCTATATCTTGTAAAACAGAACAGCCAGACTTTTTTTCTAGTGAAGTACTACTACACAACCAAGCTCTTAATAATTATGGAGAAGACATCATTGAAAATGGTGGAGTAGGGACCTCTGAAATTCTCCATAAAAGGAAAGAGAAAACTGGCAAAATTTGTCAAAATCAACATGTCAGAACTTGAAATTGACTAAGGGCTTGCAGCAATTCAGACATCATTTATTCACTCAACAAAAATGGCTGCATCTTGTTAAGAACAAAATTTTGTGGGTTTTTTAAAATTTTGAGACAGGAATCTCACTATGTTGTCCAGGCTGGTCTCAAACTCCTGGCCTCAAGTGATCCTTCTGCTTCAGTCTCCCAAGTAGCTGGAATTCCAGGTGCACACCACCATACCTGGCCAAAAAAAAAAAAAAATGACTCCAACCATTGTTCTAAGGATGAGAATGGAATTAGGGGACACTCTCAGCTATGATCAAGGATCTGTTTTTCCTTTTTGAAACAGAATCTCACTATGTTGCCCAGGCTCATCTCAAACTCCTGGGTTCAAGCAATCCTCTTGCCTCAGCCTCCCAAGTAGCTAGGATTACAGGCAGGAACCATAGGGCCCAGGTTGTAGCATTTTAATTTTCCCTAGCCCCATCCCCCACTCTCCAGAAACACTACAGCCTTGGAAATTAACAGACTGCATTTGCAGTGAAAATTAGAAGCTGGAAACCACTGGAGAGGACAGGATCAAGTTGGGGTTTCTTTAAAGCCCTATTCCTAAAGGAATTGCCATTATTCAATCTGTCTGGTAGTTCCCTGGAAGATCTCACTTCCAGAAATTCAGATAAGTTGTCTGAATGTTACCTGACAGGGAGTTTTCCAAAGTGACAATTCAAAAGGGCTTTACCCAGGGCATTTGTCAAAAACAAATAAGTCAACTGTTTAAATTCATACCTGGCTTGTCGGATGGTAGTGGGTTATCAGAACTTATTAACATTAGTGTCACTAAAGTTGGTATATAACCACCTGCTGCTAAATTTGACTGGCTTCTAAAAATAAAATAAAAAATAAACAAATAAATTCATAACTGCCTGATGAGGTGGAAAACAGGACAAACAATGGACTAAGCAAAAAGCTTAAAGGGAAACAATAGAAAACAAGATGTCCTAGGCTTTTTGAAATGTTTTGAAATATTCCTAGGAACCTAGATGACCACACACATATATATGCCTGTGCCCATACTCAGTGGTGACTGACAACATGATAAGAAAATCTGAGAAGGCCCTAAGCTCTCACATCTGGCTTGAGGAATTGCATAAGCAGAAAGTGAGGGCCAAGACAGAGCTGTCAGTTGCTTGGCTGAGAGTTGAAAGCATGCCACAACACACACACACACACACACACACACACACATACACACACATGCCCTTTGCAAAGACTGGGAGATTTATTGGTTCTAGGCAATCAAGAAAGTCTTCATCCAATAATTAGCTGACCACTAAGCTAACCAAGCAGAGACTTCAATAGCCACATAGAATATAGATGTTACAGCAATAATTGAGAAGAGTCACTAAACAAACACACTAAAACAAACAGTAGCAACAAGAAACCCTGAGGTGGGGGAAGAAAATCTGACTTCCAGAACTACTATACTACTTAAAATGTCTAGCTTTCAACAAGAACAATAAAAAGACTATAAGAACAGTAAAAAAATAAGAAAGTATGGGCCATACGTAAGGAAAACAAGCAATCAACAGAAACTGACTCTAAGAAATCCCAGATACTGGACTCACTATACAAAGACTTCAATAATCTATTTTAAATATATTCAAAGAACTAAATCATATCTAAAGGATTAAAGGAAAGTATGAGAATCATGTCTCACTAAATAGAAAATATCAACTTATTGGTTCTAGAAATAGACATTTTAAAGAGATAGACTTTTAAAAAAAAAAACAAAGAGAAAAATTCTGGAGTTGAAAATAACAAAAACTGAAAGGAAAAATCCACAAGACAATCTCAACAGAAGATTTCAGCAGACAGAAAAAAAAAATGAATGAACTTGAAAACAGGTCGATTGAGAGTGTCTAGTCTGTGTAACACAAAAAAAGAAAGAATGAAGAAAAATGAACAGCGCCTCAGACATATGAGACATCAAGCATGCAAACATATGCATAATAAGAGTCCTAGAAGGAGAGGAGCAAGAGAAAGGTACAGAAAGAATATCTGAAGAAATATTTGCCAATAATTTCCCCAAATGGAGACAAAACATTAATCTTCACATCCTCAAACTCCAAGTAGAATAAATTCAAAGATATCCATGCCTAGATATTCAAACTGTCAAAAAACAAAGAAAAAAAGGTTGAAAGCCCAAAAAAAAGAAACAAACCACCATGTATATATGATACTCAATAAGATCAACAGCTGATTTCTCATCAGAAATTGTAGAGACCAGAAATGGTGGGATGACATATTCAAAGTACTAAGAGGAAAAAAACAAAAAACAAACAAAAAAAACACTAATAAATTCTATAGCCAGCAAAACTATTGATATGGTTTGGCTCCATGTCCCCACCCAAATCTCATGTTGAACTGCAATCCTTAATGTTGGGGGCCCTCCCCATCACCTGGTGGATGGTGATGGGATCATGGAGATGGATTTCCCCCTTGCTTTTCTCATGATAGTGAGTTCTCATTAGATCTGGCATGTAACATTTCCCTCTTTGCTCTCTCTCCTGCTCCACCATGGTAAGATGTGCTTGTTCCCCTTTTGCCTTTTGTCATGACTGTGAGTTTCCTGAGGCCTCCCAGCCATGCTTCCTGTACAGCTTATGGAACTGTGAGTCAATTAAACTTCTTTTCTTCATAAATTACCTAGTCTACAATAGTTTTTTATAGCAGTCTGAGAACAAACTAATACAACTATCTTTAAAAATGAAGGCAAATATAAAACATTTCCAGATAAACAAAAACCTAAAGAATTCCTTACTAGTGACCATACTAAAATAAATATTAAAGAGTGTCCTTCAGAATTAAATAAAAGAACCCTAGAGAGTAACTGAAATCGACAAGGAGAAATAAAAAGCACAGAAAAGGTAATTACATAGATAAATATAAAAGACAATAAAAATGTGTTTTTTGTTTGTAACTCTTTCTTTTCTATATAATTTAAAAGACAGGCCAGGTGAAGTGGCTCATGTCTGTAAGCCCAATGCTTTGGGAGGCCAAGACAGAAGGGTTGCTTGAGGCCAGGAGTTGGAGACCAACCTAGGCAAAACAGTGAGACCTTATCTCTACAAAAAAAATTAAAAATTAGCCAGGCATGGTGGCACATGCCTGCAGTCCAAGCTACTCAGGATACTGAGGTGAAAGGATTGCTTGAGCTCAAGAGTTCAACACTGCAGTGAGCTATGATCATGCCACTATACTCCAGCCTGGGTGACAGAATGAGACCCTATCTCTAAAAATAATAAAAACATAAAATGGCCGGGTGCAGTGGCTCACGCCTGTAATCCCAGCACTTTGGGAGGCTGAGGAGGGTGGATCATGGTCAGGAGCTCAAGGCCAGCATGGCCAAGATGGTGAAATCCCATCTCTACTAAAAATACAAAAATTAGCTGGGTGCAGTGGCGGGTGCCTGTAATCCCAGCTACTCAGGAGGCTGAGGCAGGAGAATCGCTTGAACCTGGGAGGCGGAGGTTGCAGTGAGCCGAGATCGCACCACTGCACTCTAGCCTGGGTGACAGAGCAGGACTATGTCTCAAAAAAAATAAATAAGATAAAATAAAATAAAATAAAATAAAATAAAATAAAATAAAATAAAATAAAATAAAATAAAAGACAATTGCATGAAGCAAAAATTAAAAACCTGTGTTGATGCAAGGATAAAATCAGTTAAGAATGTACAGCTCTTAGATGCTGGCACATATGAAAAACTGAATAATGTTAAGTATCATTATTTTTTATTACAATGTGTGTGAAACATCAGTGGGCATAAATGCTTAGCTAAATAAGGCAAATGAAACCTGATGATGAATGGGATAATAGCTGTCGCAGACAAATAGCTTTTATTTCCACCTCAGAACATAGCAAGAATACTGGCAGAAACTGGGAGTTTGAAAGTAGTTATTCATGGGTACTAGGAATTCTGTGTAGAAGACACTGAGCTTGAATGTTTGGTGGAAGATACAGATGTCCTAAAAAAAAAAACCTGACAAAATTGGAATGGAGTTTGAATGGGAGGTAGAACCTGGAAATTATAATCATAAGAGTAATATTTGAGGTTAGGGGACAATAGTAACTCCCCAAATAAAATAGCATACATACAGAATAGCAGAGAACCAAGGATTGAGATTTAAAAGAAATCAAGAATTGAAGAAAGCCAGTTAGCAAATACTTTCTAGGGGGGTGGGAAATATCCAATCACACAGCCAGAAGGAAAAGAATACTTGAATTTCTAATAATGGTATGGCTTTTTAAAAATTGCTTCAATTTTATTGTTCCTATAAAAAGAATATTCTAAGGAAAATGCTGAAATAAAAGATTCTATCCAGTCTACCTAGAAAAGTTTGCATATTCATTGTTCACTTGACTGTGTTTCTGAGGTGTAATTTCACCTAGAAAAATGGCAAGAATACTTATGTAATACTTTAATGTCTTTATTTCTAAATTTCTCTTGACAGCTAAAAATTTTGAAAATAAGCCTATGTCATTTGGCTCAATTTCATAAAGAAGGGAATCCTATTTCCTACATTAATTATGGAGAACTGTAACCTTTAGTCTCAATAAAATATTAATAGATGTCATCAAATATAAGGACCAGCTTCTGAAATGAGCCTTATTTTAATGACTAAGTCTTAGATTAATTCAAGAACCATTTACTGAATCCTACTGCTATGATTTGAATGTCCCCTCCAAACTTTTGTTGGAATTTAACTGCTAATGAAACAGTGTTGACATGCAGGATCTTTGAGCAGCAATTAGAGAATAGAGTATTGCTGTTATTGTGTAAGTGGGTCAGTTTATCACACAACTGGGATCCTGCTAAAAGGATAAATTATTCATCCCCCATTTTCCTCTCTGTCTCACTGGCTCTTGCCCTCTCTCATACCAACTCTCTCACCACAAGATGCCTCTGCCATGTTATGATGCAGCAAGAGGCTCTCACCAGATGTGCTCTCAATCTTGGAATTCCCAGTCTTCAGAATGGTGACCCAAACAAACAATTTTTAAAGGAATTATCACAATTATTTTTATAATTTTACTAATGTTCCATACTATCCCCAAGGCATATATCAATCCTGAGGTCTACTTTAGCCCAAATCCTTTGTAACCTATCACCAATGACAGTCCAAATGCAGTCCTTCATTTCTTCACGAACATATTAGGTGTTATAAACACAGAGTTATCAAGACATCCCAAGAGATTTGGGTAATCACTCATCCACAGTCAATATTTCAAACCGAATTAACAGTCCTGTGTCAGAGAAGATGCCGATTAAGGAACTGAAGGGATATGTGATGAAAATGAAGTAGAAAATGTATCTGAGAACTCCTGTTGGCTATGGGCAGAAAAAAAACACTTCTTTAGCTTGTTTGAATATGTGACCCCTGTCACTAAGTTCCCCATAAAAAAGAATGGACTGAAGAGTCATTGCATAAATATTGAGAAATATGAGGGGAAATCTGTAATTTGATACAAACTACATGTCCATATATAACATATAATTAATGTGTAATAAATTTTTAAGTGTTCATTTCTTTTTTAATCACCTGTACCCTTCCCATAAGTATGTATCCCTAAACACTACACTTTAGTTTTGCTTATTTTTTAACATTAAATAAATAAAAGCACACGGTATATGTTCTTTTGGTCTTGCTTCTGTCCTTCAACATTGTTTCTGAAATTCATCATGTTGTTATATGAAGCTGTCATTTGTTACATTTCATTACTGTACAGTAGTCCTTTGTACAAATATCAAAGACTTCTTTGTCACTTCTTGGTGACACACATTTGAGTTAGTTCAATTTGAAATTACCAAATGTAATGCTACTATATACATTAAGATTCATGTCTCCCATTGCATATGTGGATATATTTCAGTCGAGTACATACTTAGAAATGAAACTGATGGTCACAGGACTGCCTCATCTTCAACTTTACTGTATCATGATAAACTGTTTTCCAAATTGTTGTGCCAATTTACCCTTCTACCAGTTGTTCTACATCTTTGCTCATATGTGAGAGTGCCATCTCTTTAATATAAGCCATTCAGCTAATTGTGTAGCAGCTTCTTTTAGTTTGCAATTCACTGATTACTGAGTTGAGCATTTCTCATGCATTTATTGCACATTTGGATATCCTCTTTGTGAAGTTCCTGCTTAAGTCATTGATCATTTTATATAAATCGTCTTTTTTTAATTAATATGAAGGAATACTTCATGTCATCTAGATACAGGCCTTGGCAGGGCACTGTAACTCACACCTGTAATCTCAGCAATTTGGGAGGCCCAGGTGGGAGGATTACTTGAGGCCAGAAGTTGAAGACCAGCCTGGGCAACACAGCAAGACTCTGTCTCAAAAAAAGAAATTATAGATACAAGGCTTTTGTCAGTTACATATGTTACAAATACTTTCTACCATTCTGTAGCCTACCTTTGTACGCCCTTCAGTTTGTCTTTTGATGAAGAGAAGATCTTAATTTTATTGTCAAATTTGTCAACCATTTTCTATACAGTTAGTGCCTTTTATTTCTGCTTTAAAAAATCTTTCCCTACCCAAAGTCAGGATAATATGCTTCTATTTTATCTAATAAAGCTTCACTGTTTGCCATGCACCTTCATGCCTACAACCCACGTGGAATTGATGTCTGGCTGTGATATGAGATAAAAGTCAAGTTTCTTTTCCTTTTTTTTTCCTTTTCTTTCTTTGTTTCTTTTTATCATATGTATATCCACTTGTCCCATACATTTTATTGAAAAGACTATCCTTAATCTGCTACTGTGCAATGGCACCTTTGTCTAATCAAGTGTTCATATCTTGGCTCTCTTTCTGGACTCTATTTTTTTGTGTCAATCAGTTATATATTTTTGTGCTGATACCACTGTTGTAATTACTGCAGCTTTAGGAAAAAGTCTTGATATATGGAATCCTGCCATATTGCTGCTTTTCTTCAGAAGTGTTTTAGCTATTATTGATCTTTTAATTTTCAAATAAAGTTTAGAATCAGCTTAAGACTCTAAACAAATGCAGGAAACACAGAAAAAATGGAATTTTGTTTGGGATTTTTTTAAATCTACAGATAAATTGAGGAGATAATTTGAAAAGAATGATATCTTTACAACATTAAGTTTTGCAGTCTATGAATCTAATTTCTCCCTTTATTTGGGGCTTCTTTAATTTCCTTCAAGAATGTTCTCCATAGAAGTATAGTATATCTTTTCATAGATTTATTCCAAGAATACTCAAAATTTTTGATGCCACTGTAAATGGTTGCTTTTTATATTTCATTTTACAACTGTATGTGGCTGACATACAGAACTACATCTGTTTTTTGTTTAGTGACCTTGTATCCTACAAACTTGCTAATTTATTAATGCTAATAATATATCTATACCTTCTTTTAAATTTTTCTATATATACACAATCAAGTTACCAGCAAATAGTGACAGTTTATTTACTCATTTCCAATTTGTATTTCTCTTATTTCTTTTCTTACCATCTTGCACTGGCTAGGACTTCCAGTGCAACATTGAAGAAAACTAGAGTAGGCATCCTTGTCCTTTTTCCAATTCCAAAGATAAAGCTTTCAAAATGTCACCAATTAAGAATGATTTTCCTATTGCTTTTCTGTAGAAACCTTTTATCAGGTTGAGGATATTCTCTTATATTATTAATTTGTTGAATGTTTTTATCATGAATATATGTTGACTTTTATCAAATGGTTTGCCACATCTATTGAGATGATCATATGATATTTTTTCTGCTTTAATCTTTTAATGTAGTACATTACATTGATTGATTGTTTCCAGTGTTAAACAAATATTTCATTTCAGGAATAAATCCAACTTAATTCTCACACATTATCTTCTCATAGGTCACTGGATGAAGTTTGCCAGTATTTTGTTCAGAATTTTTTATCTTTGTTCATGAGAGAGATTAACCTATAGTTTCCTTTTCTCATAACATCTATGGCTAGTTTTGGTTTCAAGAGAATTCTAGCCTCATGAAACAAGTGCTCACCGGGCACGGGGGCTCACGCCTGTAACCCTAGCACTTTGGGAGGCCAAGGCGGGCAGATCACCTGAGGTCAGGAATTCAAGACCAGCCTGGCCAACATGGCAAAACCCCATCTCTACTAAAAATACACAAAATTAGCCAGATGTGATGGCATGTGCCTGTAATCCCAGCTACTCAGGAGGCTGAGGCAGGAAAATTGCTTGAACCCAGGAGGCGGAGGTTGCAGTGAGCCAAGATCATGCCATTGCACTCCAGCTTGGGCGGCAGAGTGAGACTCCATCTTAAAAAAAAAAAAAAAAGCTCCCACTTTTCTTGTTTTCTGGAAGAATTTGTATTAGGTTGGTGCTTCTGTGTAAGGCCCTCCCATTTTTTATAATCTTCCCCACAAGTTCTAACACCTTCCACCTCCAAGAACTCCAACCTCTGTCTCCTCAATTCAGCAAAATCACCAGGCTCTGCAATGTTATATGAAAATTGCCTCCAGGAAAATGGAACTGGACAACTGTAGGATTCACCTAGTTTTTTTCTCCTTCTCACAGGGATTACAGTCTGGGACTGCCTGTTGGACAATGCCTCAAAGCAGGGTTTTCATTGTTTTTTCTTTCCAGATTTCTAGTTTTTTAATCATGAGATGAAAAACCATAACCCTGTAGCTCTGTCATGGTCAGAGGTAGAAGTTTACTTTTAATTTTATTTCTGTCATCTTAGGTTTGAGCAACTTGCTTTGGCCTCCCCAATATCATTTCCCCACCTTGTTGGTTACTGCACTCTGATATTGCCTTGAGGAGCCATCCTAACCCCCATTTTATGTTGTCTAAATGTCACTGTTAATCAGTGTCCCCATCCTCCATGACCAGGAAATAATCTCATAACTCAAAACATTCTGAAGATGCTCCCTCTCTCCTGAGAATCTGAAGCCAAATTCATGATACAAGGATAAAAAGTTAAACTGGTCCATTCCAATCAATTCCTAAAGAGATTAGCCATTAATCCTTACACAACATGACTATTAGCTGGTGAATCTTACTGGAAGAAGCCAACCTGGATACATTGGAACACAAAATGATTGATCAATTATTCTCTGAACCTAAAATGTAAATATATATTACTTCCAACTGTTCCACTACAAAGGAAAAAGGAAGAAGATCAAGGTTCCTCCTCAGAAAGAAGTTTAATATTCCTTCAATATCTTACAAAAGAAGTGCCCCCATCCAGACCTGAAAAGACTGGAAAGGAAAAAACTGCTTCCTCCAGGAAAGTGGTCTTTATTTGAAAGTGTTCACTCATAAAACTGACAAAAAAAATGTTAAGCAATGCTATTCATTATTGATGAAGATGCAGAGTAATGGACACCCTCATGCATCACTGGTTGGAATATGAATTGCTGCAACCTCTTCTGGAAACTAATCAGGCAATATCTATTAACATTAAAAGTGCATATACAATTTAGCAGAAATCTTGGATACAAAAATACATTTTTGAGAAATTTATTCTTTACAAATAAAAGCACCAGTGCCAAAAACATATATATACCACTGTTTCTTTCAACTTTGTCTGAAGGAAGAAAGGGAGAAAGAGAGGAAGGAAGGAAAGAAGAAAGGAAGGGTATGCATGTCCATCAAAATAATGACTGAATATATTGTAGTATATTCATGCTATAGAATATTAACTTTTATAGTCGGGTGTGGTGGTATGTGCCTGTAGTCCCACCTACCAGGGAGGCTTAGCCAGAAGGATCGCTTGAGCCCAAGAGTTCCAGGCTGTAATGAGCCAAGATTGCACCATTGCACTCTGGCCTGGGTGACAGGGCAAGACTCCAACTCGAAAAAAAAAAAAGAATATTAACTTTTGAAAAGAATGAGCTGGCCATGTGCAGTGCATGGCTCATGCCTATAATCCTAGACCGAGGTAGCTATACTTAAACAAAATAGATGTCAAGACAAAAACTATCAGAAGAGACAAAGAAGGTCACTACGTAATAAGAAAGGGGGCAATTCAGCAAGAGGATATAACAATTGTAAATACATATGCACCCAATAATGGGGCACCCAGATATATAAAGTAAATATCAGAGCTAAAGAGTTAGACTCCAATACAATAATAGCTGGAGACTTCAATATCCTATTTTAAGTACTGAACAGATCTTCCAGACGAAATCAACAAAGAAACATTGTACTTAATCTGCACTATAGAACAAATGGAGCTAATAGAGATTTACAGAACATTTCATGCAACGACTGCAGAATAGACATTCTTTTCTTCAGCATATGGATCATTCTCAAGGAAGGACCATGTGTTAGTTCACAAAATAAGTCTTAAAACATTCAAAAAACTGAAATAATATCAAGCATCTTCTCTGACCACAATGAAATAAAACTACAAATGAATAACGAGAGGAACTTCGGACACTGTTCAAACACATGGAAATTAAGCAACATGCTACTGAATGACCAGTGGGTCAATGAAGAAAGTAAGAAGAAAATTTAGAAATTTGATGAAACAAATGCTAATGGCAACATAGCATACCAAAACCTAAGAAATACAGCAAAAGCAGAACTAAGAAGGAAGTTTATAACTATACATGTTTACATTGAAAAAGAAAAAAAAATTCAAAAAAACCACCTAATGATACACCTTAAAGAACTAGAAAGGCAACAACAAACCAAACCAAAAATTAATAGAAGAAAGAAACAATAAAGATCAGAGCAGAGGCTGGGCTCAGTGGCACACGCCTAAAATCCCAGCACTTTGGGAGGCCGAGGCGGGTGGATCACCTGAGGTCAGGAGTTTGCGACCAGCCTGACTAACATGGTGAAACCCCGTCTCTACTAAATACAAAAAAATTAGCTGGGCATGGTGGCACATGCCTGTAATCTGAGCTACTTGGGAGGCTGAGACAGGAGAATCGATTGTACCTGAGAGGCGGAGGTTGCAGTGAACCAAGATCATGCCATTGCACTCCAGCCTGGGCAAGAAGAGCAAAACTCCGTCTCAAAAAAAAAAAAAAAAAAAAAAAAAAAAAAAAGCAGAAATACATGAAATTGAAATGAATGAAACAATACAAAAGATCAATGAAACAAAAACTTGGTTTTTTAAAAAGATAAACAAGAGTGACAAACCTTTAGCCACACTAAGAAAAAAAGAGAGAAGACCCAAATAAATAAAATTGGAGATGAAAAAGGAGGCACTGTAACTAATACCAAAGGAATTAAATTGGAAAATCTGGAAGAAATGGATAAATTCCCAGACACATACAACCTATCAAGATTGAACCACGAAGAAATTCAAAACCTGAACATACCAATAATAAGTTATGAGAATGAAGCCATAATAGTCTCCCATCAAAGAAAATGCCAGGACCCAAAGGCTTCACTGCTGAATTCTAACAAACATTTAAAGAAGAACTAATACCAATCCTACTCAAACTATGTGGAAAAATAGAGGAGAGATTACTTCCAAATGTATTCTATGAGGCCAATATTACACTGACATCAAAACCAGACAAAGACACATCAAAAATAGAAAACAATAGGCCAGTATCACTGATACATATTGATGCAAAAATCTCAACAAAATGCTAGCAAACCAAATTCAACAGCACATTAAAAAGATCATTCATCATGACCAAGTGGGATTTAACCCAGGGATGCAACCATGGTTCAGCATATGCAAATCAATCAATATGATACATCATATGAACAGAATGAAGGACAAAAACAATATGATCATTTCAATTGATGCTTAAAAGACATTTGATAAAATTCAACACCACTTAGTTATAAAAACCCAAAAAAACTGGGTATAGAAGGAACATATCTCAATATAATAAAAGCCATATATGATAGACCCACAGCTAGTATCACACTGAATAGGGAAAAACTGAAAGCCTTTCCCCTAAGATCTGAAAACAAGAAGGATGCCCACTGTCATCACTGTTATTCAACAAAGTGCTAAAAGTTATAGTTAGAGCAATCAGACAAGAGAAAGAAATAAAGGGCATCCAAGTTGGAAAGGAAGAGGTCAAATCATCCTTGTTTGCAGATGATATGATCTTATATTTGGAAAAACCTAAAGACTCCACCAAAAAGTTATCAGGACTGATAAACAAATTCAGTAAAGCTGCAGCATACAAAATCAACATACAAAAATCAATAGTATCTTTTTTTTTTTTTTTTGGGGACAGTCTTGCTCCATCACCCAGGCTGGAGTGCAGTGGTGCAAACACTGCTCACTGCAACCTCCACCTCCTGGGTTCAAGCAATTCTCCTGCCTCAGCCTACCAAGTAGCTGGGATTACAGGTGTGCACCAACACGCCTGGCTAATTTTTGTATTTTTAGTAGAGATGAGGTTTCACCATGTTGGCCAGGCTGGTCTCGAATGCCTGGCCTCAAGTGATCCGCCCACCTCGGCCTCCCAAAGTGCTGGGATTACAGGCGTGAGTCACTGTGCCTGGCCTCAGCAGCATTTTTATATGTCAATAGTGAAAAATCTGAAAAAGAAATCAAGAAAGTAATCCTATTTACAATAGCTATGAATAAGATAAAATAGGAATTAATTTTTGAAAGAAATGAAAGATCTCTACAATGAAAACTATAAAACAGTGATGTACAAAATTAAAGAAGACACCAAAAAATAGAAAGAGATTTCATGTTTATGGATTGGAAGAATCAATATTGTTAAAATGTCTGTACTACCCAATGCAATCTACAGATTCAATGCAATCCCTATCAAAATACCAATGATAGTCTTCACAGAAATAGAAAAAACAATTCTAAAATTTATATGGAACCATAAAAGAATAGCCAAAGCTATCCTAAGCAAAAACAAAACTGAAGGAATCACATTACCTGACTTATACACTACAGAGCTATAGTAACCAAAGTGGCATGGTACTGGCATAAAAAGAGACATGTAGACCAGTGGAATAGAAGAGAGAACCTAGAGATAAATTCATACATCTACAATGAACTCATTTTTGACAAAGGTGCCAAGAACATACATTGGGGAAAAGGCAGTCTCTTCAATAAATGGTGCTTGGAGAAATGGATATCCACATGCAAGAGAATGAAACTAGACTCCTACTTCTTACCATACACAAAAATCAAATCAAAATAAACTCAGGACTTAAATCTAAGACCTCAAACTATGAAACTACTAAGAGAAAACATTAGAGAAACTCTCTAGGACATTAAGTGATGTCCCACAGGCACAGGCAACCAAGGCAAAAATGGACAAATGAGATCACATCAAGTTAAAAAGCTTCTGCACAGCAAAGGACACAATCAACAAAGCAAAGAGACAACCCACAGAATGGGAGAAAATATTTGCAAACTACTCATTTGACAAGGGATTCAGAGCCAGAATATATAATGAGTTCAAACAACTCTATAGGAAAAACATCTAATAATCCAATTTAAAATGGGCAAAAGATCTGAATAGACATTTCTCCAAAGAAAACATACAAATGGTAAACAGGAGTATTGAAAAGGTGCTCAACGTCACTGATCATCAGAGAAATGCAAATCAAAACTACAATGAGCTATTATCTCACCCCAGTTAAAATGGCTTCTATCCAAAAGTTAGACAATAACAAATGCTGGAGAGGATGTGGAGAAAAGGGAACCCTTGTACACTGTTGGTGGGAATGTAAATTAGTACAACCACTATGGAGAACAGTTTGGAGGTTCCTCAAAAAACTAAAAACAGAGCTACCATTTGATCCAGCAATCCCACTCCTTAGGTATATACCCAAAAGAAAGGAAACAAGTAAATCTAAGAGATATCTGCACTCCCATGTTATTGCAGCACTATTCATAAGATCCATTTGGAAGCAACCTAAGGGTCCATCAACAGATGAGAGATTGTATTAGTCCATTTTCATGCTGCTGATAAATGCATACCCAAGACTGGGCAATTTACAAAAGAAAGAGGTTTATTGGACTTACAGTTCCACATGGCTGGGGAGGCCTCACAATCATGGCAGAAGGTAAAAGGCAAGGAGGAGCAAGTCACATCTTACATGGATGGTGGCAGACAGAGTTTGTGCAGGGAAACTCATGTTTTTTGAAACCATCAGATCTCATGAGACTCATTCACTATCATGAGAACAGCACAGGAAGGACCCAGCCCCGTAATTCAATCACCTCCCACTGAGTTCCTCCCATGACACATGGGAATTGTGCGTGTTACAATTCTAGATGAGATTTCGGTGGGGACACAGGTGTGAGCCACCGTGCCCAGCCTAAGTTTTTTTTAAGTACTTGCCACAGCCAACCCAGCCTTCTGCAACCACCACCCTGATTAGTCAGCAGTCATCAACATCAAGGCAACACCAGCAGAGAGTACACCTTGCTGTAGGTTCATATGATCATTCATATTATTTAGCAATAAAGTATTTTTAAATTAAGATATGCATATTGTTTTTTAGACATAATGCTATTGTGCAGTTAACAGACTATCGCATAGCGTAAACCTACCTTTCATATGTACTGGAAAGCCAAAAAATGTATGTGACTCATTTTATTGCTATATTTGCTTTATTGCAAGGGTCTGGAATGGAACCCACAATACCTTCAGGGTATGCCTGTAGATTATTAGACAACATTTTTTCTACTTGTCTTCCCTACCCACCCATAACCATTTTCTTCAACAACCCCAGCTCCCACTTCTCCCCATCTTCTTCTGAAGAAAGAAAATGAAAACTACACTTCAGGTGCAAAGTAGGCCATGGTGAATGCTAAGCTGAGAATGAACCCACAATCTCTCTCACAAAATTATATGACCATGAGAAAGACCCAAAACGGTCCCAGTATATGAAAGTTAATTCCTCTAAGACGTCTTTCAAGACCAGTTCAAATGACACACCCTCCATAAAGGAAGAGGTTCTACTTGATTTTCTATCCCAGCTAAATATTCTTTCTTTAGCCTTTCAGATAATAAGCCATTTTATTCCCATTCTTTTATAATATTTATCATATTCTATCTTAAATTCTAAAATAAAACTGGGAGATTAGACATTCTACCTTGTCTAGTCTGCTATTTTATTTTAGGTTAGTGACAGACTTTTTGTATCCTCATGGAGTGTAAAGTATTTTGGTACATGCATTAGATCAATCAGTATTTAATATTGATGCGGCAGTGGTAACTCTTCTTACTAACTGATGAGGAGGAAGATAAAATGGATGGAATCTGGAATCAGAACACATGGATTCCAGAACCGACTCTACCACTCACTAAATATGGACCTTGGGCAAGTCATTTAACCTCTCAGAGCCTCAATTTCTTCATCTGCATCTGCATCTGTCTTACTCATTTTTATATCTTCAGGTGCTGGGCACCAAGAAGGTACTCATTAAATACTGAGTAAATGAATAAAAAAATTATGCAAAAATAGTATGCAAACTATTAACGATTGGCATGCAATTTATTAAGCCCTATTTTGTAGGGACTATACATATATTCCTGAGGAAGGGAAGGAATATAATAATAATCTTCCTCTGGAATATATACACAGTCCTTTCTGCCATGTAAGGTAACATCTTGACATCTTGACAGGTCCTGAAGATTCAGACCTGGACATCTTTGGGGAGTGGGAAGGCAAGCATGATTTTGTCTACCACATACTCTTACACATTCAGAATAAGAAAATAGTGTTCTTTTCTTCTCAAAGCTGCTCTGAAGTTCATTTTTAAAACCAAGGCATGGAACAGGGTGGGTGGAAATATCTCAGGCAATTTGCAGCCTCCTGAGATATGTGGGTTACACTTGGCCAGTAATAAATCTCCCCATCAGAGGCACATCTATTACATACCTTGTATTATTAGGAACCAGAAGATAAATAGATACAGATACAGACACTGAATTCTGAATTCGGAAATTAATAATATGTCCAGTTCAGGGAATTTTTAAAATATCTTAACTTCATTTAAAGTTTCTCCTTTCCTCCAGAAAGGCAGCATGGTTGGTCTTTTTAGTTTCCAGCTTAGCTTGTCTATTCCTCCTCCCTTACTAGTTCACACTTGGCTTTCCTAAGACTGAAAGCTTGAGGGAGGGCCAGGCTGATAAGAGTCAAGGTGAAAGAAAGGTCTTATTTGACTCATACTCTTTTGTAAATCTACCTCTAAAGCTCTCTGACCATGGCAAGTGTTTAAAGCTGACACTTCCTCTAGAGGACACTTTTGTCTTTCTTTGAAGTTCATACACCAGCAGTTCCCGTGACACATGCAAATATATCTCTTCTGGAATGTTCTCCTAGCATTCTACTCTTAGGAATCTGGGAGTATACCTCCTCTTCTTCCCACTGAAGTATTCTCAACTCTCTAGATGATGTTTTTAGGCAGACTCTTAAGACAATCCCATCTGTCTCTTCCTCTTGCTCCAGAAGCCCTCATCTGGCCTACCAGTAGCACGCTTCTTGAGCACTATTGGTGGGAATGTTGCTATTTTCCAAACCCAGCTCACTCTTCATCAAAAGCCCTGACAGGGCAGCTCCAGACACAGCCTGTCATCCTCTGGATGATTCAGCTGCATGAACCCCAAACCCTAGGACACATACATGAAGCTCCATGAGTGATTCCATTAAAGTTCCTCTCACTAGCCTTTAAATGAGGGAAAAGCACCCACACTCCTTCTGGGGGGAGTCACAACCCCAACATCCGTCATCAGATAATCCCATGATATTCCTAACAATACCTCTGGGCTTCTCTAATTTCTTTTATAGGCTAGAAGTAGTTCGTCAGCTAAAGATTACAAAACCAGCTTCCCTTTCAAATCTGCTTCATGATCTTCCATCTCACTTTAGAACTGGAACTAGTTAGTACCTTTATCTTGGGGTCTGGGCCAAAACTGAGGCAACATAATCAAACCATAACATTCCATTCCATGTATTTGTTTTTACAAAATTAATGTATTTCCTCTACTAAGAATAAAATTCCATATGGGACACATCCGTTTTGTTTATCACTGACTATCTAAAGCACTCAATAAATACTTACTAAATGACTGACAAATACTAACAAATCAGCAAAACTCCCTGGCTCTCAAAAACTCAGAAACTATATTAATTTCATACATTTGTATGCTATTTTCAGATTCCTCCAGAATATCTCTGCAGTGTGGCTATATATTACAATTTTGGCAAAAACATGAGTATAAGAGTCACCAGAAAAATCTATACACTGAATATAAAGTAAAACATTAAACAAGCATCTTTCATTCAATCCAACAAATATTGATTGAGTACCTTCTATATACCACAGACCACGCCAGGTACTAGTGTACAGTGATGAACAAAACAGCCAACATCTGGCCTTCATGGAGCTTATAGTCTAACAGGGGATGCACACAAACAAAGCTCTTACTGCAAAAGTTCAATTTCACATAAATATGGTGAAGAATATGCATAGGGTGTACTCATAGAAAATAAAAGAAGGAAGCAAGGAGACCACCTTAGAGTGGTCAAAGGGGATTTCTCCAAGCAAATGACATTTAAACTGAGACCTGAAGATAAGCAGTAGCCCTGTAGGATGTGGGAGGGGAGTGGAGAAGTCTCCCCGAGCAAAGGCTCTGACATGACCCTTAATCTGGGGAGGAAAGTGGGATGGGAAATGGGGGAAGGCAGTCTTCATACTTTTTACTACATATATGATCTTCATTTTTTACAACAAACATATATTAATGTGTCATTTTATAATGAAAAAATGTTTACTCTGACTTTGGAATTGAATATTATATCTTGGTTCAAATTTTTCCTGAACCTGGAGATAGAAAAATGTCATCCTCCCCCTCCTACTCTACCCATCCCACCAATAAGGAGAGCAAATCTGACATATGCATCTACTACGTGCCAGCTTCCTTACTTATGTTGTGTCTTTAATCCTCAGATCAACCCTGTGAAGTTAAATTGAGGAAGAGAGAAGTGAAGTAATTTTCCCAGACTCACAATACTATGAGGTGGCAGAGCTGGGACTGAAATTCTGGTCTGTACAAACTCTTGCTCATGAAATTTAAAATGCAAAGTGACATCAATATTTGAGAAGCCCTGAATCCAATGGGAAGTCTAATATCTTGCAAATTTTTTTATTATTTTTATTTTATTTCAATAGCTTTTGGGGAACAGATGGGTTTTGGTTACATGGAAAAGTTCTTTAGTAGTGATTTCTGAGATTTTGGTGCACCCGTCACCCAAGCAGTGTACACTGTACCCAATGTGTAGTCTTTTATCCCTCACCCCCCTCCCACCCTCCCCCTGCAGTCCCCAAAGTCCATTATATCATTCTTATTGCATTCAGGTTTCCAAAATGTACTTCTGCAAATTAGAATCCCAAGCAGCCACAACAATTGGTTTAATGGGTGATTTTAAATATGAATTGTATATTAAGGTAGGTAGAAATCATAGTGAAGAAATCTTGCAGTTTATTAAAGTCTGAAATATACCAAACGAGGTGTATGATAAATGTCTGCAGGATGTAAGGTGATACTTGGGCTTAAAGTCATGAAACCTTTAATATTTATGGCCAACTACAGAAATCTCCCTAATTTGCCAACCTCAAAAAAGTTTACTAGCCTGTTCATATTTACCAAATCCTGCTTAATTACAGATGATGACTTTTTTGGTTATCTATAGCCTGTGCAAACTCTCTCTCAACCTCCACCAGTTTGTAAGTCTAGCTGTTTTTGTTTGGCTCTTTGGGAAACTAACAAAGACATATTCTCTGTAGTTCAAGTAAAAGATGTTGATAAAGATTATACCTGGAGTAATAAGAGGAATATCATAGATATTCACAAACAGAAGCCCAAGTACAGGTGTGAGCTGGAAGTAGTTGCAGATTTAAAGCAGAGATCAATCACAGCAGTGGAAATTCATGAATCCCCACTCTTTTGCTCAGCTGTTAACTTGACTCTCTTATACTCTTTTGCTCCTCCTGATCCAGACTTTGCTACTTTCTCATAGTGCCAGCTCTGTCTAAAGTTGGCTTCCATAGGACCTCGTGTAGCCTTTCCAGCTACTCCACATTCTGGCCTTTTGAGTCTCATCTTCTATTGTTTGTTATATAGTGCTACCATGTATCTAAGTTTTCGCTTTTTCTTAAATACATCACACTGAAAGAAGAGACATAATTCTGGCAACCACTTTGATTTCATAAGTAGCATATGCTACTACAGGTTGAGCTTCTGTAATCTGAAAATCCAAAATCCAACATGCTCCAAAATTTAAAATTTTTTGAGTACCAACATGATGCCACAAGTGGAAAATTCCACACCTGACCTCATGTGATGGGCTGCAATTAAAATAGAGCTACAATTTTGTTTCATGCATAAAATTATTTGAAATATTGTATAGAATTACCTTCAGGCTATCTGTATATGGTTCATATGAAACATAAATGAATTTAGTGTTTAGACTTAGATCCTATCTCCAAGATATCTCATTATGTATATGGTGATATTCCAAAATCTGAAAAAAAAACAAAATCTGAAACACTTCTGGTCCTAAGCATTTCAGATAAGGGATACTAAACGTGTACCACTAACAAGGCTGTATCATTCACTTTATAGTCTCTAATCCCAAGTAGGAAGTTCCCCAAAGGTTAAAATTTACAACTTTTGTCTTCCTGAACTGAAAATTCTTATAATCACCTAAAGATACAGTGAGAATGCCAATCCTCAAGAAGTCAATACAGGTCTCTGGGCAAGTGTGTTCCCACCTTTCCATGTGAGCTGAAGCTGAGAAGTATTATCTTGTCCCTGCAGGGAAGCTGTGGTAAGGAGGACAAAAGCATTTGGGAAATACTCCTTTATATCTCCAGAGCTTAAGCATGACAGTAAACAGTCATCAAAGAATCAAAATTGGTTGACAGTCCTAATCCCGTGGCTTATTTTCTATCCCTAACTCATTTACCAATAGGCTTATTTTTAGTGATTTCTAAAACAAGTGTTAAGTCTGGATACCTGATTATTACCTCAAATATTTTCCAACTTCTTAAACTGTTTAAACACTAAAATGTATTTCGTTGTTGTCTACCAGTAAAAACAGACCACACGGCAGGGATCCTCCTGCTATGAAAGCTGTATGTAATTCTCTGCTGGGAGTGGGTAAGAATTAGGGGAATTGTTCTGGTGGTCTTTCATACTGCAGTGGGAGCATTCTGATGGTCAATACACATCTTCGTGCAATAATATTTTATTGGGACAAGATGGGTGGTAGGATTATGAGTAGATTACCCCTTTCCAAAACCACATTGGCTGTTATCCCACCCAATATACATTGGATTCCACTACAGCTATAAGCAGTTCCGTTATAGGATTTCAAAATGTGTCCTAAATGTAGAGTTTGAGAGATTGAGAGTTGTGCTCCTTTATAGTTCATTCTCCCCTTTATATAACACAACATTTGCAAGACCTCACTGGTTGAGCCTTCAGATTGTATCCCGGTAATCACTATTTTATTTTCCAACTCTTGCCTTCTCTCCTATACTTTTCCTCTTCCCCTTGTGGTTGCTCTTTTGAAGCCCTCAACCCTCAGTACATCACCGTTTTCTTTAAGAAACAACTATTCTCGGCCAGGCACAGTGGCTCACACCTGTAATCCCAGCACTTTGGGAGGCCGAGGCGGGTGGATCACGAGGTTAGGAGATCAAGACCATCCTGGCTAACATGGTGAAACCCCATCTCTACTAAAAATGCAAAAACAAAAATTAGCCAGGCATGGTGGCGGGCGCCTGTAGTCCCAGCTACTCGGGAGGCTGAGGCAGGAGAATGGCGTGAACCTGGGAAGTGGAGATTGCAGATAGCGCCACTGCACTCCAGCCTGGGTGACAGAGCGAGACTCCATCTCAAAAAAAAAAAAAAAAAAAAGAAACAACTATTCTCATTGCACTTCTTTCTTGAATCTTGCAAACTGCACTGCTTCGGGTGCAGCTAAATGCAGTCAGTGAAGTCTGTCTACTCCTTCACTGATCCCTCAAAGGGAAAAGGAGAACTCTTGTCATTTGCATCCTTGCATATATGTACATAGGTGAGTGCATGAGAGAAAGCTATAATATATATAACATATAATATATATTTTATATATTTTATATATTTTTATATATAATTAAATTAAGCAAAAAGCCATTGATTGACCTGAGGCAACCTAACTTTGTATACAAACAAACTGAATTCCAACCTAGGAGTATATTTTTTGTAACAAATAGCTGAGATTCAGCCAATCACAAAAACCGAATTTATCACACTATACCCAAACAAGGCAAAAACCTAGCTGGAGCCAACCAGATGATTTCTCTGCTTTCTATAATAGCTAACTGCTCATGCTGCTGGTTGGAGCTCTCTGAACCTCTTCTGGTTCCAAGTGCTGCTCAATTCATGAACTGTTCTTTGCTCAAATAAACTCTTAAATTCCAACTGTCTAAAGTTTTAGCAATATAACACATACACACACACATAGCTATATGTGTATATGTGTATAGGATATAGATACATATAAATATACGGTTTGCCCCTGTGATTTTTTTTTCTTCTTTAGAAGACCACCAGTTCTATTCTACCCTGGAACGCATTAGTAAATAATGCTCATTTTCCTGAAGACTGTAAGGAAAGATTAGAGAAAGATTTTATATCACCACACAGCATTTGAAAAAATTTAAATCTCTATAAGATAGTTCTGTTCTTCCCCAAAATCTCTCTAGTTCCCTCAACACTCTTTTCTATCAATACATATTAAGTGCCTCTGGTTATCTATTGTTGCATAACAAACTAGCCTAAAACTTAGAAACTTAAACACCTTGTTATAATTCATGTCTTAGTCCATTTTCTATTGCTTATTAACAGAATACCTCAAACTGGCTAATTTATAAGAAAAGAAATTTATTTCTTACAGTTATGGAGGCTGAGAAGCCCCAGGTCAAAAGGTCACAACTGGTGAGAGCCTTCTTGCTGGTGGGGACTTTCTGCAGAGTCCCAAGGTGGCACAGGGAATCACGTGGTGAAGGGCCTAACATGCTAGCTCAGGTCTCGCTTCCTCTTTTTATAAGGCCACCAGTCCCACTCCCGATGACTCATTGATATGGTTTGATCTGTATTCCCGCCCAAATCTCATGTCAAATTGTAATCCCCAATGTTGAAGGTGGTGCCTGGTGGGAGATGATTGGATCATGGGGGTAATCCGTCATGAATGGTTTAGTGCCATCCCCTTGGTGCTGTTCCCGTGATAGAGCTCTCATGACATCTGGTCATTTAGAAGTATGCAGCACCTCCCCACTCTCTCTTGCTCCTGCTCCCACCATATGAGATGTCTTGCTCCCCCTTTGCCTTCCACCATGACTGGAAGTTTCCTGAGGCCTCCCCAGAAGCAGAAGCCACTTTGCTTCCTGTACAGCCTGCAGAACTGTGAGCCAATTAAACCTCTTTTCTTTATAAATTACCCAGTCTCAGGTATTTCTTTACAGCAATGTGAGAATGGACTAATACACCTATTAATCCATTAACCCATTAATCTACTAATCCATGGGTGGATTAATCCATACATGAAGGCAGAAGCCCAATGACTCAATCACCTTTTTAAATTTGTTTTTGAGACAGGGTCTTACTCTGTCACTCAGGCTGGAGTGCAGCAGTGCAATCACAGCTCACTGCAGCCTTGACCTCTTGGGCTCAGGTGATCCTCCTACCTCAGCCTCCTGAGTAGCTGGGACTACAGGCACCACCACCATGACCCGCTAATTTTTGTATTCTTTGTAGAGACAGGGTTTTGCAATGTTGCCCAGGCTGGTATTTAACTCCTGGACTCAACTGATCCTCCTGCCTTAGCATCCCAAAGTGTCAGCCACTGCACCCAGCCTCAACCATCTCTTAAAGGACTCACTTCTCAATATTCCCACAATGGGAATTAAATTGCAACATGAGTTTTGGAGGGAAAAAATATCTAAGTCATAGCATTCCACCCCTGACCCCCCAAAACTCATGTCCTTTTCATATACAAATACATTCATTCCTTCTCCATAGCCCCAAAGCTTTAACTCCAACACCAACTCAAAACTCCAAAGTCCAAAGTCTCATCTGTGAGCATGTGAAATTAAAGCAACTTTTCTACTTTCAAGATACAATGGAGGCCGAGTATGGTGGCTCACACCCGTAATCCCATCACTTTGGAAGGCCAAGGCAGAAGGATCACTTGAACCCAGGAGTTTGAGACCAGCTTGCATAACGTAGTTAGACCCTGTCTCTATAAAAAATAATATTTTTTAAAAATTAGCCAGTTGTGGTGGCACTCAACTGTAATCCCAGCTACTCAGGAGGCTGAGGTGGGAGGATCGCTTGAGCCCAGGAGGTCAAGACTGCAGTGAGCCATGATCATGCCATTGTACGCCTTCCTAAGTGACAAAGTGAGGCCCTGTCTCAAAAAAAGTGACTTTAAAAAAGAAAGAAAGAACGCTACAATGGTGGTACAGGAATAAGACAGACATTTGCATTCCAAAAGAGAAAAGTAGGCAAAGAAAAGAGTATCAGGCCCCAAGCAAGTCGGAAACCCAGCAGGGTAAACATTAAACCTTAAAGCTGAAGAATAATTGCTTTTGACTCCATGTTCTACCTACTGAACACACTGGGGCAAGGTTGAGCCCCCAATGCCTCAGGTAACTCTACCCCTATGGCTTTGCTGGGTGCAACCCACATAGCTGCTTGTATGGATTGAAGTCCAGTGCCTGAAACTTTCCCAGGTGGATGTTGCATGTTGCCGGTGACTCCATAGTTCCAGGGTCCTGGAAGCGGTCCTGCTTCCACAGTTCCACTTAGGCATTACCCTGGTGGGAACTTTCTGCCGCAGCCCCAGACCCACATTTCTGCTCAGCATTGCTCTAGTGGGGCTCTCTGTGGTAGCACCATACCTGTGACAAGTCTATGCTTGGGGCCCCAGGCTTTCAGTGACATCTTTTGAAATCTGGGTGGAGGTTGCCAAGCCTCCACCGCTTTTGATTTTTTCAAGCCTGCAGAATTAGCACCATGTGGATGCAACTAAGGCATACCTGGGATAAATCCCACTTAGTCATAGTGTATGATGTTTTTAAATACACATCACTGGGTTTGAATTACTAATATCGTGTTGCAGTTTTTTGCATCTATGTTGATGAGAGATACTGGGTTGTAGTTTTTTTCTTTTCTTATAATGTTTTTGTCTGGCTTTATTAGGTAATGCTGGCCTTGCAGAATGTGTTAGAAAGTATTTATCCTTCTTCTATCTTCTGGAAAACATTGTCAAGAATTGGTATGATTTCTTCCTAAAATGTTTGGTAGAATTCACCTGTGAAGACATCTGGGCTTGGTGTTTTCTATTTTGCAGGTTAATTATTTATTGATTCAACTTCTTTGATACATATCAGCCTATTCAGATTATCTAGTTCTTTTTGTTTGAGTTTTGGCAGACTGTCTTCCAAGGAATTAGGTTGTGCACACTATTCCTTTATTATCCTTTTAATGTCCATAAGATCTGTAGTGATGTTCCCTTTTTCACTTCTGATATTAGTAATTTGTGTCCTCTCTCTTTTTTTTTTCTCAGATAGCCTGGCTAGAGGTTTATCTACTGTATTAAACTTTACTAGGAACCAGCTTTTGGTTTTGTTGACTTTATTAATTTCCTGTTTCAATTTCATTGACTTCTGCTCTAATCATTATTATTTGTTTTCTTCAGGTTACTTGGATTTAATTTGCTCTTCTAGTTTTCTAAGGTGGAAGCTTAGATGATTAGTCTTCTCTTCTAACATATGTACTCAATGCTATAAAATTTCCTGTAAGCTCTACTTTTGTGCATCCCACAAATTTCAATAAGTTGTTCTCATTTTCATTAGCTCAAAATATACTTTAATTTCTCTTGAGATTTCCTCTTTGACTCATGTGTTATTTAGAAGTGTGTTGTTTCCTCTCCAAGTACTTTGAAATTTTCCAACTATCTTTCTGTTATTGTATTCTGGTTTCGTTTCATTGTGATCTGAGAGCAAACATTGTATGATTTCTATCCTTTTGAACTTGTTAACATGTGTTTTATGGCCCAGAATGTGCTATATCTTAGTGAATGTCCCTTGTGACCTTGAGAAGAACATGTACTCTGCTGTTGTTGGATAAGGTAGTCTATAGATGACCATTACATCCAGTTGATTGATGGTGTTGTTGAGTTCAACTATGGCCTTACTGATTTTTTACCTGCTGGATCTGTCCATTTTAAGAAGGGTATTGAAGTCTCCAAATATAATAACTGATTCATCCATTTGACCTTGAAATTCTACTGGTTTTTGTCTCATGTATTTTGATCCTTTGTTGTTAGGTGCTTAAACACATTGAGGATTGTATTTCAAGAACTGACTCTTTTATCATTACGTAATGCACAAATTTCTCCTGAGTAGTATTCCTTGGTCTGAAGTCTTCTCTGTTTGAAATTAACATAGCTACTCCTGCTTTCTCTTGGTTGAGGTTAGCATGATATATCTTTCTCCATTTACTTTTAAACTATACGTGTCTTTATATCTGAAGTAGGTATCTTGCAGACAATATATAGTTGGGTCACGTCTTCTGGTCCACTCTGACAATCTCTGTCTTTTAACTGGTGTATTAAATCATTCACATTCAAAATTATTATTAATAGAGTTGGTTTAGTGTTTGTTACTGTATGTAATATAATCACATTAGATACAGAGTTGTTACTGTATATATACTTATACACATATGAACATAAGCATATATAATTGAATACATTGTTGCTATTATTTTGAACAAATTATTTATGACCAATTAAGAAGAAAAATTAAAGTATTTTATCTTCACTTATTCCTTCTTTAGTGTTCCTTTTTTCTTTATGTTGATCCAAGTTTCTGTCCTATATTATTTTCCTTCTCTCTGAAGAACTTCTTTTAACTTCTCTTGCAAGGCAGGTCTACTGGCAATGAATTTCCTCATTTTTATTTGTCAATGCCTTTATTTCTTCTTAACCTTTGAAGATAACTTTGCGGGTTATGGGATTCGAGGTTATAGGAGTTTATTTCTCTCCATACTTTAAATATTTCACTCCACTATCATCTTGTTTGCACGGTTTCTGAGAAGTCAGTTGTTTTTTTTGGTTTTTTTTTTTGAGACGGAGTCTCGATCTTTCCCCTAGGCTGGAGTGCAGTTGTGCATCTGGGCTTACTGCAAGCTCTGCCTCCTGGGTTCATGCCATTCTCCTGCCTCAGCCTCCCGAGTAGCTGGGACCACAGGCGCCCGCCACCACGCCCGGCTAATTTTTTGTATTTTTTAGTAGAAACAGGGTTTCACCATGTTAGCCAGGATGGTCTCGATCTCCTGACCTCGTGATCCACCCGCCTCGGCCTCCCAAAGTGCTGGGATTACAGGCGTGAGCCACCTAGCCCGGCTGTAATTCTTATCTTTGTTCTTCTACAGGTAAGAAGTTTTTTTCCCCACTGGTTTCCTTCAGGAATTTTTTTCTGCGTTTTCATTGAAAACAGTGTGCCTAAGTGTTGTGTTCTGCGTTTTTTTGTTTTGTTTTGTTTGTGTGTGTGTTTTTGGGTTTTGTTTTTGTTTTTTTGAGATGGAGTCTCGCTCTGCCACCCAGGCTGGAGTGCCATGGTGCGATCTTGGCTCACTGCAACCTCCACCTACTGGGTTCAAGCAATTCTCCTGCCTCAGCCTCCCGAGTAGCTGGGACTTCAGGAACGTGCCACCATGCCAGCTAATTTTGGTATTTTTAGTAGAGATGGAGTTTCACCGTGTTAGCCAGGATGGTCTCAATCTCCTGACCTTGTGATCTGCCCACCTCAGACTCACAAAGTGCTGGGATTACAGGGTACAGGGGTGAGCCACCCCGCACCCACCCCTGTTTTGTTGTTGTTGTTTTGTTTTGTTTTGGTTTTTGGCAGGAGGTGGAGCATACCTTGCTTTGTGTCTCTGAGCTTCCTGGATGTGGAGTTTGGTGTTTGACATTAATTTAGGGAAATTCTTAATTACTATCTTTTCAAATAATTCTTCTATTTTTTTTTCTATCTTCTCCCTCTAGTATTCCCATTACTTGTATGTTACATTTCTGTAGTTGTTCCACAGTCCTTGGATATTCTTTGTTGTCATTGTTGTTTTCAATCTTTGTCTTCTGCTTTTCAGTTTTAGGGTTTCTATTAATACATCTTTTCTTTTTCTTTTTCTTTTTGAGACAGGGTCTCGCTCTGTAGCCCAGGCCGGAGTGCAATGGTGAGATCTCAGCTCACTGCAACCTCCACCTCCCGGGTTCAAGTGATTCTCCTGCCTCAGCCTCCCGAGTAGCCAGGACTACAGGCATGTACCACCACGTCTGGCTAATTTTTTGTATTTTTAGTAGAGACGGGGTTTCACCGTGTCAGCCAGGATGGTCTCGATCTCCTGACCTCGTGATCTGCCCACCTTGGCCTCCCAACGTGATGGGATTACAGGCGTGAGCCAGCACACTTGGCCTCTATTACTATATTTTTAAGCGCAGAGATCTTTCTTCAGCTGTGTCTAGTCTACTAAATAAGCCCATCAAAGGCATTCTTCATTTCTGTTACAGTGTTTTTGATTCCTAGCACTTTTTTTTGGCTCTTTCTTAAGGTTTCCACCTCTCTGCTTACATTGTCCCTCTGTTCTTGCACACAATCTAGTTTATCTATTTGAGTCCTTTGCAATTAATCATAGTCGTTTTAAATTCCTGGTCTGATCATTGCAACATCCCTTCCATGTCTGCTTCTGATGCTTGCTCTGTTTCTTCAAATCGTTCTTTATGTCTTTTAGAATGTCCTGTAATGTTTTTCTTGATAGCCGGATATCGTGTGCCAGGTAAAAGGAACTGCCATAAATAGGTCTTTAGTAATGTAGTGATTAGGTATGAGGGGAAGGGAAGCATTCTATAGTCCTGTGATTAAGCCTCAGTCTTTTAGTGAGCCTATGCTTCTGGACTGCGAACTCCACAAGTATTTATCATTTTTTTCTCACCCCTCTTAAGTGGGACAGGATGGCTACATAGGCTAGAATTGGGTTATTTCCCTTCTCCCACATGGAAGGCTAAAGCTAACTGGAGCTGGTTACTTCCTGTCCCTCAGCTAAATTAGGCAGCAATGAAACCCCAGTAGGTCAGGCTGTGGTTAACTAGTTCCCCTAAAGGCAGGCCTTGTTAAGAACAGATTAATCTGGCATATTTCAAAATGGTTCCTTTTCCCTCTGCCTGCCAGAAACACAAGGGGATTTTTCTCTGATACTTACCGTGGCTAACCAGGCCGACCTGCCTAGAGGTAAAACTCACAAAAGGAAGGAGGGGTTCCTATGACTAGGTCCCCAGGAATATTTAACCCTCAGACTCATTCACACTGAGCCTCTACTAATATGCCAATTACAGTTCAGGTTTTCCTACCTGGGCACTTGTTCCCACGGCAGTGTCTGTTCATGACTTTTCTGCTCTGGTAAGCATGACACTCTAATCCTGGAAGCAGCAGTGTGCTCTGCTTCCTTACTTCTCTTATGAATCTAAGAAGAGTTATTGATTTTTTCAGTCAGTTCAGCTTTTTACTTGTTGTTAAAATGGAGTGGCAGCTTTCAAGTTCCTCACATGCAGAACTGGAAACTGGAAGTCTCTATACTACAATTTGTAAAAATGTTTTTAGGCACAGTCTAGTCTTTGAATTGGGCCAGGAATATGTTGAAGAACAGTATAAGTAGAAGGGGAATCAAGTCGAAGAATTTCACACAAGTTTATTGTCTGGAACACATTCCTACCTAATGTATTTCCTTTACTACTACCAGTTTTTTGCACCAAAGCTCACAACAACACCCTTTGGGTTAATGTATGTTGTGTTGTGATTTAGCAATCATTGCCTCGTCTTCCTCCACCTTACTTCACCTCTTGCAGTTGTTGACTAGGAGAATATATCATAGAAATGACAAGTAAACTCAAACCCCTGCAATAAAGAAGTTTTCTAAAGGGCATTTGTCTTCTCCAGTGACCTCATCCAAGCACCCATAAATAAACATTGAATGCCTTTAAGAACTTTTGGTGAAATCTGGATTCTGCTCAAGGAATAAGGAGACAGTCAGCTTTCAGTCTTTGTTTCAGGTTCACTTGTTTACAATATTTGCTAAGGTATACTATTTTGTAGTTTGTGTCTTAATAGCTTTTCCAATTCTTTGAAAATGGCATTTTTGAGCCAGGCACAGTGGCTCATGCCTGTAATCCCCGCACTTTGGAAGGCTGAGGCGGGTGGATCACTTGAGTCCAGGAGTTTGAGACCAGCATGAGCAACATAGCAAGACCCTGTCTCGACTAAAAATACAAAAATTTAGCTGGGTGTGGTGGCATGCACCTGTAATCCCAGTTACTCAGAAGGCTGAGGCATGAGACTTGCTTGAACCCAGGAGACAGGTTGCAGTGCGTCAAGATCATCCTACTGCACTCCAGCCTGGACGACAGAACAAGACTATGTCTCAAAAAAAAAGAAAATGGCATTTTTTCTCTACATTTTCATTTTTGTCATTTTATTGTCAAAGAAGAAGAGAGTAAAAATGCCTTCTCCCCACTCCCCATCATCTTTTGCAGAAGATCCATCCCTTTATTTTAAACTTTTTTAGAGGGGTGTTGTCTCTAGTAAACATATCTTTAGATTTTTAAAAATCTGAACATTCTAATAGGTGAATTTAACTTGTTAAAATTTTGATAGCAAGTAAAATAAGTCTCAGTGTTTTAGAAACACTTATCCTTCAGTAGAATCCAGATATAAATGAAACTAATCAAAATAATCAAAGAAAAATGAAAAACAATGAGAAGGCAATATCTAATTCATGCAATGACTGCAAAATGAACAAAACTGGAAGAACAGGCCTAACTAAAGGTCCCAGGATAAGTCATATAGCAGAATCACTCTGAGAAAGGGTCAAATAGGAACAAAGATTAAGGAGTGAGTTTTGAATTTTACATAAATGTGTAAATTCAATCCTGTGTCACTGGGATGCTGTGTTCCTGTTTCCTCTCACATTGACTCTGATCAGGTCATTGTAATCAATCATGCAGCTATTGTGTCCATATTGACTTCTTCTCTATTCCAACTATTTCCATCCATAGAAGAAATCATGGACTACGGGAAGGCAAATGGTCACTTTTTCTCAAGTCAGAGATGAAGAGAGTAAATTAGGAAGCCTATTGCCTAGATTGGTCTACCTGCCCTTAACACTGCTCAAGATAGATGGGCTTCCCAAGACAAGGGACTAACACAGGGAGTCAACACATTTGTTGTGATTACTAATCTTTTAAAATTTATTCCTACCCTCTTATGTTATTTTTCCTATTTTTTCAATTTACCATACCTATTGTTGCTACTCTAACTTTTCTGCCTTTTCATTTTGGATTCATTTTCTTTTCCATGTTTTTACTCTAATGGTTTGGAAAATATCCAGCCTATTTCCCTGCTTCTTATAGTTAACCTTAAATTTTGAAGGAATACCCTTTTTTTTCTTTTCTCACACAGCATTGATAAAGGAACACAATTTCATTGGCCAAAAGTATCTCCATCAGTATCAGTATTTATAGCCTTCCCTGCTGGCTACCATCCACTTTTACCACGACACATGTTCTACCATCTGAGGGTTCAGTTCTGGATTATTAAATTGTTTGACTTAATGAATCAACTATTACTTGGACTTAACTATTTTGTTTGACTGGCATTCTTCACCACTATTTCCTGTACCCATTTCTTCCTCGTCCTTAGATTTCTTTTTTTACTATTTTATTATTTTTATTTTTGCTTCCTATGTGATAATAGATTTGTTTTGCAGGAATGAAGCCTCTAATCACTATTTAATAGGAAAGAAATGGAGAACTGGATTTACAATGTCTTCAAATCAAAGTCAGTATGAAAGCCTCCCAGATAAGAGCAGGAGATGAGGGCTGTGGGAAAAAAATAGATGTCTGTGAAACAAGAGGCTCAGGAACACTGGGAATCAACTGCTTTTTCTACTCAGAGGATGTGTCCTTGGTAATACTGTCTTTTGGTTAAGAATCAAGAGTCCTAGCACTTATATTTATTGGGTAAAATAAAAAGAATTAAGAAAGGCTGGGCACGGTGGCTCACACCTATAATCCCAGCACTTTGGGAGGCTGAGGCAGGTGGATCACCTGAGGTCAGGAGTTCAAGACCAGCCTGGCCAACATGGTGAAACCCCATCTCTAATAAAAATACACAAATTTGCTGGTCGTGGTGTTGCGCGCCTATGATCCCAGCTACTCAGGAGGCTGAGGCACAAGAATCGCTCGAACCCCGGAGGCAGAGGTTGCAGTCAGCCAAGATCATGCCACTGTACTCCAGCCTGGGTGACAGAGTAAAACCCTGTCTCAAATAAAAAAAAAAAAAAAGAATAAAAAAAGAATCAAGAGAACTTAGTATTTGCTTACACTAATGGAAACACATGGATTAAGTTATTTCTGAATGGTCGCCTCAACCCTAAATATATAAAATAATAAAAGCTTAGCAAGACTTGAGTTTTCCCACATCCATAGGACCCTGCTCTGGCTGGACATCATCTCCAGCAATGATACATCCCATTAAGAACCTGAGAGCCATGGAAAGATGCACTGAACAGATACTGTTTCGGATCTGCTCTGTGTAACCAACTCATTTGTGATAACATTTATATCCTTAGTTAGTTAAATCATAAATTTTAAAAAATCTTTGCTCAGACAAGGAAGGGAAGGAACATTTTCTACAACCCACAATCCACCTGAAATACCTCACGTGGGAAACCTTAAGGCCTTGCACATCTTTAGTTTGCCCTCCCACCTAAATGTTACTTTGGGTAGGTATAGTATTCTAATTGGTTAAAAAATCATTTTCTTTTCTATCTTTGAAAGTGTTGTTTCATTGCCTGCAAAGATTGTGCTACAATAAAAGATGTGATTACTGCTTTGTAGACAACCTCTTTTTTTCTGTCTGAAAGCTTTTGGAATTTTCTCATTATCCTTTGTCTTCTCAAATTTCACCAGAATGTATTTAGGTGTAGGCTTTTTATAATTTATTCTACTTCCAGTTGACGGATTGTTTCAATCTGAGGCCTTTTATCATTTCCAGCTCTGGGAAACTTTTATTTGACTCCTTTATTTCCTCCCTTCCATTTTCTCTATCTGAAATTCCTATTAGACAGATATTAAATTCCTGAATCTATATTCCATGTGCCCTTTTTTCTCACTGTTTCTAATTCCTTCGTCTTTTCTCTATGCTCTTAAAGACTTTCACAGCTTACTCTGGCAGCTAATTTGATCTTTGACTGTATCACTCTGATATTTAGCGCAGATGTTGAGTTCTTCATCTTAATAATTATATTTTTAATATTCAAGATCTCTGCTTCATAGTCAAGGATGTTCCATTGTCAAATCTATGAGAATATGTTTGCTTTAAAAATCGTTCTCTGCTTGCCATGTTAACTCTGAGTTCTCAGTATTAGTTCTATTTCTTGAGTTTGGTACTTCTTTTTTATGGTATTGATTTTCCTCAAGTATTTGGTGAAATTTGGTAGTCTGATCACATTTTTTTTTTTTTTTTTTTTGAGATGGAGTATCACTGTGTCACCCAGGCTGGAGTGCAGTGGCACAATCTCGGCTCACGCCAACCTCCGCCTCCCAGGTTCTAGTGATTCTCCTGCCTCAGCCTTCAAGTAGCTGGGATTATAGGCACCTGCCACCACAACCCGCTAATTTTTGTATTTTTAGTATAGACAGGGTTTCACCATGTTGGCCAGGCTGGTCTCACAGTCCTCACTTCAAGTGATCCACCCACCTCGGCCTCCCAAAGTGCTGGGATTACAGGCGTGAGTCACCATGCCTGGCCTGATAACATTTTTTTAATTAAAAGGTTTTTTTTTGTAGAGATAGGGTCTCCCTATGTTGCCCAAGCTGGTCTCAAACTCCTGGTCTCAAGCAATCTTCCCTCCTCAGCCTCTCAAAGTGTTGAGATTATAGTCATGAGCCATTGCACCCAGCCCTGAGCACTTCTGTACTTGAGAATTTCTGTCCTTCTGTTTATTTTTACTGTGACCTGATTCTGGTAAATATAGGAGGAGGGGCAGGACATGTGGCACCTATTATAGTTGTAAAAGCTTTCCATTTTTTTCTAAAGGGCAGTAGCAACTACCTGGAAAAAAATCCCAGGACCTTTAGGCCCCAGTATCCACATTTACAACATTAGTCAATAAGCCAATGCTAGTGAATTGAATGATATGTAAATTATATCTCAATAAAGTTATTTTTTTAAGCCAGTGCCACAAACTGAGATGGGAGAGGGTTTGACATGCTAAATAGCTAAGTATAGTTCCCTTAACAATCCCACTGACGATTATCCCAGGCCCCTTTTCTATTCCTTGTATATGTTGAAACTGAGCCTGGAATTTCCCACATCTAAAACACCCTTCTACTGTGACTACTGAGCTATGTTTTTCTCCAGATTTGTTTGGAGGTGGAACATATGTGCCACCTTCTTGATCTAATCTCTCCACCTACAATAAATTAAAATAAAACCTAAACTACAATATGGATAAATCTCACATATATAACATTGAGCAAAGCAAGTCAGAGGTAATAGTACACTCTATAGCACTATATTTATATTAAAGTTCAAACAGGCAAAACTAATCTATGCTGTTAGAAGTCATGATTGGGGTTATCTTTAGGGGGCTAATGAATAGAAGAGGGCACAAGAAGGTCTTTTTGGGTCTTGGTAATGTTCTGTTTCTTGCTCTGGGAGCTGGTTGCATGGGTATACTAACTTTGTGAAATTCATTCAGCCATACACTTAGAACTTGTATACCTGTGTTATACTTCAACTAAAAAGGTTTTGGTGTGCAGGGGTCTCTTATTTCAGATAAAACAGACTTTAAACCAACATGATCAAAAAGGACAAAGAAAGGCATTACATAGGCCGGGCGCAGTGGCTCATGTCTGTAATCCCAGCACTTTGGGAGGCCAAGGCAGGTAGATCACGAGGTCAGAAGATCGAGACCATCCTGGCTAACAAGGTGAAACCCTGTCTCTACTAAAAATACAAAAAAAATTAGCTGGGTGTGGTGGCAGGCGCCTGTAGTCCCAGCTACTTGGGAGGCTGAGGCAGGAGAATGGCATGAACCTGGGAGGCAGAGCTTGCAGTGAGCCCAGATTGCACCACTGCACTCCAGCCTGGGCAACAGAGTGAGACTCCATCTCAAAAAAAAAAGAAAGGCATTACATAGTGATATAAAGTGTTCAATTCAACAGGAAGACCTAACTATCCTAAATATATGTTCACCCAACACTGGAGCACCCAGATTCATAAAACAAGTTCTTAGAGACCTATAAAGACTCTTAGATAACCACACAATAACAGTGGGAGACTTCAATACTTCACTGATAGGATTAAACAAATCTTCAAAGCAGAAAACTAACAAAGATGTTTGGGACCTAAACTCAACACTTGACCAAACGGACCTAACAGAAATCCCCAGAACACTCCACCCAACAACAACAGTATATGCATTCTTCCCAGAGGCACATGGCACATACTTTAAACCCAACCACACAATCAGAGATTAAGCAATTCCCAATAAATTTTTTAAAAACCAAAATCTTAACAATTACGCTCTCAAGCTACAGCACAATAAAAATAGAAATCAATACCAAGAGCTCTCAAAAATCATATAATTACACGAAAATTAAACAATCTCCTCCTGAATGACTTTTGGGTAAACAATGAAATTAAGGCAGAAATCAAGAAATTCCTTGAAACTGATGAAAACAAAGATACAACATACTATAATATTTGGGACACAGCTAAAGCAGTGTTAAGAAGAAAGTTTATAGTGCTAAATACCCACGTCAAAAAGTTAGAAAGAGCTCATATTAACAACCCAACATCACACTTAGAGGAACTAGAAAAACAAAAGGAAACCAACCCCAAAGCTAGTAAAAGAAAATAATCATATTAGAGCTAGGCTGAACAAAACTGAGACACAAAAAGCCATAAAAACCAAAAGTTTATTCTTTGAAAGAATATGATTGATAGACCACTAACTAGAAAAATAAAGAAAAAAACAGAAGACCTAAATAAACCCAAGCAGAAATAACAAAAGGGACACCACCACCAACTCAAAGAAAAACAAAATCTCTCAGAAACTATTACAAACACTTCTGTGAACACAAACTAGAAAACCTAGAAAAAAGTTGATAAATTCCTGGAAACAGACAACCTCCCAATACTGAGCCAGGAATAAATTGGAACCCTGAACAAACCAAAAACAAGCTTCAAAACTGAATCAGGGTCTGGCACAGTGGCTAACATCTGTAATCCCAGCACTTTGGGAGGCCGAGGCAGGAGATCACCTGAAGTCAGGAGTTGGAGACTAGCCTGGCCAACATGGTAAAACCCCATTTCTACTAAAAATACAAAATTTAGCCGGGCATGGTGGCACACACCTGTAATCCTAGCTACTTGGGAGGCTGAGGCAGGAAAATCGCTGGAACCCGGGAGGTGGAGGTTGCAGTGAGCCAAGATAGCGCCATTGCACTCCAGCCTGGGTGACAGAATGAGACTCTGTTTCAAAAAAAAACCTTAATCAGTAATAAAAAACCTACCAACCATAAGAATCCCTGGACCAGATGGATTCATAGCTGAATTATACCAGACATATAAAGAAGAACTGGTACTAGTCCTACTGAAACTATTTCAAAAAAAATGACAAAGAAGCACCCCTCACTAACTCATTCTGAGGCCAGCATCATTCTGATACCAAAACCTGGTGAGACACGATGAAAAAAGACAATTCCAGGCAGATATGCCTGATGAACAGAGATTCAAAAATCCTCCACCAAATACTACCAAACCAAATCTAGCAGCACACCCAAAAAGCAAATCCATCGTGATTATGTAGGTTTTATTCCTGAGATGCAAGGTTGGTTCAACATACACAAGTGAATAAATGTTTTCATCACATGAACAGAACTAAAAAACCACAAGATCATCCCAATAGACTCAAAAAAGGCTTTTGATAAAATTCAACACCCCTTCATGTTAAATATCCTCAACAAACTAGGTATTGAAGGAACATACCTCAAAATAATTACAGCCAACTATGACTAACCTACAGCCATCATCACACTGAATGTGTAAAAGCTTGAAGCATTCCCCTTGAGAACCAGAATAAGACAAGGATGCCCACTCCCACCACTCCTATTCAACACATTACTGGAAGTCCTAGCCAGAGCAATCAGGTGGGAGAAAGAAATAAAAGGCATCCAAAAAGGAAGAGAGGAAGTCAAGCTATCTCTCTTTGTAGATATGATCCTATATCTAGAAAACCTCATAGTCTGACCAAAGGCTCCTAGATTTGAGAAACAACTTCAGCAAAGTTTTAGGGTATAAAAACCAGTAGCATTTCTTTCTTTTTTTTTTTTTTTGAGATAGTGTCTCACTGTGTCGCCCAGGCTGTAGTGCTGTAGTTCAAACATGGAACAATGCAGCCTTAATGTCCTGGGCTCAAGCAATCCTCCCACCTCAGCCTCCCAGGTAACTAAGACCACAGGCCACCATGCCCAGCTAATTTTTTTTAATAGAGATAGGGTCTCAATAAATGGGCCGGAGTAACACACCCAAATGAGGAATGTGTTGCCTACAAAATCCAAACAGGCCTGCTAGGCGTTGTGCCTCCTTCTTTTCTTTTCTTTTCTTTTCTTTTTTTTTTTTTTTTTTTTTTTTTGAGACAGAGTCTTGCTCTGTCACCCAGGCTAGAGTGCAGTGGCATGATTTCAGCTCACTGCAACCTCCACCTCAGGTTCACGTGATTCTCCTAACTCAGACTCCTGAGTAGCTGGGATTACAGGCGTGTACCACCATGCCCGGGTAATTTTTGTATTTTTAGTAGAGACGGGGTTTCACCATGTTGACCAAGCTGGTCTTGAACTCCTGACCTCAAGTGATCCACCTGCCTTGGCCTCCCAAAGTGCTGGGATTACAGGCATGAGCTGCCGCACCCAGCCTGTGCCTCTTTCTTGGTTGTAGAAGAGGCCAAATGCAGCAACTTACCCTTCACCTTACAAGGAATATCTTGACAGGCCCCACACCACTGGACCCCTAAAAATTTTACTGAGGTAGAAGTTCCCTGAATTTCAGTCAAATTTATTCTCTGGAACACAAATGTCTCACCAATAAGTCCAGTGTGTTTACTACTTCTTGCTCACTGGATCCAATCAGCAGAATGTCATCAATGTAATGGACCAGTGTGATATCTTGTAGAAGCAAAAAGAAATCAAGTTCTCTCCGAATAAGATTATGACACAAAGCTGGAAAGTTGATATACCCCTGAGGTAGTGAAGGCAAATTGCTTCTGGTGGGCCTCATGGACAGGAATGGAGAAAAAGGCATTTGCCAAGTCAATGGCTGCATACCAGGTACCAGGAAATGTGTTAATTTGCTCAAGCAATGAAACCGCATCTGGTACAGAGCTGCCATTGGAGTCACCACTTGGTTAAACTTACGATAATCCACGGTCATTCTCCAAGATCCATCTGTCTTCTGCACAGGCCAAATGAGTTGACTGGGGATGTGAAGGGAATCACCACCTCTGTATATTTCAAATCCTTGATGGTGGCACTAATTTCCACAATCCCTCCAGGGATGCGATATTGTTTTTTATTTACTATTTTCCTAGGTAGAGGCAGCTCTAATGGTTTCTATTCAGCCCTTACCACCATAATAGCCCTCATCCTACCAGTCAGGGAGCCAATGTGGGGGTTCTGCAAGCTGCTAAGTATGTTAATGCCAATTATGCATTCTAGCACTGGGGAAATGACCACAGGATGAGACCAGGGACCCACTGGACCCACTGTAAGTTTGACCTGAGCTAACACTCCATTAATTACCTTACCTCCATAAGTCCCTACTTTAACTGGAGGACCACAATGATGTTTTGAGTCCCCTGGAATCAACATCAGCTCAGATCCGGTATCCAGTAATCCCCAAAATGTCTGATCATTTCCCTTTCCCCAGTGCACAGTTACCCTGGTAAAAGGCTGGATGTCTCCGTGGGGAAGGATGGGAAAAAGATGAACAGCAGAAATTGTTGGTAGTGTAGTGGGGTCCTTCCTCAAAGAGACCCGGCCTCCCCTTCATTCAAGGGGTTCTGGGTCTGTAAAGTGGCTCGTCTGGAAATTAATTGAGGGGACATGATTCTCTCTTTTTATAATTCAAATTAGCCTTTTGTCCATTTGACCTGGAAGTTTTCTGCTTATATAAATTAAGTAGGAATGCAGTAGGCTTCCTATCAATTTCACTTCTAGGAACAATGTACTTAGCCAATGCCAGAGCTCTACACGAGTCAGACTATTCTAATTGTTGCTTTGCCTCTGCTGTCCATTATGGTAGCTATGCTGACCTTGCCTTTGATTGTTGAGTGCTGCCACTTGGCCCCTGCCACCATGGGATCTAATTATCCCCATTTTATTTAAATTCTGTAGTTGAGTGACTGCAGTTCCCACTGTTAGATCTGACATACGGAGAAGAGCAATTACAGGGCTTTTCAAAGATGCAGGTGCTGCCCTCATAAATCTGTTTTGCAAAGCATTGGTCAAGGGTATACCTTCCGGACCCTCCCAGCTGGGATGAGTAGGTCTAAAGTGACTAATCCTCTCCACCATACCAATCTCCCTAAGCCTTTGGATCCCTTCCTCTACATCAGACCAAGGGAGATCAGGCATTTCCAGCTCACTTGCAGTGGGCCATCTTTTAATCCATATTTCAGCTAACCAAGCAAATAAACTATTAGAACCTTTTTTAACTACCCAAGCTACAACATTAAATGCAGAAACCCTATTTATTGGCCCAAATCAATAAATTCAGCCTGATCCAACTCTATGTTCCTTCCACCATTATCCCACACCCTTAATATCCATTCCCATGCCTGTTCTCCAGATTTCTGCTTACATAAATTAGAAAACTCAAGTAGTTCCTTTTGAGTGTAGTGCACCTCTTCATGGGTAACACTCTCAACCTCACCTCTAGGGGCCCGCTGGGACTTTAGTCTAGTTATAGTTCTAGAAGTAGACAAGGGTGTTGGGGGTGGCTCCTAAGGAGAATCAACATTATCTTGCCTGGCAACTGACACAGGGGAGGCCATCACTGTTGCCTCAGGCAGCAGCACAAGGTTTATCTCCTCAGACAAAGGTGGAAAGGCTGATGGCAGCATGGATCAGGGAGGGGATGTTGCCACTACTGGGAATGGGGAAGCTGTTTCTTCTGGCAAAAAAAAGTTCATCAGAGTTTACAAGCTCAGTGTCTCCAGTTTCATCACGGTCCTCCCACATGTCCCCATTCCAAGTTGCAGGGTCCCATTCTTTTCCAATCAATGACCTCACTTTAACAGTAGACACCTGGTGAGGCTGTGCATCCACCTTTCATTGCAGGTCAGCCATGCACGTGATAAGAGCTTGTGTCTGTTTTTCTACAATTTCAGCTCTTTCTCTACAGGAGATAAGACTCTCATTCAGGGCAATCTTAGAAGATTTGAGGCTCAGGATCTGCTTCTGAAGCTGGCAGTTAGAATCCCTGAGTTCATCATTTTCTTTCATCACTTTGTCCAGTGAACTTAGGAGCAACCAACCAACTTCATTATGTTCCTTGGTCCTCCACATATAGTCAAAGGTATGATGTATAGAGTCACTAAACTCCTTGCCTCTCAGGGGTGTCAAATGCATTTATTTTGCATAACTCTCTAAACAGTTCATGCCAAGGACTATCAGTGTTCTCCATACTATTAGAAGTAGCATCCTTACCATTATGGGGTCTAATCATATTAAGCAACCAACTCCAGAAACCCTAAAACCAGTGAAAGAACTCCATCCTTAATATTCTGTTCCTCTAGAACCACTCCTGGTACCAAAATCTGTATTCACCAGAGTTCTCCAGAGGGACAGATCTAACAGGAGAGAGATATATATCTATATATATGGATATATATAGATATATATCTCCATATATCCATATATATCTATATATATGGATATATATAGATATATATCTCCATATATCCATATATATATCCATATATCCATATATATATCCATATATCCATATATATACATATCCATATATCCATATATATATATCCATATATCCATATATATATATCCATATATCCACATATCCATATATATATATCCATATATCCATATATATATATACATCCATATATCCATATATATATATATATATATATATATATATATATATATATATATGGGAGTTTATTAAGTAGTATTAACTCACACAATCACAAGGTCCCACAATAGGCCATCTGCAAGCTAAGAAGCAAGGAAGCCAGTCTGAGTCCCAAAGCTAAAGAACTTGGAGTCTGATGTTTAAGGGCAGGAGCATCCAGTATGGGAGAAAGATTTAGGCTGGGAGGCTAAGCCAGTCTAGTGTTTTCACGTTTTTCTGCCTGCTTTATATTCTGGCCACACTGGCAGCTGATTAGATGGTGCCCAACCAGATCGAGGGTGGGTTTGCCTTTCGCAGCCCACTGACTGAAATGTTAATCTCCTTTGGCAACACCCTCACAGACACACCCAGGACCAATACTTTGCATCCTTCAATCCAATAAACTTGACACTCAGTATTGACCATCACAATGCCCATTAGTGGTGGACTGGATAAAGAAAATGTGGCATATAAACACCATGGAATACTATGCAGCCATGAAAACAAAGGAGATCATGTCCTTTGCACTAACATGGATAGAGCTGGAGGCCATCGTCCTATGTGAATTAACACACGTCCTAAGTGAATTAATGCAGAAGCAGAAAACCAAATACCACATGCTCTCTCTTGTAAGTGGGAGTGAAACATGGGGTACACATGGAAACAAAGGAACAAGAAACACTGGGGCCTACTTCAGTTTGAAGGGTGGAAGGAGGGTGAGAATTGAAAAACTTCCTGTTGAGTACTATGCTTATTACCTGGGTGACAAAATAATCTGTATACCCAAACCTCACGACATACAATTTACCCATATTAACAAATCTGCACATGTACCCCCAAACCTAAAATAAAAGCTAGGGAAAAAATTTTTAACCTGAGTTTAGATTATTTCAAATTCTCCATTCACCTTATATAAAGAGAGCTATTCATTTGCTTTAACCATAGCTTTAAAAACAGATTACTAGGCCAGATGTGGCAAAAAAATTTTTTAAATATTTCAAAACCTGAAAAATCAGATCATATAGTGGATTTGCACTTCTGGTAATGGCAGAATGGGTCAGTAAAGCCAGTTATTTCTGCTCATCTACTAGACAAGTAGAACAAAATACACAAACATCTCCTTGAAGGTACTGAAGAACTGCAAAACTCTGAAGACCTACCAGGCCAGACACTGGTGAAATACAGAGATCAAGAGAGCCCTGCATTCGGCAATTCTGGAAGAAGTGCCTGAGAAGTGCTTTTGACAGTCTCTCGTGGGTGAGGAAACAGAGATTGGAGCCCAGAGTACAAAGGGATCTGTGTTGGGAGAGGAATCAGGTGATTGGGTGAACCCACATCAATTTGGGTTAAGACCTCAAAGGGTTGCAGCCTACAAGAGTGAAATAGAAGTGGCTGGGAACAGTGGCTCATGCCTGTACTGTAATCCCAGCACTTTGGGAGGCCAAGGCCGGTGGATCACCTGAGGTCAGGAGTTTGAGACCAGCCTGGCCAACGAAACTCTGTCTCTACTAAAAATACAACAATTAGCCAGGCGTGGTGGCAGGTGCCTGTAATCCCAGCTACTTGGGAGGCTAAGGCAGGAGAATTGCTTGAACCCGGGAGGCGGAGGTTGCAGTGAGCCTAAATCGCATCACTGCACTCCAGCCTGGGCAACACAACAAGACTCTGCCTCAAAAAAAAAAAAAAAAAAAGTACACTAGTAATAGATTCCTGAAGAGACTACACTTGTAATAAGAGTAAGCTACGGATGTCATGGGAACACAGGAGATGGGCAGGTTATCCAAAGGACACATTTAATCTGAGAGCTGAGAGAGCAATAGGAGTAAAAATTATCCAAGCCAAAGTACAAATTGGAGAAGAAGGAGAAAAGCATTCTAGAGACAGTAGCTACCTATGTAAAGGCTGCAGGCAATCTGAAAAACTGGTGCATTGATAGGATAGGGGCATGAAAATATGAGTAGTTGACTATAACAAGAGCATAGTTAGGAAGACAGTTAAGAGTTGTTAAGAGATGAAGCTGAACCTGGATGGAAAGAGGTGGTCAATGTAAGAGAAGTTAAAAATGTAAAATTATTAAGACTGTAAAATTAGGCACGGTGGCTCACATCTATAATCCCAGTACTTTGGGAGGCCAAGGCGGGCAGATCACTGGAGGTCAGGAGGTCGAGACCACCCTGGCCAACATGGTGAAACCTCATCTCTACTAAAAATACAAAAAACTGGCTGGGTGCAGTGGCTCACGCCTGTAATCCCAGCAGTTTGGGAGGCCAAGGCAGGCCGATCACGAGGTCAAGTGTTCGAGACCAGCCTGGCCAATATGGTGAAACCCCGTCTCTATTAAAAACTCAAAAATTAGCTGGGTATGGTGGCAGGCACCTATAATCCCAGCTACTTGGGAGGCTGAGGCAGGAGAGTCTGCTTGAAACCAGAAGGCGGAGGTTGCAGTGAGTGAGCTGAGAACGTGCCACTGCACTCCAGCCTGGGCGAAAGAGCAAAACTCTGTCTCAGGGGGAAAAAAAAACTAGCCGGGCATGGTGGCAGGCGCCTGTAATCCCAGCTACTCAGGAGGCTGAGGCAGGAGAATTGCTTGAACCCAGGAGGAGGAGGTTGCAGTGAGTCAAGATGACGTCATTGCACTCCCAGCCTGGGTGATAAGAGCGAAACTCTGTCAAAAAAAAAAAAAAGGCTGTAAAATTAGAGCTACACTAAAGACAAAGATGGCTTCCATGTCTATCTCTGGTGGCTGAAATGACCATACTAGCTTACTTTTGAGATTCAAGCCAAACATGATCTACTTCTCATTATATTTACTTTCATAAAGTACTTGGGTTGTCTTACCAAAACCAGATCCTAACCCTTTCCTGTTCAAAACCCTTTTCCTGTATAGACTGAATATCTCTTATTCAAAATGCTTAGGGCTGGGTGCAGTATCTCATGCCTGTAATCCCAGCACTTTGGGAGATCAAGGCAGGAGGATTACTTGAGCCCAGGAGATCAAGACCAGTCTGGGCAACATAGCAAGACCCCGTCCCTACAAAAAAAAAGTTTTTTAATTTGTTGGGCATGGTGGCGCATGCCTGTGGTCCCAGCTACTCAAGGGACTGAGGTGGGAGGATCACTTGAGACCAGGATGTCAAGGGTACAGTAAGCCACGATAGCACCACTACATTCCAGCCTGGGTGACAGAGTAAGACCCTGTCTCAAAAAAAGAAAAAAATGCTGGGGACCAGAAGTGTTTCAGATTTTGAATTTTCTTGGATATTGAAATATGTGCATTATACTTACCACTTGAGCATCCCAAGCTAAAAATCCAAAATCTGAAATGCTCCAATGAGCATTTCCTTTGAGCATCATGTCAGCACTCCTAAGTTTCAGATCTTGGAGCATTTTGGATTTCAGATTTTCAAATTAGAGGTATTCAACTTGTACTTACAATAAAACTTTAAATGTCCATAAAACACAGCCTGTAAGGATTTGGCTCTCACCTGCCCATCATCATCTTCTCATATCACTTTCCTTCTCACTCAAAACCCTTAAAGTTAACATAGCTTTCTTCAATTCTACAAAATGTTAAAGATATTGGCCCCCTCAGGGTGTCATATATGATGTTCTTTCTGCCTAAAATTTTAGTTTTTTTCCCCCATTCTTCATCTATTTATCGTTCAGGTCAACTTAAATAACATGTTAGCAAACATAACTTCTGTGACTCCCTCCTCCCCCAGTTTAAGTTAGGTCCCATGGCTATTTTCCATACCCTATTTTTGATTATGTATTTAAGGTTACATGTTTGTCTATCTCCTCTTCTAGGGCAAGTTAGGGCACTGACTTTGTCTTTGTATTTAAGGTTACATGTTTGTCTATCTCCTCCTCTAGAGCAAGTTAGGGCACTGACTTTTTCTTTTTGGTTCTTCAGTAAATATCCAGTTCCTAGCACAGTGTACAGTGGTGTACAGTAAGTGTCCAAACGTGATCAAATATTGAACGAATCACTCAATGCACAGGAAGAAGAGCAAGTTTGAGGAGAGAAAGGTTTCAGGTTTGGATTTTTAAATCTGAAGTGTCTACACAATATTCAAGAGGAAATGTTAAGCAAATACACAAAATTATCTGGATTTCAGGAGAACGATATGGGACAGGGTGATTGATATGGGAGTAAACAAGTATATGGTAACTGAAGTTACTCAAGGAATGAGAATACAAAGAAAGAATAAATTTTACAACAGAAAAAAAGAGAGGCTAAGACTAAGAAAGAACTATCAAACTCATAGCAGGAAAATAAGATGCAGCCAAACCACAGTGTGTGATACTATGGCAAAGGTGATTTCAAACAGAGTTTGAATATGCTGAATATGCTGGGCACAGTGGCTCATGCCTATAATCCAAAGCTTTGGGAAGTCAAGGTGGGAAAATCACTTGAGCCCAGGAATTCAAGGCTTCAGTGAGCTGTGACTGTGCCACTGCACTCCAGCCTGGGCGACACAGTGAGATACTGTCTCAAAAAATAAAAATAAAAAATAAAGTAGTTCCACATACTACAAAAAGATAAGGTTCGATAAGTAAAAGGAAAAATAGCAGGGTCCTGTGGAGAAGAAAGAAGTAGAAATCTCAGTGATGTCAAGTCAAGGTGTGGTGGGAACAGTGGAATAAGGAAGCTCAGCTGATTGAAGGCTGACATCACATATGACATTAGAGATGTGATTCCCCCAACTGTTGAACCTACCAAAGTATCATATTGTATGTCTATGTTTGTGCATATGTGCATAAACTATAAATAGGTTCCATTTAAAACAGCACTTGATTTATAAGTGTTCTGAGCACGTTTAAGGTAGGCTATGATATTCAGGTTAGGTGGATTAAATGCATTTTCAACTTACAGTACTTACAATACTTTCAATTTACAATGGGTTTATCAGGAGGTAACCCCATTGTTAAGTCCAAGAGCATCTGTATATTAAATAAGGTGTTTTTAAAAAGAAACAGACATAAAATAAGTTATAGACTGAGAGGCTGACAAAAATGTTATGACCAGAGGCTCACAGGAACTTAACCCTGAATTTCCCCTAGGAGTTCAGTATTCATTAATTCAGTGTTCACAGTGCCTTTATAGAACAAAACTACCCCAAACAAGAACAAACTGTACCTTGAATGTGACACCTTTATGAGTGTAAAATTAATGAGACAGGGCAACAGAGTTCATTCATCAAAATAAGGTACCATTTCCCAACATACAGTATTATTGCATGAGAGTACTCAATAACTTGAGTGTCAAACGGTTCAAAACACTAAGTGCTAAAGTTCTATGGAAAAGATTCCTATAGTTCAATATTCTTCCCCAGCTAGGAGGGTAAAGCTGTCTTTTGCCATAATTTGGAGCACATGAAGGTAGGCATCAGAAGCTGAAATACAAAGCCGCCAAAGTTAGAGAAGGAAAAAGTAAGTTCAAAATTGGCAGCAAAAGTAAGGTCTCACTGAATACAAGAAATCAGAAGATTGAGCCTGTGTCCCGATGGGAGTTCACGTAAAGGGCCTAGGAGCAGGTTTGCAACCAGTGAACAGCGAAGATAGATCTTAAGAAACTGCTAATATTTTGATTAGCCACTGTGCTCACACCTTTACATTTCAGGGTATCACCAACCTTTTTCATGCTCTCTCACTCCGAAAAATAATTTTATCCAATTGTGATGGTTAATTTTGTGTCAACTTGGCTAGGCCACAGTTCCCAGGTATCTGGTCAAATACCATTTAGGTGTTTCTGTGAAGACTGTAAGAGATTAACATTTAAATCGGTAGGCCTTGAATAAAGAAGATAGTCCTTCAAAGTGTAGGTGGACCTCATCCAATCAGTCGGAGGCTTTAAAGACTGGCCTTAGCAAAAAGGGAATTCTGACAGAAGACTGTCCTCAGACTGGAACTCCAACTCCTTCCTATGTCTTCCTGCCTGCCAGCCTATCCTGCAGATTTTTGACCTGCCAGCTTCCACAACCACGAGCCAATTCCTTAAAATAAACCAATCTCTCTCTCTCTCCATATATAAATGTGTATATATACACATCCTATTTTTTCTGTTTCTACGGAGAACATCAACTAATACATCAATATAAATTTTGAGATAGAAATGTAAAAATACTAAAGTAACAAAACATTAGCCCTCTAAGACCTGTAAGCTAAACAAGGAAGGAGTCTATTTGGGGTATACTGACCTCACATAACACCTGGCACATCACAGGAATTCAGTATTTGTTGAATGAATGAATATTAGCAAACTTGTATATCCTCAAACAATAACTTCTATTTATTTATTTTTTATTTCAAGAATATTTATTAAAGATGTTAAAAGGTTCAAAACATTTCACCAAAACAAAAAATGTGTTCATTTAACCAAAGATTGATAATTAAAAGACTTTAAAAGCAATACACAAAGTTATATGAATATAAATACCTTAGCCCTTTTAAATTTTAGTTTTCCTAAAGAATCAAAAACCTACGAATATAATATAGAAATTATTTTGCTATTAATAAAATGTAAAATCTTCATTTTTTTAAGCCAAGTACCAAAAAGGCAAAGAAAACTTCCTGCAGTGTAATTGCTTCTCTTTATGGGAAGCCCATAAATGGGCTTTATCTAAAGATAACCCAAAAGTCAAACCTGTTGAAAAGAGTACATGAATTTAATCAGACACAGAGTCTGTTCAAGGTTATGAGTATAGCAGGAGAATACATGACTCTTAGTAATAGCATGAGAAATTCCTGATTACATTGAAAAATTTAGACTTATCAAGAAAAATCAAGAGTACAGATAAAGTTATACTGGAGGTAAACATTGCTTTTTTAGACTTTGAAGATAAAACATTTTAGTATTAGGCCACAACAGCTGGAACTAGAGGCAAAAAATTTCAGGTGTGATGAAAAAACTGAGGAAGAGAGTTGTCATCTCAAGCCTTCTCAAGGGGAGGAAAAGCTGAAAGCAACAAGACACAACAAATGTTGAACCTCTGAGATACGAATCTAAGAAGTTTTTAAAAGAAATTGGTTATATAATTAAAAATCAAAACCTCTTGTAATTTCCCTAAAAGCAAAGCAATACCTTAAGTAACCCCTGTTTTAATGTAAGGGGCTAACCTTTAGAAAGACTATTATAATGGTTTCCTTTTTAATTATAACCAACTTAATTACTTACAACGTTCCTTTTATAAATTCTGTTTCTTATACCTTATAACCACTTACACAGCCCATTTATAACATTTTTTACTTTCTTACTTGTCTTACATTACAGTTCTTTTTAAAAATAACCAGTTATTTTACTTTAAGACAAAAATTTACCACACAAGATCTTTAGATAAAATTATTATTTTTAAACAATCTTACTTACCAAAAATATATTCACATTCATAACTTTTCTCACATCTCTTTTACTTCCTATTTTCTTTTTACCTTTTTTAACTTTTGAATAACTTCTAAATTATACAAAATTATTTTTTCTCAAGAACACAACTTTTAGAATTATATAAGAATTATATATTAACTAGAATTCTTATTCTTAGTAACCTTAAATTTTAGTGAAAACCTAGGAAGCAAGAAATCCTGAACTATCAGATGTGAACATTTTATAGACGAAACCACTCTACAATTTTAGAAATACATTTTCCCATATTATAACCCTTTCTTAGTTAGAAATGACCCAAATATTCAACAAGCATCCAAAATAATTTTACGATTTTAAAATTACATAAAAAGTTTACCTGGAAGCATTTATCCTATTTTTATGCACTTAATTTTTTTTATTTTTAACAGTTTATCTAGATTACTTCTGAAAAATGAAGATATTAGACAAAACTAGTTGTCATTTAAAATTATTTCTGTTAATCATTTATAAAGCCTGTGAACATCAGGTTCACCTGAGTAAGAACCTTAACCACAAGGACATTTTGCCAATAATTCAGAAGCCTCAGCTGTTTTTATTGAACCTGAAATATTTAGCGAAGGTAGATATAAAATAATTGGTGTGAGAAAACACTTTAAACAGTCCACTTTCAAGGCATGATAAATCTAAGTACGTGCAGCCAGCCTGTGGATGTAACAAACCACACAGCTCACGCACCTAGAAGGTCAATAAGCAAACAGAATGTAGAGGAGAGATCAGCCCATAAAAGGGAAGAAAGTTTTGTTATTGGGAAATCAAAACTTAAGTGGGGAAGGGGACTGGGGTATAACCTTATAGGGGGATAATGAAACTTAGGCAACATCCAGGAAGATTGTAACCCCATAGTACTTGACTAGTGAGGAACTCGGGGAGGGACTTATTACATGCTAGGGGATAAATTACCTGCTGTAACTGCCCCAGGTGTGCCTGCCTACCAGACGGCCAGTCTTGCAAGTCTGCCATTAAAAGTCTCGCTTCTGCTGTTCTTCATGTCTCCAAGGGTTTGGCCAGGTGAATATGTGTTTCTCACAATTGGTATATCTGCTGTTAATCACTTATTGTGTCCGGAATTGGTGGGTTCTTGGTCCCGCTGACTTCAAGAATGAAGCTGCAGACCTTCACGGTGAGTGTTACAGTTGTTAAAGATGGTGTGTGTCCGGAGTTTGTTCCTTCAGATGTTCAAATGTGTCCGGAGTTTCTTCCTTCTGGTGGGTTCGTGGTGTCGCTGGCTTCAGGAGTGAAGCTGCAGACCTTGCCATGAGTGTTACAGCTCTTAAAGGCGGCACGGACCCAAATAGTGAGCAGCAGCAAGATTTATTGCGAAGAGCGAAAGAACAAAGCTTCCACAGTGCGGAAGGGGACCCCAGCGGGTTGCCCAACTTCTATTTATTGACTATTGTTTCAGGTACTATGTTGAGAGGTACTTTATCTTTCTTTGTTCAATGTTTTATTTCCACAACATCACTTCAAGACAGCAATTTTAAGTCCCCATTACAGAGATAAGGAAACCAAGACTCAGAGTTGAACTATGTTGCCCATGATAACAGCATCATCAACAGCTAAGACAGTTCAAAGATGTGTATGATTCTTCAAACCTCACAGAAGACTAAGAGAAGATAATAAAATCATTAAAATAGGAGATGTACTCATTCTTCACATTCTGACGTGTAGTCATTTAAAGAGGCAAAGAAATGGTTGTACTTCTCACAGCAAATTGTGAAGTGTGGCATGGCAGTACTAATAGAACATAAAAACCATTTAGCTAAACTTATATTACCTCACAGCTACACATCTAATCTTTTAAGGGTGATGTCACTAGATACATTCACTCCCATATAGTAACAATGTCACTCCCTGAGTCACTAAGTCAGACCTTTCACAGCAGTTCTCGGTAAATTTTCATCAGCTTTCACGATGTTTAGAAAATAATCTGCACACATATTACCAAGCACGAATAAGTGTTTCCGTTTTATTTAACACTTAAGCAGAACATTTTTGACTATACATCTATATAATGCACAGTACTAAAAAAGTGCAAAATATTCATCATAAACATGAGGAAAGTGAATACCACAATGGTTGCATCAACTCAACTAGGCAATTTTGCTCGTTAACAAAAACACAGCTTTTTCTGAAAGTTTTTTGGACGTTAACAGCTGTTCAACATCATCTTCCATCTAATTCCTTCTGAACTGCTTCAGGTTGCCTAGCACATATGCAGCTGGTGTTAAGAAGGTCGTAAAAAACACCACAAGTCCAACAGCCATTTCCTGGAAGAGAAGATGACACGCGCTGCTGAGTATGGCTTCCTAGGCCAGTGACTTGCTGCCTAACAAAAAGTGCTTAAAAAAAACATTTTGAGCACCTAGACCGTTGTCCTAGAAACAGGCGCCTAGTGAAATCTAAAATGCTGAAAATCGATTCATGGATCACCTGATTTTTTTTTTTAATTCATTTTTCATCTAAGGGGTCTCCGGTTCCAACCTTCGCACTCTGGAACTTCGATGTGGCCCAGGATTTCCACCATTTTATCGAAAACGCTAGATCTTCGCAGTGCCGAGGACGTCCGAGGATGGTAAATCATTCCTCCGCGAAACCACAGCCCCGCCCCCGAGCCAGGTGCCGGTAAAGGGTAACAACGAAGGAGGCCCAATCCCCGCGCGTTCCTCAGGGTCCCGGGCTTTCCGCCCCTGTGCCCGACGACGGCATCCTCACCGCGACCCTCTCCCAGGAACCTCCCCCAAAGGCGACCAAGCCACAGGAACCTCCCCCAACGGCGACCAAGCCACAAGAGCCTCCCACGCGAGGCCTGCACGCCGTGTCCTCCCTTCTCCCCACCCGTCGGGGCGCCCCGCCAGGGCCACGCGCTTCCCGCCCACCATGATGGCTGGGCCTCAACTCACCGCGGCAGACAGGGGCCGCTGGCGCGGGGGCCCCGAGTGGGCGAAGCGGGGAGCGGGCTGCAGGCCGAGCAGGGCCAAGCGGCGGTAGTGGCGGCGGGCAGGACAGCGCCCACGCAGGAGAGGCATATCGCGTCAGGTGAGACAAAGCCAGGCGTGGACAGCACAGGTGAGGTGAGGCCAAGTAACGCAAGCTCCAGTGCTCGTGAGGCAGCTGGTTTGCGCAGGCGCCCCAGCCACGAGGGGGCGCTCTGCCCTCGCCCCCTACCCCACCCCTTCTGCCCAGCACCTCCTGCTCTGCCCCGCCTCTTCCGCTCACCACTCCTTTCTCTGTACTGCCCTTTCCACTCAGCAGTCCGTGCTTTGCCCCACCCCCTCTGCTTAGCACCACTTGCTCTGCACCACCCCTTCCACCCAGCACACCCCTGCTCTGCTCCACTCTCTTCAGTTCAGTACCCCCTGCTCTGCCCCGCCTTTTCCACTCAGGGCTCCCTGCAACCTCCCAGCCCTCATTCACCTCACTTTCCACCCACGTGTCCTATCCTCTCCTAAACTCTCCTGCCACCCTCCCCTGAGCCCCAACCCCACCTCACACTAAGTATCTCTTTTCTGCAGGGTAAGGTGAGGGACTTGGCACCCCTACTCCTTTCCTTTGTCTTCCTCTCTACCTATACTTTATATACCTCTTAACATGCCCTGGCATTGGCAGAGTTTATAGCACACTGTTTCTAATGCAAATTAAATCTTCCATAAAATGTCTATAGGTTAATTCTTAACACTGAAAACCAAGAACAAGTTTCTATAGTCGGCTGATGATATAAAAAATATTCATGGCAGGGTCAAATAGAGTGTTTGGACCCAGTAGAAACAGTGATGTAATTATCTGTCACTACGGCTAATTTTCTTATTTTTTTGTAGAGACAGGTCTCACTGTGTCACCCAGGCTGATCTCAAACTCCTGGGCTCAAGCCATCCTCTTGTCTCAGCCTCCCAAAGTACTGGGATTACAGGCATGAGGCACTGTGCCCAGACCCTCTTGAGGGAAAAGTAAATATACTGTGATTTTTAAATTTAGTACTGTAATAAAACTTTATCCACTACAATGATCCTGTGTCTTCACATTATTTCTTTTGGGGGCCTATTGCACGAGTAACACTCTAGGGTTTCTCTGGATTCCTCTGTTCCTGCAGCCTGGTATCTTCCTCTTTCTTAGATTTCTTTTCGTTTTGCTGTAGTACATCCTTAAGCTGTTCTTTCAGGAAGGGTTTGTAGGTGATAAAGTTCCTCAGTCCTTGGAAATCAAAATATATATATATTGGTCTCCATTTAAATGCTAATTTGAATGGTTATAGAACTCTGGGCTCAAAATCATTGTCCTTCAGAGATTTTCAAAAGGCATTGTTCCTTTCTTTTCCAGCATCTAGTGAGCCGATAAATATAATGCCAATATAGTTGTCATTCCTTTGAGTACCCTCTTTTTTCCTTTTGGGAATCTTTTAGGCATTCCTTTTTGTCTTTGGAATTGTGACGTTCCTCCAGGATACTGTTAGATATGGGTATTTTTCCATTCATATGGATTAGCAGTGGGTAAGACCTTTCTATCTGAAGTCATGGTTCTTTAGCCATAGGAGCACTATTCCTATTTATTTGCTTCTCTGTTTTCTTTGTTCTCAACCTAAAATTCTTATTGACGGACACTGGCCCTTCTTAGCGGGTCACCTCTGTCTTTCAACCTTTTTCTCACTCATCAACGTTTTGTCCCTTGTTCTACATTTTGCAGGATTTCCTTGACTTTTTCTTCTAGCCCATGATTTTTTATTTTAGAATTATAGTTTTAAAACATACTATTTTTTGCTTTTACAGTCACCTGTTAGTATTTTATAGATATTATCACTTTAGATTTCTTTCAGAATATTAATCTGAACTTTTAAAAAGTTATCTCTATTCCATGAACTGTGTTTCTTTAGCGTACATTCTATTTATTTATTTTGAACTTGCCAGTTTTATTCAAGTATCTTATGATCCTTGGTTGTCATTTCATGCTTATGAATATGAAGAAGCAGGTCAGTTACTTTTGTTCCTTTCTGTTACTGTCTCAGTCTGTTCAGGCTGTTACAATACAACAGACTGGATGGCTTATAAATGACGGAAATGTATTTCTTACAGTTCTGGATGCTAGAAATTCAAAATCAATGTGCTGGTAGATTTGATGTCCAGTGAGGGCCCACTTCCTTGTTCTGGTTGTGTCCTCGTATGATGGAAGCAACAAGGTAGCTCTCTAGGGCCTCTTTTATAAGGGTACTAATCCTATTCATGAGGGCTGTGGTATGATCTAATTACTTCCCAAAGGCCCCGCCTCCTAACTCTGGGGCATGTTTCACCATGTTGCCCAGGCTGGTCTTGAACTCCTGGCCTCAAGCAATCCACCTGCCTCGGCCTCCCAAAATGTTAGGATTACAGGAGTTAACCATCATGCCCAGCCCATGTTACATTTCCACTGGGCAACTGTGCTCTGGAATCTTACCCTAACCAATCAAGGACCTGCATGAACCATGGCTGGCCACCTCCCTAACCTCATCTCCTTGTTCTCAGTCTTCCCTTGGCTCATCCTGCCCAGTCACATCAGGTAAACTCTAATTTTGCCTTAGATATCCCCAGATAATAATTTGAGCACCTGTGATTTACACGAGTCCTGTAAGAAATGATTTAGTGCAACATTGCTCTGTTTCCTGGCCACAGTTGTTACACTACTTGACTCAAATATTGGACCAAAGAGAGGGCTGGGACCCAGTCTGTTGGTTGGGATGGATGTTGTAACTTGGGAGCCATGTTTTTTTTTCCCTGCCTAGCAAGAAAGCCCTTCCACAGTGAGTTAATAATGTAGCCAAGCTGCTCAAAGAACCAGAGATAAGAACCAGAGGGAATATCCTGCCTGTGTTCAAAGCCCTGGTTTGAATTCTCCCTATTCTGAAGTTAGGACACTTTCCTCTCCTTGAGTTCTGGGCCTCTCTTTATATACTTTATGATAAATCCTGCTTTGGGCTTAAACTAGGTGGTGCTGCATTTCTATTGCTAACAACAAAAGAGCTTTAAGAAAGACGATATTAGTCAAGACTTTTTTCTTTGGGTAATACCCCATTTTTAATTTTTAAAAAGCAACAAAAATTCTGAAGTAAAGTGAGAAAGAGCCCAATAATAGGCAAGCTTGACTGGTTTAATCCTAATCTTGAGAAGTTTAGAAGAGAGTGCAATTCAAGTGAGATTTAAGCATTTTAGGTCTTTCTCTGTAACAAAAGCCTTAAAACACTTTCGACAGTGGTGACTCCAAATTCAGCCACAACACAATTAAGCTCCCTGCCACCCACCCCCACCCCAGGAGACAGCTCTTTTAGCTGCTCAAATTACCAATACAAACAACATTCCTCAGTTTAATTTCTGCAAGTCACAAAAGACTAGCACTGTTAACTCAAACCTCTACAATTTTCAATAAAGGGTTTAGTGGGCTGGGATTCGATGTATTCTCAGTGACCCACAATGCAAGAACTTCCTTCTGCAGTTATATAAAAGAACTTAATTAGAGCTATAACCTAGAGATCAGGTTTTCTGAGCTGTATGTACACAATGAATGAGAAAGACACCCTCGCCCACTTACCTTTTATAATGTGATTTTTATAAATATTCATGCTCTAAATAAACTGGTGTTAAAGTTCTAGAAAATTATATAATGAATTAAGATTGCACTACCTCAGCCCCAAATATCTCAAATTCATTCCTCTCTAGAAAAACATGTTTAATTCTGATTCAAGAACCAAAGGCTTCAGAACAAAAGTCTCTGAAAAATAGGGGAGGAAAAAAAAAGAACCAAAGGCCTTTGAGGAACAAAGTGTTTCTCTTTGTATTTGCATCTGTCTTTACAATTGCACAACCTCAATGATCGAGATACTCAGATAAGTAAGCAACAAAAGCAGAAGAGTTGCAAAAGTGGGAAACATATTCAAGTTCTGCAACTGGCAACATCAGTAACACACTTGGATTGCAAGCACAACAGTAATAGAAGATGATATAAGAAGACATGCCCCTTGCTCCCCTTTGCCTTCTACCATGATTGTAAGTTTGCTGAGGCCTCCCCAGCCATGCAGAACTATGAATCAATTAAACCTCTTTTCTTTATAAACTATCCAGTCTCAGGTAGTTCTTTATAGCAGTGTAAAAACAGACTAATATAGAAAATTGGTAACAGGAGTGGGGTACTGCTATAAAGATAACTAAAAATGTGGAAGTCACTTTGGAACTGGGTAATAGGCAGAGGTTGGAACAGTTTGGAGGGCTCAGAAGAAGACAGGAAGATGTGGGAAAGTTTGGAACTTCCTAGAGACCTGTGGAATGGTTTTGACCAAAATACTGATAGTATGATATATGATACCATGCTGATAGTATGATATATGGACAATGAAGTCCAGGCTGAGATAGTCTCAGATGGAGATGAGGAACTTATTGAGAACTAAAACAAAGGCCACTCTTGCTATGCCTTAGCAAAGAGACTGGCAGCATTTTGCCCCTGTCCTAGAGATCTGTGAAACTTTGAACTTGCAAGAGATTACTTAGGGTATCTGGCAGAAGAAATTTCCGAGCAGCAAAGCATTCAAGATGTGACCTAGCTTTTTCTGAAAGCATACAGTCATATGCATTTATGAATGGATGGTCTGAAATTGGAACTTATGCTTAAAACAGAAGCAGAGCATAAAAGTTTGGAAAATTTGCAGCCTGACCATGTGGTAGAAAAGAAAAACCCATTTTGTGGGGAGAAATTCAAGCCACCAACTACAAAAATTTGCATAAGTAAAGAGAGGCCAAATGTCAATGGCCAAGACAATGAGGAAAATGTCTCCAGGGTATTTCAGAGATCCTCACAGCAGCCCCTCCCATCACAGGCCCAGAGGCCTAGGAAGGAAAAATGGCTTCATGGGGTGGGCCCAGGACCCTGTTTCTCTGTGCAGCCTCAAGACATGGTGCCCTGTGTCCCAGCCACTCCAGCTCCAGCCATGGCTAAAAAGGATCAAGGTAGAGCTTGAGTCATTGCTTCAGAGGGAACAAGCTCCAAGCCTTGGAAGCTTCCATGTGGTATTGGTCCTGTGGGTGCACAGAAGACAAGAGTTAAGCTTTGGGAGTCTCCACCTAGATTTTAGAGGATGTATGAAAACTCTTGGATGTCCAGGCAGAAGTTTGCTGCAGGGGCAGAGCCCTCATGGAGAATCTCTACTATGGCAATGGAGAGGGGGAAATGTGGGGTTGCAGCCCCCACACAGAGTCTCTACTACAGCACTGCCTAGTGGAGCTGTGAGAAGAAAGCCACCATCCTCCGGAACTCAGAATGTTAGATCCACCAACAGCTTGCACCATGCACCTGGAAAAGCCACAGGCACTCAACACCAGCCTGTGAAAGCAGTCACGGGGCCTGTATCCTGCAGAGCCACACAAGAATAGCTGCCCAAGGCCTTGGGAACCCACCTCTTGCATCAGTATGTCTTGGATGTGAGACATGGAGTCAAAAGAGATTATTTTGGAGCTTTAAGATTTAATGGCTGCCCTGTTGGGTTAACTGTGGCATGCCCTTGGCAGAGAGGAGGGGTTCATTTAGATGGTGGGGGAGGCCTTAGAATTTTATTTTTGGTTTACATTCACTGCAGCCTTGAACTCCTGGATCCAAGCAATCCTCCCACCTCAGCCTCCCAAGTAGGTGGGAACACAGGCATGCACCACCATGCCCAGCTAATTTTTTTTTTTTTTTTTTTTGTAGAGACAGAGTCTCACAATTTTGCTTAGGCTGATGGTCTCAAACTTCTGGGCTCAAGCAATCCTCTTGCCTCAGCCTCCGAAAGTGCTAGGATTGCAGGCATAAACCACCACACCTGGCATCTTTTCATCATTTTTTTTCTTTTTGAGACGGAGTTTCACAGTTGTTGCCCAGGCTGGAGTACAGTGGTGCGATCTCAGCTCACTACAACCTCTGCCTCCCAAGTTCAAGCGATTCTCCTGTCTCAGCCGCCTGAGTAGCTGGGATTACAGCCATGTACCACCACGCCTGGCTCATTTTTGTATTTTTAGTAGAGACGGGGTTTCTCCATGTTGGTCAGGCTGGTCTCGAACTCCTGACCTCAGGAACTCCCAATCCACCCACCTCGGCCTCCCAAAGTGCTAAGATTGCAGGCGTGAACCACTGCACCCGGCCACCTTTTCATTTTTAAATTTCACATTCCTCTTCTTCTCCTGAATTACATCTAGATATTCTTCAATGGATTTCTGTTATACTGACATGAAAAGATTGGCAGTTGGGGTCCAAAAGATCAAAGGTCAAATTCCAGCACTATCATTTACTAACCACATAGCCTCAGGAAAATAAAGCATATTTCTCTTAGAATGTGGATATGGAGGTTAAATCAGACAGTATGTGTATCCATTATTAGATTAAGTGTAGCCTGAAGCTGCGTCCTTACGTATTTTAACTTGGGCCTAAAGGTTTCTCGTAGGCCAGACATGGTGGCTCACACCTGTAATCACAGCACTTTAGGAGGCTGAGATGGGCAGATTGCTTGAGCCCAGGAGATTGAGACCAGCCTGGGCAACATGACAAAACCCCATCTCTACAAAAAATACAAAAATTATCCAGGTATGGTGGTGCACATCTGTAGGCCTAGCTACTCAGGAGGCTGAGTTGGGAGAATCATCTGAGGCTGGGGAGGTCAAGACTGCAGTGAGCTATAATCATGTCACTGCACACCAGCCTGGGAAACAGAGTGATACCCTGTCTCAAAAAAAAAAAAAAAAAGTTTCTCCTACATAGTGAACTGTAACCTGACTGGATGTATAAACAGATTGTAAACTACTTTCGTACTAATCACAGAGTTTTGGCCAGGCCAGTCATAGGTGGCCTTCTTTTTTTTTTTTTTTTTTTTTTTGAGACAGCGTTTTGCTCTGTCGCCCAGGCTAGAGTGCAGTGGCGCAATCTCTGCTCACTGCAAGCTCCGCCTCCTGGGTTCATGCCATTCTCCTGCCTCAGCCTCCCGAGTAGCTGGGACTACAGGCACCCGCCACCATGCCTGGCTAATTTTTTATATTTTTAGTAGAGATGGCATTTCACCGCGTTAGCCAGGATGGTCTCGATCTCCTGACCTCGCGATCCGCCCACCTTGGCCTACCAAAGTGCTGGGATTACAGGCATGAGCCACCGCACCCAGCATAGGTGTCCAACTCTTAAAACCATATTCAAATAAGGCAACTGCCAAGTTGTAACCAGTCCAGGTGTTTCTATAGCTGTCATGAACAGCACAAGGTCAGACATAACCAGGTCCATGCACTTTTGTGTCTTTCTACAAGGTCAAACATTTTTTGATGCTTATTCAATCACGAAAGCCATGAGCTAATAGAGTAACCAAACAGGCCATTCTCCTTATTACTTCCCGTTCACTCTAGTCAGAGCCATGGGGGCACAGACTCAAGCCAATCCACAAGTCAGTCAATATTGCAACCATACATACTAGCATATTTAATGTGTAAATGTCATAGATTAAAATTTCCACATCAAAGTAAAATTTAACATCAGGAGAAAAGAAAATAGTAAAAGGGGTTAACAAACCAGTACAAGGAGAGCAACACGGACAAACAGAATGTCCTGAGCTAATCCAGACAGTCATCAACATCTTTCAAGGAAAAGTCTGTGATTTGGGCAGAGCCTTCAGAGGCAAATGCCAGGTGCTGACCACGAGTAACAGAAAGACAGTATCTGTTAAAATGGCCATCTAGGCCGGGCGCAGTGGCTCACGCCTGTAATCCCAGCACTTTGGGAGGATGAGGCGGGTCGATCACGAGGTGAGGAGTTTGAAACCAGCCTGGCCAACATGGTGAAATCCCGTCTCTACTAAAAATACAAAAAATTAGCCGGGCGTGGTGGCAGGCACCTGTAGTCCCAGCTACTCGGGAGGCTGAGGCAGGAGAATGGCGTGAACCCGGGAGGTGGAGCTTGCAGTGAGCCGAGATCACGCCACTGCACTCCAGCCTGGGCAACACAGTGAGACTCTGTCTCAAAAAAAAAGAAAAATAAAGAAAAAAATGGCCATCTAGAGCTGATCAAGTCCTGCTAAAGTCTTTGAGTCATCTGGTGAGGGCTGATAGTAAAGGGTTACACTCTAATCTGGTTGGGGGTTGTCTCTGTGTGAACATCTGTACCCTGTTGGCATGATGCCTTTTAAAATATATGATGGAGTCTTTTTCTAAGATGGCATTACTTATGTCAAGGATGCTCTATTTAGTACCTCACCTCCATTTTCTGTACATCACTTTCCTTTTCCTATCCATAAATATTCTCAGACTGCATAGCAGCTCTAGAGTCACTCTGAACCTCTTCTGGTTAAGGGGTCTGCCCAATTTACAAATCATTTTAACCAAGTAAACTCTATTAAATTTAATTTGTCTGAAGTTTTTTTTGTTTGTTTTTGAGACGGTCTTACTCTGTCACCCAGGCTGGAGTGCAGTGGTGTGATCTCAGCTCACAGCAACCTCCACCTCCCAGGCTCAAATGATCCTCCCACCTCAGCCACCTGAATAGCTAGGACTACAGGCACATGCCACCACACCCAGCTAATTTTTGTCTTTTTTTCATAGAGACAGAGTTTTGCCATGTTGCCCAGGCTGGTCTTGAACCCTTGGGCTCAAGAGATCCACCCACCTGGGCCTTCCAACCTGCTGGGATAACAGCCATAAGCCACTGCACTCAGCCGTTCAAGTCTTTTGTCATTCCTGTTTGGTTGTCTTGTTCTTACTAAATTGTAAGCATTCTTTACATATGCTGGATATAAGCTCTTTTTTGGTTTTATGTATTACAAATATCTTTTTCCATTGTATGGCTTGTCTTTTTCCCCCACTGTGTATGTGTTAGTCCGTTTTTGTGTTGCTAGAAATACCTAAGTCTGGGTAATCTATTTTAAAAAGAGGTTTAATTGGCTCACAGTTCTGCAGGCCTTACTGGTGAGACCTTAGAAAGTTTATAATCATGGTGGAAGGCAAAGGGAGAGCAAGCAGTGTCACATGGCAAGAGATGGACTGGTCGGTGGGAGGTGGTGCACACTTTTAAACAACCAGATCACCAGTGAATTCAGAGAACTCACTCATCCCAAAATGTCACAGGATCCTTCAGGTGTTGCTTCGCCAGCTGGAAACCTCTGTGGCCGGCAGCACCTCTGCTTGAGTTTTGCTCACACCTGCTAGGCTCATTCTGCCCACTCAGCCTGGCAGGCTGCGCTCGGCTTGTGCTACCAGCCTGGATCCCATGCTTGCCAAGGGCGAGCCAGGCGCAGAGCAGTGAGGGGTATGTGAGTGAGCCAGCATGGGATCTGGCCACTGCACACAGCCAGGTACACTGGCTGCTGGGGTGAGGTGGGCAGCTCCAGGCACTGGCATAGACACCAGCTCCATGTGAGGCTGCAGCTGGACCAGACATACCACAAGCGGCTTCTACTGTGGGCACCAGCATCTGGACAAGGCAAACACAGTGGCACCCAAAAGCTTGGAAACACCAGGAACCACAGAGCCCCAAAGGGAGTGTTACAGCATGTCACAGCCCTAGTTTGGGGAGCCCTGAGGTCTAGGCTCCCAGAAGGGCTGCAGCTCTTCTCTCCTCCTTGTCACCCACAGCATGGCAAGCAGAGGGGTGTGTTTCAGGGGGGCATGTTTCAGCCCATTTGTGTTAAAGCTCTTTCAATCCCACCACCCCACTCCAGGCTGCAGCTCCTGGGCTGGCCCAGCCCTGCCACTGCTTCCTATCATGTGAGGTGGCAGCCCAGCACCTGCAGAGGGCAGGAGGGCTATAGTGTTACAACTCTGGGTTGGGGAATCCCCAGGTCTGGGCCCCAGAAGGTTCGCCACTCTTCACTCCTACAGTCTGGGAGTATGTCACCATCCACAGGTCAGCTAGCCAGTCAGGAAAGTGTTACAGCTCCTTTCACTCCTGCCACTCGAAGGTTCCCGAGTTCTTGTCCCATGTCAAGGAAGAATAAGTTACATGGACAACTGGAGGGGAAACAAACTTAAGAAGAGCTTTTTTGGGCAACCAAACAGCTCTCAGAGGAGCCAAGACCCAAAGTGCGTAGACTCTATGAGTCTGTGAGTTAGGCTGGGTCTGGGGGTTTTTATTGGCTCAGAATGAAGTGCATGCTGATTGGTCCATGGGCAGGAAGAAATGCATGCTAATTGGTCTGTGGGCGGGCCTGGAAAAAGCACTACTTTATTGGCTGAAAGGCATCAAGGAAGTTCTCACTCCAGGTCGTGGACTTCACTGGGAACTGGCAGCCTGGCCCCCAGGCTTTAGGCCATCTCTGGTTTGAAGGTGGGGTTTCACCAGGGACCCACCCCTTCCCACCTAGGAACCTGTCTGCCTCCCACCACCATCACAAGGGGATAGTGTGAAGCCATTCATGAGGGATCTGCCTTCATGATCCAAACACCTCCCACCAGGTCCCACTTCCAACACTGGCGATTACATTTCAACATGAGATTTGGAGGGGACAAACATCCAAACCATATCAGTACATTTTGATGCACTTAAGTTCATATTTTAAATACAGTTGAATCTATGAATCTTGTCTTCATGATTAATGTTTTCTGTGACTTGCTTGTCTTTTCTTCCCCAAGGCAATGAATATTTTCCAATATTATTTTCTAAAACCTTTATTAATTGTATTATTTGTTAATTTAATAATTATTAAGGCCATGTGCAGTGGCTCACGCCTGTAATCCTAGCACTTTGGGAGGCCAAGGTGGGCGGATCACGAGGTCAGGAGTTTGAGACCAGCCTGGCCAACATGGTGAAACCCTGTCTCTACTAAAAATACAAAAAATTAGTCAGGCATGGTGGCACGCACCTGTAATCCCAGCTACTCGGGAGGCTGAGGCAGGAGAATCACTTGAACCCAGGAGGCGGAGGTTGCACTGAGCTGAGATTGCGTCATTGCACTCCAGCCTGGGTGACAGAGCAAGACTCTGTCTCAAGAAAAAAAAAAATTGAAAATTGAATAATTATTAAGCACTTCTTAATTAAGCATCTACAAGGTACTTATCACTGTTCTGGGGTTTTCAATCCTCTTCACCTTTTAGACTTCAGGAAATTCAGAAAAATGCATGAAAACAGGATTGTTACATGCAGAGAAATAGGGGGAGATAAAATTTGTCTTTTCTCCTTAATTTCAAAAACCCAGCTTCCATCCTGTATTTCCAGGAAGATGAGTGTGGGAATGGGTTTCAGTGGATGGTTATGTGTGGTAAAAAAGGGGGGTACAAAGGAAGGAAAAGACTGGAGTGACAGACCATGGAATATACCATGAAATGTTGATTACTCTTATTTTCAACATAGATGACCAGGTGGATGGGATGCCATTCACTGATGGAGGGAGTGGAGAAAGGAACAAAACATAAATTCAGGACTTTTGGTTGAAAGCCACAGAAGTTCACTGTTTTTACCCATTTCCAACTAACTTAAGATAAAAAGAGGTGTTAGGGCAACTTAATGGCTTCTAAAAATGAAAAGACCAGGGATGGGTTGGTTTCAGGCCCAGGTAGGCCCAGGTATTCAAATGATGTCATGGTTTTCCTTTCTCTCACTTTGTTTCTTTGTTTATGGTCTTCCTCCTTTCCTACCGCACATGGCTTTCTCCTCATTGGCAAACAAAGCCAATTTACATGTCCTTTCGAGTCATAATCCCGGAGAAATAGAGTAAGAAGAAACATCTCCTCTGAGAGTGTGGCAAAAATTTCCAGAAAAGGTTCTGGTTGACCTATTTGTGTCATATGGCCATCCAGATCTATCTGATTCTAGAATGCATGCTGTTAACCACTACTTAGTACCATCTTAACACTAGCCTTAAAAAAATGTTTTTCACTCTGTCTTCTTATTTAGATTCTAAGCTCCTTAAGTACAAAGATCCATTTATTTTTTACCCCCAGCATGTAGTACCGTGCTTGGCACATGGTACTGGATACTTTAAATGTGTATCGGACTGAACTAAAATAAACATCTAAATTCTGATGAGTGTGTAAACTGAGCTAATTCAGGATCTCAAAAGTACAGTTAAATGGTATAATAAGGAAACAGTGAATGAATTAAAGGGTAGAAAAAAATCATGGATCACTTACAAATGGTTTCTAGATCCAAACAGTCTACTAGAAGTCTCCAGCTGTGCAGATAGACAAAAGGACAAGGTGCAACCAGCAGACCTTACTTGGCTTTTCAAAAAGTTTTAGATTTCCACATCAAAGGCTGTTAGAAAAAGTGTTATCCTGAAATTACTTAGAATTCTATTGTTGTTGATACCATTTTAATTTTGTTTTTTAAATTGTGGCTAGGAAATAGAAGCAAAGTCAAGTAATAAAGGTTAGTAATAAGTGTAAACAGTGGGGACTGATCTTATTTAACATTTCCATAAATTATAAAGAAGCAGTGTTTACACACCGCTTTTTAGTTTGCTAATCATAGCTCTTTCAGTTAATGCAATACAGTCATCCCCCATATACTATATACGTGGGATTGGTTCCAGGACCCACCACATATACCCCAATCCAAGCATACTCAAGTCTGCCTGTCCGTCCTGTGGAATGTGAGTATAAGAAAAGTCGGCCCTCTCAATACGGTGTTTAGAATCCCATGTACCAGGTTGCATTGATCGATCCGCACAGTTCAAACCCGTGTTGTTCAAGTGTTAACTGTATTTAGCAAATTAAGACAAAGGTAAAATGATGGAAAATAACAGTAAATGGCTTGAATTTAGATAAGGTTCACTTACGCCTTTGGGGAAGTATAAAAGTGTGGAACAAGAGGTGGACACTCAGAGGTAATCATTGGCTCCAATTAGATGGACCTATTTCTTTTATATTTTCTCACTTTTCCATGCATTTCTTGTCTATCGCCCTGAGGCTGTATGTTCAACTGAAGTGACCCTTACCAGCTAGAGGGGAATTTCAGGCAAGGGACTGCTACAATCTCTGCTACAATCTCCAAACCTTCAAGGATTGGGTAAGAGGGTGAAAAGGGTGAGATGGGTAAAGAAAATGAAGTAATACAAATTGGAAAGAGCTATCCTTTTCAAGGAAGTAAGGTGATGAAGAATGAGGGTGAGGAAAATACAAATCTGAAGGAAGTCCAGAGGAAAACAACAATGATATTGTCTCCAACTGAATATGAAAAGCATAAAATAATGGAGGGTCAAGAGATGGTTAAAAACACATCACAAAATTCCAAATTGCTCTTATCCTTTGAAGCTTAGAGGTGGTTTCAGAACAACAACAACAAAAAACTGTGTGACACAAAACTTGTTAAACAATGGGTAGAGATTGAAAATGCAAATACAATACTTTCAAATAAATTCCCAGAGTTGCTAATGTCTATCAGAGGAAAAGGAGGTGTAACGGTGCCTCCTCACTGGGTTCAGAATGCCTGGGTTCTGATCTTGGCTTGCCTACTTGTTAGTATTTCTGAGCCTGTCTCCTTGGTTGTAAAACAGCAATAAAAACACCTATCCTGACTACCACAAAGGGTGGCTTTGGCGTTCAAATGAAACCATGGATCTCTCTGGAAAACGACAGTGCCCCATAAATACAGTATTTTTGTTATTGCATCGCTGAAATTATTGCAAACCCCCAAACAAGGGGCATCTAGGGAAGAGCGACTTGGCTCTCCCACGTGGCGACTGTGTGTTTTCATCAATTTTGTCCTTTGTTTACAGGGGTATCTTGTTAAGGAAAACTTTTCAGTGTCTTAAAGATTATTTTTTAACCTACTACACAAGTAGCAAGGTGGTGCCTGTAAAAGTACCATGCAGACAAGTGCTTACGATAGACAAGTGCTCACTGCCAAGAAGCAGCCACCGGAATGCCAGGACTGTCAGCAATGACTTTCCGCGGAAGAGTTGTTCTCGAGAAAGATGCACTCATTGCATGCGACCACCCGAGGGACGCCGGCCGCCGAACGGAAACATGAATTCGTGGAAATGGCCATCTGGTGACGTAGTAGTGACACAGTTCTTATATTCTGATACATTTAATAATGTGTCACAATTCGCTGGACTAAGCAGGATGCTGCCACAAGAGGCAAACTCCCAGCGACCCGACGCCCGGCTCCCAGCCGACGAGCAAAAATAATGCGCGCGCACTCCGCTCCCATGGATCCAGCGAACGCACCGCCCCCCCACGCGGCCCGACTCGCGCGGCGACGTCGGGCCACGTGACCCTGAGCGGGACGACGGCAGGGGAGGGCGGGGGCTCCGGCCGGCTCCGCAGCGCCGCGCAGGCGCCCCAGGGCCACGCCGAACCGAGCCCCTCCTGCTCCGTCTAGGAGTCAAAATGGCGGCGAGGGGAACCTGGAGCAGTCCCGGAGCCTGAGCCACTGACAGGAGAGGAGAGGGCGGCGGCGGCGGCGGTGGGAGGAGGATGGCCGGGGGTGCTGGCGCCGGTGCGGACGGCGGTGCTGGTGGCGGCGGCGGCGGAGGCGACGGCAGCGGTCCCAGCGGCAGCAGCAGCGGCGGGAGGAGCCTCCGGGGTGAGTGTCCCTTGGTGTCTCTGAGGCTGTGGAGCCGAGGCTGTGTCCGGTGTGGCGCGGGGCGTCCGGGAGAGGAAGGGGCTGTTCTTAGGCGTGGGGGCGCCGGGGCTGGGGCCAAGCCGCCGCGGGAGGCGCTGGGGCGCCGGGCGGGGAGGGGCCAGTCGTCCGTCTGGGGCTGAGGCGCGGCGGCGCCGGACTGGCCGGTCTCTGTGCGCTCCGAGGGGCGGGCTGGAGCGCGCCGCCGTCCCTGGGGCAGGGGCGCGAGGTGTGGCGCTCGGGGCGGGGAGAGCGGCCCGAGGGAGTCGCGACGGCAGCCCGGCCGGCTTTGGGCTCCGGGCGCCGAGGGGCGGGACCCGTCGCTCCCAGGACGCTGAGAAACCGCTCCCGAGACGGGGGCGCGTGTTTACCCGGGTGCGGGGTTGCGACCGCCAGGGGTGGGCGTGAGAGTGGCCGGCGGGGTCTGGGAAGGGAGCAGGCCTGAGGACTGCTACTCCCAGGGGAAGTTAGATTGTCCGGGTAAGTTACTATTGCGGGATAAACCTGGAATTGAGCTTTGACAGGTTGGGAGGGAGACAATACCGAGTGTTTGATAAAGAAGAGGAGGCTGTGCTTGTTGGACTACTTGAATGGCAAAAAGTGTGCATATTTCAGTACCTTATTTGCACAGTGTTTGCTAGCTTTACCCCGAGGGTGAGAACTTTCTCACCGTTTTTCAAGAAACTCTGAGGAGTGTTGTTTCTCCTGTGAACTACAATTGCACGTCTTCACATACCAGCACAGATAATAAGTACTCTGGAGTAGGCCTAATTTACAGAAGCAGTCTTGGTTATCTACACCAGAGCACTGTTAACTCTGCGAAAACATCTTACTGTAATGAGAAAGTAGACATTTTTACAGAATTACTTAGCTTTTTCAACTAACAACCTTTTTGGGGGGGGGGAGACGGAGTCTCGCTCTGTCACCCAGGCTGGAGAACAGTGGTGCGATCTCGACTCACTGCAACCTCCGCCTCTCAGGTTCAAGCGATTCTCCTGTCTCAGCCTCCCAAGTAGCTGGGATTACAGGCGCCCGCTGCCACGCCCGGCTAGTTTTTGTATTTTTAATAGAGACGTGGTTTCACCATGTTGGCCAGACTGGTCTCGAGCTCCTGACCTCTGGTGATCCGCCCGCCTCGTCCTTCCGAACTACTGGGATTGCAGGCGTGAGCCACCGCGCCCGGTCTGGTCAACTAACAATCTTTTGTCCCTAATAGCATCTGTTTCCTTTAGATTGCTGAAATGAATTGCTTTCTTCCTGAAATGTGGAAGAAAGACTTGAAATTGCTTTGCAAGAATCATACGTTGTTAATAGCAACTGTTATTAGACTTGTCATGGAATTTTGGAGTCAGAAAAACTTTTAGAGATCTAAAGGTGTGAATATTGTTTTAGAGCCGGGAAACCAGACCCAGAGAGGCGAGTGACTTGTTGTGGATCCTACAGCTGGCGATGGATTAGACCAAAACTAAGATGTAGGCCTCTACACCCCATTACCCCATTTAGAGAGCTCATTGTTACTACACTGCTGAGCTGCTTACTTTTCATTGATTGCATTCTTCACCATTCACTACCTACCCCTATCCATAGGGTTTTGGTGTAATAAAGTTGAAAGCGAAAATGAGAGCCTCTGTCTCATTCTGACAGCTACTTCAAGTAACTGATGAAGATTTTTTTTTTTTCCTAACCTGAACTTAATAAAAACGGAGTGATATTTCGTTTGGAGTTTTCTTAGGCTCATGACTACATTTTCACCCAGTTTTAGCATGGCTCATTCTTGCATGAATTCAGTAAAACTCATAGGTCAATATTCTGTCCCACAAAACCTGACTACTGTATTGTTTTGTGTCCCAACACCAGCATTTAAACAAGGTTTTTCTATCAGACTCTGATTTTAGGATTTAAAGCACCTGTGTTGATTTCTAGGTTACACTACCTAGTTTCCAGGTATCATCTTGAGTCACAGCATTTTTATAGTGTGTCTCAGGTAAACCTTCGGAAGTGCAGTAATGCCAAAGTTATTCTGATTTCAGATTCTAGTCACGGAAGCTCACACATCCAAAATTACATAGGTGACTGTTGAAGGTCTGCTTTTTGTTTTGCATTAGATGAATGATGTGGAAGAAAGGAAAGAAACATAATATTAGGTTGGTGCAAAAGTAACTGCAGTTTTTGCCATTAACATATAGACTTTTCCCTCAAGTTCTTATTGGAAAGATCAGGTGTACCAACATGAGTCTCGAAGACAATCTAGTGAGTTCTACTAATGCAAAGAATGCTGTTGGTATACAGGGTAGAGAGAGATGAGTGAGACCCCAAGAGTCCAAAGAACTTGGGAAACTTCGGATTTGAGCTGGCCTATGAAAGTTTAGATTTACCGAGAGATTGTAGCAGTTACTTTGTGAGGAAAAAGCAAGAGTGTAAAGTGAAGATTAGCTTAGGGGGAGGGAAATAGAAGGAGACTAGGATGAGCTGACAACTGAATTTCCTGAGGAGAATGTTTTCGTTAGGAAACTTTAGTCAGTTGGAAAGCTATTTGTCTGTAGAAGAGTTTGAGTGCTGAATTGAGGAGATTTCTACTTTTATCCTGTTGTGCAAGGTATAGAGAGCCTTTGAAAGTTTGGAGGCCAGGGATTAATGTGGTAAACCAGGAAGGTAAACCTGTTAATGATCTACAGGTTAAGTTAGAGTGAGGAGAGAATGTAATGAACCAAGGAAGACAGTAGCTGCTGTAGTAACCCAAATAGGAGATCTTAGACCCGGATAAAGTCAGTAGGAAGGATTTGGATAGCAGATATCTGTGGGCTTAATTGTGGTAAAATCCACATACAATTTACCATCTTAACCATTTTTAAGTGTATAGTTCTGTGGCATAAGTACATTTACATTGTTGTGTAGCCATGCCATCACCACCATCCATCTGTAGAATTCTTTCATTTGGAGTTTTCTTAGGCTCATGACTACATATTTCTAAACCGAAACTGTCCATTTTCCCTTACCCCCAGCCCCTGGCACCCACAGTTCTACTGTCTCTTTTATTTTGACTACTGTAAGTACCACGTATAAGTGAAATTATACAGTATTTGTCCTTCTATATCTGGCTTATTTCACTTAGTATAATGTCATCAAGGTCCATCCATATTGTAGCATGTGTCACAATTTGCTTTCTTTTTAAGGCTGAATAATATTCCATTGTATGTTATTTTTATATTTTGTTAAGTTCCCCTCAATGGGCACTTAAGTTGCATCCACATTTTGACTGTTGTGAATAAAGCTGCTGTGAACATGGATGTTAAAATATCTGAGTCTCTGCTTTCATTTATTTTATGAATTTTATATCCAGAAAATTTTACAACCCCACCAGCAGTGCACAAGGGTTCCAGTTTCTCTACATCTTCACCAATACTTGTTATTTGCTGTTTGGGTTTTTTTTTCCTAATATTCATCCTGATGAGTATGAAGTGATATTTCATTGTGTTTTTGGTTTGCATTTTTTAAAAATGATTGGTGATGTTAAGCATCTTTTCATGTGCTTATTGATCTTTTGTATTTTTTTAGAAAAATATTCACATTATTTCCCTGTTTTCTAATTAGGATTTTTTTTTGTTGTTGAGTGTGGAAGTTACTTATGTATGCTGAATATCAATCCCTTATCAGACATGATTTGCAAATGTTTTCTCCCATTCTGTAGGCTGCCTTTTCACCCTGTTGATAGCGTCCTTTGATGTACACACAGTTTTTAATTTTGATGAAATCCAGCTTACCTAGATTTTCTTTTGTTGCTTATGCTTTTGGTGTCATAGCCAAGAAATCATTATTAAATCCAGTGTCAGGAAGCTTTTCCCCTATGTTTTCTTTCTTTTTTAAAGATAGATAGGTTCTGGGTCTGTCACCAAGGCTGGAGTACACTAGTGTGATTATGGCTCACAGTAGCCTTGAACTCTGGTCTCAAACAGCCCTCACATCTCAGCCTCCCGAACAGCTGGGACTACAGGTGCGTACATCCACGCCTGGCTAAGTTTTTAAAATTTTCTGAGGAGATGGGGTCTCACTATGTTGCCCAGGCTGGTCTCGAACTTTTGGACTCAAGTGGTCCTCCCGCCTCAACCCAAGGTACTGGGATTACAGGTGTGAGCCACTGTGCCCAGCCTTTTTTTTTTTTTTTTTTTTTTTTTAAAGAATTTTATAGTTCTGGCTCTTAATTTAGGTCTTTATGTGTGGATATCTATTACCATATACGTGGTTTTTGCATTACCATTTGTTGAGAAAACTGTCCATTTCCCATTAAATGGTCTTGGCACCTTTGTTGAAAATTATTCGACCACAAGTTTGAGGGTTTATTTCTGGGCTGTGTATTCTATTCCATTGGTCCATAAGTTTGTTTTTATGCCAATACCACTCTATTTTAATTACTGTAGTTTTATAGTAACTTTTGAAATCAAGAAGTGTGAGACTCCACTTTGTTCTTTTCAAGATTGTTTTGGTAGTTTGGGATTCCTTGAGATGCCATATGAATTTTAGGATGGGTTTTTCTATTTCTGCAAAAAATAGGCTATTAGTATTTTGTTAGGAATTGTATTGAATCTCTAGGTTGCTTTGGGTAATGTTGACATCTAAATACTGTCTTCCAGTCCATGAACATGGAATATCTTTCCATTTATTTGTGTCTTTATTTCAGCAGTGTTTTTTAGTTTTCAGTGTAAAAGTCTTTTGTCTCCTTGTCTAAGTTTATTCCTAAGTATTTTATTCTTTTTGATGTGATTGTAGATAGGATTCTTGTCTTAATTTCTCTTTTGGATTGTTCATTGTTAATGTTTAAGAATGCAACTCATTTTTGTGTGTTAATTTTGTATCCTACAACTTTACTGATTTATTAGTTCTAATAGTTTTTTTGTGTGTGGAATCTTTTTTGTGGAGTTTTCTACATATAGGATCGTGTCATTTGCAAACAGTTAATTTACTTCTTGCTTTCGAATTTGGATGCCTTTTATTTTTTTCCTTGCCTAATCTCAGCTAGGACTTCCGGTACTGTGTCGACTAGAGGTGGTAAAAGCAGGCATCCTTGGCTTGTTCCTGATCTTAGAGGAAACGTTTTGAGTCTTTCCCTGTTGAATATGATACTAACATGAGTTTTTTATATAAGACCTTGATTATGTTCAGGTAGTTTCCTTATATTCCTGGTTTGTTGAGTGTTTTAACAGGTGTATTTTAAGAAAAATCATTTGTGGGTGCTGAAAAGAAAGAATTTCTAGCCTGGTGAGTGAGAGAATCCTGGAGTCATTGACAGAATAATATATTATCATGAAGTTGATGTTTTAGGCATCATCTTTGTACATTTACAGACCTGTTTTGATTGATAAAAATAATACTATAGTTATTTAGTGGGGAAGACTGACATTACTCAAATAATTATGCAGATGTATGTCTGAATAACTATAGTACAACTGGCTCACATTTGTATTTCTAGTATCTAGCACTGTGCCTGGCACAGGGGCATTCAGTGAAGTTGCTAATTGAATCAAGAAGCAGAAGAGTAAGGTTTAACCCAGTAAAGTAAAAAACATATTATTATATAATTTTTTAATGGAAATAATGTTTATTTTTATTTTACCAGTTTTTAATTTTCTTGAGACAGAGTCTCACTTTGACAGCGGGCTGAGCGCAGTGGTGTAGTCATGACTCACTGCTGCCTTGGCCTCCTGGGCTCCAGCAAGCCTCCTGCCTCAGCCTCCCGAGTAGCTGGGAATACAGGCACGTGCCACCATGCCTGGCTAATTTTTGTTGTGAGAGACAGGGCCTTGCAGTGTTGCCTAGGCTTTATTTAAAACCATTTTCCCTGTTAACCCAGTCTTGGTACAATGGTAATAAAGCAAAATCAAAGTTCACCACTCTAGAAGAATTAGGCAAGTGACTTTTTCTAAAACAGGTATAGTATCATTATTAAAGTGAGGTAACAGTTTTTCTTTTGACTTTTTTTTTTTTTTAGACAGAGTTTTGCTCTGTCGCCCAGGCTGGAGCGCAATGGCGTGATCCTGGCTCACTGCAACTGCTGCCTCCCAGGTTCAAGTGATTCTCTCCTGCCTCAGCCTCCCAAGTAGCTGGGACTGTAGGTACGCGCCACCACACCTGGCTGATTTTTGTATTTTTAGTAGAGACAGGGTTTCGCCCCATTGGCCAGGCTGGTCTCAAACTCCTTACATAAGGTGACCCACCCGCCTCAGCCTCCCAAATTGCTGGGATTATAGGCGTGAGCTACCATGTCTGGCCCAGTTTTCTTTTTGGGTGAATGCTAGTGGAAGTTAGTTATCAGAATCCAAAGTTTCAGAAGGAGGCTTTTTGCTCTGTCGCCTAAGCTGCAGTGGTGCAATCACGACTCACCAGAACCTCAACTACCTGGGCTCAAGCAGTCTTTCCACCTCAGCCTCCTGAGCACCTGGGACTATGGGCATGTGCCACTATGCCTGGCTAACTTTTGTACTTTTTCTGGAGATGGGGTTTCACTGTGCTGCCCAGGCTGGTCTCGAACTCCAAGACTCCAGCAGTCCTCCAACCTTGGCCTCCCAAAGTGCTGGGATTATAGGTGTGAGCCACCATGCCCAGCTGAGGCATAATTTCAACGAAACTTTTCAAGTGTCTGCTGATTCCAGATTTATAATGAAATTTGAACATTCAGCACTTATTTGCAGAACAAGTTCAAAAGTTAAGAACCACCACGCTGTGGTGGTTTTTTGTTTTTGTTTTTTTAATTTTAAAATTTTGGACAGTTTGTAAATTTGACATCACAAATTGAATCTTTCAGATACCCTTACTATTTCAAATAATATAGTAACTTTAGAAACATAATATACTTAGTATTATAAATTGACATTAAATCCATGTCATTGTGTGACATGTGAGCATTATGTTAAGATTGAAATAGATGGGGACACTTGGAATAGCTAGGAAACACTTTAATCCAATACACAGAACATTCTTTAAGTTACAGGATTCAAAATAGTTCCCTTTTAGAGCATCGTTGGGGTTTTTAGATATAGTTGTGATAGAACACCAGACTGGGAATCAAACCTCCATTTAGATTCTGACTGATGTTTATAGTTTTATGATCTTAAAGCAAGTCACTTAACCTATCTGAAGATTAATTTTCTCATCTGTTAAAATAGGTATGGAAATCTTGAAGCTTTTCTACCTTGTATGTATTTTTTTACTCCATTGTTCCCCTCTCTATTGCCACTCCCTTATTAGTCTGGACTACGTATTAAACAGCCTGCCAGCTAAGTCTCTGCAACTTGTTCTCCCACTGTACCTCTCCATCTCTGGCTATTCTCTATATTACTATGACAATTATGTTCTTAAAAAACAGGCCAGACACGATGGCTCACACCTGTAATCCCAGCACTTTGGGAGGCTGAGGTGGGCGGATCACCTGAGGTCGGCAGATCACCTGAGGTCAGGAGTTCAAGACCAGTCTGGCCAACATGGCGAAACCCCATCTCTACTAAAGATACAAAAATCTGGTGTGGTGGCAGGTGCCTATAATCCCAGCTACTTGGGAGGCTGAGGCGGGAGAATCGCTTGTCCCCAAGAGGCGGAGGTTGCAGTGAGCCAAGATTGCGCCACTGCACTTCAGCCTGGGTGATAGAGCTAGACTCTGTCTCAAAAAAAAAAAAAAAAAAAAAAAAATTGGAGCATGCTGCTTCTCTACTTAAAATACCTTTGTTAACTTCCCTTGTCGATAAAGTCCAGACTCACAAGAGTTTATAGAATGTGTTCAACCTTAGGTCTCCTGTCACTCCAGCCATGCTGTTTCTTGTTCCCTGTGCCTCTGTCTTGTGTGTGTTTATCCCATTGTTTGGAGTTCTTATTCTTTGCCTATTCTGTTAGCTGCCCATCTAATGTCTACTTTTCTCTTCTTTCCTAACAGAAATCTGCTTTTGTTCATGCATGCAGCAGACTTGGAGAAGCTGATTTGTCACCACCTCCAGTAGTAGAGTTCCATTAGTTCAAACCAGTCAAATCATGGCATTTCCCTGTAAACTCTTATTTGTACCGATCAGATTTGAAGGGAAGTAGACATTCTGTTTCTGGGGGAGAAGATTCTTTCCTCTCTTGTATGTGAACAAGGGAACACAAGGCCCCTATTGCTACCGACAGCTGTCTTGGGATCACAAGGGATGAAGCACTTCCTGAAGATGGCAGATCAGAGAGGTAGAGGGTATCTGGATCCTTGGTAACATCATTTAACCACATATTTTATTGGGCCTGGAGCCATCCCCACCACAGGACTTCTCATGACAGATAATTTTCTTAATGTTTCAGACAGTTCTTTGGAGTTATTTGCCATCAAAAATCTCTTTTTTTTTTTTTTGAGACAGGGTCTCGCTCTGTCACCCAGGCTGGAGTGCAGTGATACAATCACAGCTCACTCCAACCTTGACCTCTTGGGTTCAGCAGTCCTCCTGCTTCAGGCTTCTGAGAAGTAGCCACCACACCTGGCTACTTTAAAAAAATTATTTGTAGAGGCAGGGTCTCCCTGTATTGCCCAGGCGTCTTGAACTCCTGGTCTCAAGTGATCCTCCCACCTCAGTCTCCCAAAGTGTTGGGATTACAGGTGTGAACCACTGCACCTGGCCCAAAATCTCTTGATTGATACAGTCCTCTTTATTTTTCAAGATCAAGTTATGATACCTTTACCAACAGTCATACATTCTTTTGGAACTTTGCACAATAGTCATATGTTCTTTTAGAACTTTACACTTCTATTCTTTATTGCCCTGTATTATAATTGCTTGTATGCCTGACTCCTCTACATGACTGTATGGTTTGAACCAAAGTGTACGGGATGTCGCACAGTGTCTAATAGTGTCACACAACAAGTAATAGGTATTCAGTAAGTGAGTTAAGATGAAATAGTAACATGAAAGAGTGCTTTGAAAGCAGTTTTTTAAAGAGTTTCTGTTCTGCTAATTGTAAGCCATTTTTTAAATAAACATGACGTGTGGTGTTGTCTTTAAAGTAAAAATGGAAAAACCAGTGAGATCAGACATTGTTTTTTGCTTGCCCCTCATTATTACCTAGACATTTTCATTTAGATAAAAACTATGTCAGTCTCCTGGCTGTAGTCCTTTACGGAAGGAGCAATATTACATTTAGCTCTGTTTCATCTGGGATTCAATTGTGAATTATTCTTTAGAGAAAAATTCTATAATATGCTTCATGAGACCTATTCTTGTCTTCAGACTTGCCTAAAATATTTTTTGCTTGCTTAAGACCAGACATGAGAATTTTCTTGTAAGCAGAAAGCTTTGTGACAGGACTGGATGAGTTTGTAGTGAATGTTAGTGATAGCTATGACAGAAGTCTCATAGCCTCAATTGCAGAGTCATAGTTCTGTCACATGCTTCAACAATAATGTCTGATAAGGGAGGAAGGATGGGGAAGAAGAGTTACAATTTACTAACTGTATATATTTCATCATTTATTGGCTTTGGTCAAATAAATTAAACATTAACATAGTAATTTGTAGGGTTAAAAAAATTTTTTTTTTCTATTCGCGTTCTTGCTATGTTCCCCAGGCTGGTTCCAAACTCCTGGGCTCAAGCGATCCTCAAGCCTTCTGAGTAATTGAGATTGCCACACCCAGCTTTGCAGTGTTTGTTTTTTTTAAGAGACAGGATACTCATTCTGTGCCCAGGCTGGAGTGCAGTGGCCCTATCATAGCTCACCGCAGCCTCAAACTCATAGGCTCAAGAGATTGTCCTGCCTCAGCCACCTGAGTAGCTAGGGCAGCAGGCACACGCCATCATGCTCAGCTAATTTGTAAACATTTTTTTTTGTAGAGATGGGGTCCTGCTGTGTTGTTGCCCAGGCTGGTCTTGAACTCCTGGCCTCAAGCAATTCATCCCATCTTGGCTTCCCAAAGCACTGGAATTATAGGCATGAGCCACATCACCCAGCCTTGTAGTTATTTTTAAAATGAAGACAAGAGGAATAGAGTATACCTTTAAAAATATATGATACTGTGTATTGGATGATTCTGAAAGGATGTATTTGCCTATGAAGAAAAACCTTCTTGTTTTGATGTCTGGTTGTTAGCTTTTTACTTTACTAAAGCCCAGTTAACTTTTCTGTGCTTTAGTTCCACATCTGTAAAATTACTCATTTTATATTTCTCTATCCACTTTGAAAATTAAGTAAATGCTCTTTGAATTTCAACTTTTAATTATTTAAGCCAAGATCTCTCTTCTGTATTTTTTATGTGTTCTTTATTGTGGGCTTACTAATTCTTGAATTTAAAAAAATCATTTAAATCAAGCAATAGTAATAGTATATGTTTAAGCATATAGTGTATGTTTTTAAATAAATAAGCAGGCTGGGTTTTAGTGGCTCACCCCTATAATCCCAACACTTTAGGAGGCCAAGGCAAAAGGATCACTTGAGTCCTGGAATTGAAGACCAGTCTGGGCAACATAGCGAGATCACACCTCTACAAAAAAAAAAGTTTAAAAATTAGCCAGGTATGGTGGTATGTACCTGTAGTTCTTAGCTATTCGAGAGGCTGAGGTGGAAGGATCGCTTGAGCCCAGAAATTTGAGGTTATGGTGAGTAGCGATCACCCCACTGCACTCCAAGCCTGGTTGACAGAATGAGACCCTGTCTCTAAAATAAAAATAAGCAATAGCATATTTTTTTAAAAAACAACAAACAACTCTTTTAAGTCCAAATTCCTTTTTGGATCCTATGGCTCATATCTTGCCACTGCCTGCTGCACTCTATATAGAAATACTTTTATTTCCTTCAGGAATCCAGTTTTGTTCTCTCCGTGGGCCTTCTCATAGTTAGTTCCCACTGCTGTTTGGAGCATTATTTTGGCATTCTTCTCGCTCCTTCTATTATTTTCACCAAGAAAAGAGGAAAGCTCACACTTTCTATTGTCAGTCTTGGATATCATCCCAAATGTCACTTTCTCAAGAATCGTTTAAGATAAACAGTTGTATTATCAGCCACAAAGAAGATTAAAAAAAAAAATTGCCCAAGATCATACAGTTTAGAAATGGCAGAGTCAGATCCAAACTTGGGCAGTTTTGCTCCAGAAGTCTTTATCGCCACTGATTTATGCTTCCCCTACATTGTAATTGCCTGTTCAACAGTTTGCCCCACTATGAGCACCTTTGGGGTATTGTTTGCTTGTTTGTTTGTGACGGAGTCTTGCTCTGTAGCCCAGGCTGGAGTGCCATGGCGCGATCTCAGCTCACTGCAACCTCCACCTCCCGGGTTCAAGCGATTCTCCTGCCTCAGCCTCCCGAGCAGCTGGGATTACAGGCACGCACCACCACGTCCAGCTAATTTTTGTATTTTTAGTAGAGACGGGGTTTCACCATGTTGGCCAGGCTGGTCTTGAACTCCTGACCTCAAGCGATCCACCCGCCTAGGCCTCTGAAAGTGCTGGGATTATAGGTGTGAGCCACTGCCCCCCTTAAAAGAAGCACCTTTGGAGGAAAAATTATGCCTGTCTTGTTCATTGTTATATCCCCATGTGCTTAGCACATACTAGGTGCTCAGAAAATATTTAAATGAATGAAAATTCTTATTTGAGGGAGAGAGTGTTTTGATTAAATTCTTCTCAGTACCTTTCATGTAGTGTGTCAGTAAATGCAGTAATGTTTTCATGCCTACTTATTATACAAAGTGAAATTTTTATGATCAAGTTAATCATGGTTACAAGCTCATTTTTTATAACCTCTCTTAATTCCTTTTTGCCCTATACTGCGTAACGGTATCACTTTGCAACTGTAAAAACTAGTGCTTTGTAGGCCTCTTTCTCATATTATCCCTCTGTGAACTGTTAAAATATAGATCATTTTTAATTAGTTTCTAAAGGGTATGTAGGAAATTGTATAAAATAAAATTATACTAGTAGATGGACTCTGATCATTTATACTGTTTAACCTTTTAACAAATTACAGAGGTGTAATTTCTCTGTGTGTAGAGGTTTTTTAAAGTATCCCATATTTTAAACCTTGACTGTTACCTCAAAAAAAAAAGTGGTTTATCTGTGTCCAGTAGTCACATGGTGGATAATGATGTAAGGCATGCACATTGTGTTCATGTGTTTGTTGGAGAAGTTGGAATGTCATTATACTTCAGTAGACTTTTCAAATGAAAAATCTGAAAGCTACTTCTAGCTGTAATTCTGCTGTAATTCTCAATCAGGTCAGTAGACAGAGAACCAAAAAAGTCTTCCTCCTCTCTGAATGTTCTTGCCAAAGCCTGACTTCTTTGATTAATCTTTCTTTTCTGTATTCCTTACACTCTATTACAGGGCTTCTCAACCTTGGCACTCTTGACATTTGGGGCCAGGTAATTCTTTGTTGTGGAGGACTGTCCTGTGCCTTGTGAAATGTTTAGCAGCATCCTTGGCTTCTACCTGTTAGAGGCAAATAGTATCCTTCCCCTTTCCCCTGTCCAGTTGTGGCAATTTGAAATGTCTCCAGACATTGTCAAGTGTGGGGGTTAGGGAGGGTGGAAGGGGAGAACAATCACCCCAGTTGAAAATTGCAGCTTTCCTACATCATTCTGTCCACTTACTCATTTGTTTTAATATCTTCCCCTCCCTCTCACACTTACCTTTTCAGACTTCCTGCCTCTCTGCTACTGCCTCATTTCTCTGAACCTTTTTGCAGCCATACTTCTAAAAAAGAATTGTAAAACATCTGTTCTCTCCAAGTTTTCACTTGCAGTTCAGTTTCCTCTTTTGAATTCTATTGAGACCACATTTTTCTAGTTTTCCTCTATCTCTCTGGCCGTTCCATTTTTATTTTCTTTATCAGTTCTACCTAGTTGGACAATGGCATCATCTTTGCCCCTTTCTTTCTTGTTCTCTGTTATTCAACTCTCAAGTCTTCCTTTCTTGCCTCATTTCCTAGTGCTTAATGTTGTCTCTCATATGTGTTGTCCTATTCATTTTTATTTTTTTTGGTAAGAACACAATATGAGATCTACCCTTTCAACAAATTTTTAAGTATACAATACATTATTGTTGACTATAGGTACAGTGTTGTACAGTAGATCTCTAGAGCTTACTCATTTTGCTTAACTGAAACTGTATGCCCGTTGATTAATAAGTCTGCATTTCCCCCCAGCCCCTGACAACTCCCCTTTCACTCTTCGATTCTATGAATTTGATTATTTTAGATACTCACTTATCATTCTGGGTAATGACCAGGCCTAGATAAAGACCTCATATAAGTGGAATTATGTAGTATTTGTCTTTCTGTGACTGGCTTATTTTACTTAGCATAATGTCTTCAAGGTTCATCCATGTTGTCACCATATTTCCTTCTTCTCTGAGGCCAAATAGTATTCCATTTATGTATTTACTACATTTTCTTTATTCATTCATCTGTCAATGGATATTTAGGTTGTTTCCACATCTTGGCTGTTGTGATATCTATTAATTGTTAAGCTGGTCTCTGTATTGAAATCTCCTTGCCTATATTTCTCCATAGTTTAACATCCTGCAAGGACCAGAGCAGATTTTGTCTGTTGTTTTTTGGTTTTGGTTGTTGTTATTGTTAGAGACAGTGTCTCATTCTGTTGTCCAGGCTGTAGTGCAGTGGTGCAGTCATGGCTCACTGCTCACTGTAACCTCAAATGCCTGGACTCAAGTGATCCCTCATCTCAGCCTCCGGAGTAGCTGAGACTGCAGGCACACACTATCACACTTGGCGAATTTTTCTGTTTTTTTGTAACAGCCTGTTGCCCAGGCTGATCTCAAACTCCTGGGCTGAAGCAATCTGCCCACCTCGGCCTCCTGAAGTGCTGGGTTTACAGGCGTGAGCCCCCGCATCTAGCTTGCACCTCATTTATTAAGGGTTCGTTATGAGCCAGGCACTCTTTAAGGTCTTTGGACTATATAGTTACTGAAATAAGACACAGTCCCAGTACTCCAAGAACTTAGTCTGTTTGAGGACATGGAAATTTTAATTCATTGCTCTTACAGAGTGAGTATGGAAATTGAAGTGTATCCCAAACTTTCTGGTAGCATATAGGAAAGGGATGATTTCTCAGTTTGATGTAAACCTCATTCAAGTGCCACTTCTTACATGCAGGCTATCCTGGTCACTACCCAGTCTGATTTGTGTTTTTATACTCTCCTTTACTCAGTTCTCTTTCTTTTCCAGCCCCCAAATCATCAGCATTTCCTATGACTCAACACTTAGCTTTTCATTCATTCTTCTAGATCCTTTTCTTTAGGAAATGGATTTAATTTCAAGGGTTCAGCTGAAACTTTCAAATTTGTAGTAGCTCCAACAAAACATTTTATTGTGAAGTAATACACATACAAAGTACATTAAATAAATCTAACTTAAAAAAACATTATTTTAAAGCTGACATCACTCTGGCCATGAAATAGAGCACTGTAAGTATTCCAAAAGCCCCCCTCATGCCTCTTCCCAATCATAACCACTTTCTTCCTCCTTTTAAAGGTTACTGCTATTCTGATCTTTATGGTAATTTCCTTGCAGATTTTTAAAAATAGCTTTATTCTTGATTACCAGCTGAATATTTATCCCAAAACAATATAATGTCATTTTGGGAGGACAGTAGAGAAAGACATTTTATCATATCCCGTTTTGTGCCTGTATTTTGAATCCGCAAGATCACCCCCAGGTTTGGTGAGGAGGAAGCACAGAACTCAACATATAGTATGACTCAGCTAAGAGTTACTACAGCAAAAAAAATACAAAGCGAAAATGCCCATGGGGCAACGTCCAGAGGAAACCAGGCACAAGCTTCAAGAGTCTTATCCCAGTGAAGCCGCGTAGGATGCATTGACTTGTTACAATCCTTGTGAAATGTTGTCTTCCAGGGAAGCTTATAAGAGACTCACTGCCCAGGGTGTTTATTGGGGTATAATCACATAGGCACCCTCTGTCTAGCTTGTACCAAATTCCAAGCTCCCAGAAGGAAAGCAGATATTCAGCATAAACCATATTGTTTGCACAAACAGTTTAGGCATAGTAAATCACCCTTATTAAATAGTCAGGGAATTATGGGAACACTCCCAAAATCCAATTTCCCAGAGACCTGCCAAGGGCCATCTTTGCATGCAGGCCTTTCTAAAGATAGCAGTCTTAGGCCTGCTATGTTGTCTTTTTGGCATAGTACCTTTTGCTGTTTCTGAATTCAAAATTTAAATAAGTAAAAAATCAATTATCACTTTATGTTATGTTCTTTTTTTCTCCACCGTTGTTTTCTTTCCTAATGTATCAAGATTAGCTGGGTGTGGTAGTGTGTGCCTCTGTAGTCTCAGCTACTTGGGAGGCTGAGTGCTGTAGTGCACAATAATTGCACTTAGGATTAACCACTGCACTCCAGCCTGGGCGACATACCAAACCCTGTTTCTCTTAAAAAAAAAAAAAAGTATCAACATTAGCTCAGTGCAAAGGTTGACTACTATGATATGATTGAAAGTATATTCCGGCCGGGCGCAGTGGCTCACGCCTATAATCCCAGCACTTTGGGAGGCTGAGGCAGGCAGATCACTTAAGGTCAGGAGTTCGAGACCAGCCTGGCCAACATAGTGAAGCCCCATCTCTACTAAAAATAAAAAATTAGTTGGGTGTGGTGGCACATGGCTGTAATCTTAGCCGCTCGGGAGGCTGAGGCAGGGTAATCGCTTGAACCCAAGAGGCAAAGGTTGCAATGAGCTGAGATCGTACCACTGCACTCTTTCTTATGAAGGTTTCTGTGATTAAGTTTGGAAAGGATGAATTAAACAAAGTTAAACAGATTTCTTAACTACAGGACTCTTAGCCTTTTCACAGGAATGTGCATGACTTGGTGACTGCCTACATGTCCTGCCTCATCTCACGTTTTTTTTCCCTGACCCACTTTGCTTACTCTGCCCAGATTTAATCTAGTACTAAGGATCAAATTACAATTGTCTATGTTACATGGGCATTTTCTCAGTTTGCCACAGCAATATTATGATCACTTTACCATCTTGAATATGAACTGTCCCTCCATCTCTGCTCAATTACTGTGTCAGAGCAAGCAAACGTTTTTACTATTTCATTCATAGATTCAGCAAAATTTGTTAAGCACCTACTATATTTGCCAGACACAGTTCTAGGCACTGGAGATACAACAGTGAATAAAAGAAAAACCCTGACCTTATATAGTTTACCTTATAGTGGGGAGTGGAAAAAGGGAACAATAATTAAAAATACATGTTATGCCCAGTATGGTGGCTCACACCTGTAATCCTTAAACTCTGAGAGGCCAAAGTGGGAGGATCACTTGAGGCCAAGAGTTCAAGACCAACCTTTATAACACACCAAGACCTCAACAGAAAAAATAAAAATAAATTAGCTGGGCACAGTGGTGCATACTGTAGTCCCAGTTATTCGGGAGGATCACTTGAGCCCAGGAGTTTGAAGCTACAGTGAGCTATGATTGTGCCACCACACTTCAGCCTGAGTGACAGAGTGAGACTGTCTCTATTTTTTAAAAAAAATTAAAAAAAAAAAGACTGGGCATGGTGGCTTGCACCTGTAATCCTAGCACTTTGGGGAGGCCAAGGTGGGTAGATCACCTGAAGTCATGAGTTCGAGACCAGCCTGGCCAACATGGTGAAACCCTATCTCTACTAAAAATACAAAAAAATTAGCTGGGCATGGTGGCAGATGCCTGTAATCCCAGCTACTCGGGAGGCTGAGGCAGGAGAATTGCTTGAACCCGGGAGGCAGAGGTTGCAGTGAGCCGAGATCACACCATTGTACTCCATCCTGGGCAACAAGAGCAAAACTCCATCTCAAAAAAAAAAAAAAAAAGATACATTTTGCTCCTAGGCATATACTTAAGAGAAGTGGAAGTACATGTCTACACAACTTGTACAAATGTTTGTAACAGCATTATTCATAATAACCAAAAAGTGGAAACAACCCAAATGTCCATCAATGGATGGATGGATGAATGAATAAATCAAATACAATGTGGTATATCCATACAATGAAATATTATACAGCAAATAAAGAGGAATAAAGTAGTACTGATAAATGCTACAATGTGGATGGACCTTGAAAACATCATGCTAAAGTGAAAGAAGCCAGTCACAAAAGCCCACATTATTATATGATCCCATTTATATAAAATGTCCAAAATAATAGAGGTAGAAATTAGATTAGTAGTTGCCTAGGATTGGGGAATTGAGGTGAGTGACTGCTAATGGAACTTCTTTTAGGGGGTGATGAAAATGTTCTACATGTCAGAACCACTGATGGCTGCACAGATGTATCTACAAGTAATATAGTGTCAGTTAAGCACAACGTTCTCAAGAAATTCAGTAAAAAGTCAAGCCTAACATTGTACACCTCAATGGCTAACAAAAGCATCCTCCAGTTATTTGGAAAATTTATCCATCTCGCTTCCTAGCAACAGCAGGTAATTGAGTTAGCTTAATACTTAGGACTTAATAAAATGTTAAATGTTAGTATACCAAATGACTTGAAACAATAATAACTGTGTTATAAACTCTTAATTTAATGTTAACTTCCTCCTTAATAGAAGAATATTTACCCACATACTCTAATTTGGAGATTACAACACAAATTGAAAGCACTTTCTCAAATATTGTCCTAACTGCTTAAATATTTATATATAAATTAGTTTTCTGATGTAAAAATGTTTGCAGTAAGAAGGAGGAAACCCAGAAGTTACAAAGGAAAAGACAGAGTTGTCTATATGAAAAATTTAAACATTTGTGACAAAAGCTATCATAGTTTTAAAAGGCCCGTATGAATATTTTCCGTTTATTATTTTAACATTAATATAGAAAATGTTGCAAATTTGTAAAAAGAACAGCCAAATAGAAAAATGGGCAAAGAATATAAAGCAACATGGGGACTAATGAATATCAGTTTATTAATTTTTAAGAGATTAAAATAGCAATGGCATAATTTTTCCTCCATCAGATTGCAAAGATGAATAATGTCCAGCATTTTGGACATTCTCATGCAGAGCTGATAGGAGTGTAAATTGCAACTCTTCTGACAATATGTCTTCAAATTAGAAACATGTATATCCTTTAACCCAAGAATCTTCTTGAAATTTATTCTAATGACATAATTTAGACTGGGCAGAGTGGGCAAAGATATGTGTAAAAGACTTGCAGTGCTATTTATAATATTGAAAAATTGGATGTGACCCTCAATATGGATTTGGTTAAGTAAATTATTACATATCTATACAACACAGTTCTATGTAGGAATTTTTTTAAGGTAAAGTAAAATTTTGTGTGTGGCCATATTTTTGCAACCTTGCTATATTATGAAATGAAAATAGTTTTGTATAAAACTGTCACCTGGCCAAATTTTAAATTTTGATATACATATGAGTGCATAATAGTTTTTAATTTTAGGATTTAGTGTAAATTTAGTTTTCATAAATAAGATAGTCATATCCACATTTAATATTTTTTTCTAATAATTCAGTATCTCTTTTAATGATTTCTTCACTGGTTTGGGTTTTCCTACCCTGTTTAAGAATGATAATCTACAAGACTTCCCTACTGACTACTCTGGGTTTGTTACTCTTTGGAGATTATGTTTTTTAAATCATTTAAACAGCTAAGAGTTAACAGATTTCAGACCTTGCTTACTATGCATTTATAGCAGATATTTTATTTAAGAAGTATTTCATAACTAGAAATACTACAAGAACACTAAGAATATAGTTTCAGCCAGGTGAGGTGGCTCATGCTTTGTAATCCCAGTGCTTTGCAAAGCTGAGGCAGGAAGGTCACTTGAGGCTAGGAGTTCAAGACCAGCCTGGGCAACATAGTGAGACCCGTCTGTACCAAAAAAAAAAAAAATTTTGTTGTTCATTAGCTGGGCACGCTGGCACACACCTATAGTCCTAGCTACTTGGGAGGCTGGGGCAGGAGGATTGCTTGAGCCCAGGAGTTGGAGGCTGCAATGAGCTATGAGTGAACTACTATACTCTAGCCTAGACAACAGAGCAGGACCCTTTCTCAAATTAAAATAAATGTGTGTGTATATATGTGTGATTGTGTGTGTGTGTGTGTGTGTGTGTGTGTGTGTGTGTAGTTTCATTTTAGGATAAGTCAAAAATTCAGATACTTTCCTCTTCACTAGACTCAGAATTCTAAGAACCATACTCAACTCATTTCTCTGTATTTCCATCATTTTCTAGTTTGAAAAATTATTCGATTGTTGCATATATTAGTGGAATGTGATGTACTTTTATATTCTTTTAAAAATGCATTTTTAATGGGGAAAAAAGTATCAGCAGGGGACTGACAGCTGTTATGAATTATAATAGGTTATATTAGAAAAAAACCACATGGCTTAATAAGATTCTCCTAACAAAACCCTAACAACTAACTAATCTTCATTTGCAGTAATGCAATGGAATTTTATAGAAAATGTCAATTTAAAGATTTTCATTTAACATGAATAGAAATGTTTTCTGACTTGACTATTTTTGGTGGTGGGTGGATAAGGGAAAAGACTATTTTTAACTACAGGTCCACATTCTCTTACTTATAATTTGAAATCCCAAAAGTTCTGAAAACTATTTTAGGGGTTATGGGAGGACTTAATTTGATGGCAAACACTGACATGACCTAGATTTGTCTGCCAGCAAAACCGAACCTAAACTAACATAGGTTAGTCTAAATAGTATATTTTACTGCAGAATATTAATTTGTTTGATGTTACAAACAAATTATTACAAACAAATTAGGGTGCTGTGCCAGATCTCCCTGGGGATAGTTATATAGTATACAGTAAATGTTTGGTATACCATATGTCATGCCAAACTTCTGTCACTCCAGTGGGCATGGCATTAGGTTCAAGAGGCCGAAGAAGAGACCCAGAGCCGGCAAAAGAGATGTGGGGTTTTATTGGGGGCTTACATACAAAGGAGAGGGTACAGTGGCAGTGGGCTGGACGGGAGAACTGCCTTATATACAGTCCAGTGGCAGTGGGCTGGGCAGAAGAACCACAACTGCCTGCCATAGGCATGCAGTTTATATAGCATTTCCACTTAGCACTTCCACCTAGCAACCTCCACCTGGCACTCTTTATTCTACCCAAAACTTGGAGCCTCAGTCTCCTGTAGGGCTTGTGTTCCAAGAGACAGGTTGGGGGCTCAGATGTCCTTATAGACAAGGAGGGAATCTCTGGGTTGGCCACTCCTGAATTCCCTAGCTCAGAACACACATTCAGGTGCATCTGCCATACAAAGTCATTCTAAGGATATGCTTAAATTATTGCTGTCAGGTATGTTTACTATAACCATATTATTTCTCTTTGAAAGCAAAAGAAAAAAGTGAATTTTTGAATGTATGTGGCTCCAAAGATTTCTATTTGAAAAAGAATTGTAGACCTGTATTCTTAACACTCTTTAACTGGTACTTTAAGCTGATGATGAGCATTAAATATATATTTTATTGGTAGAACTAAGACTGAGAGTGTAGTATGTAACCACTCTATAGGTAAAGTTTAATTATCAAGAATGTGGGGAGAATATATGAAATGTAAAATAAGCTCACTGGTTATAGGTATTCACTGTAAATAAAAATATATCACTTAAAATACTGGGGTAGAGACAGGAGAAGGAAGTTACTAACTTAATTTCAGCATTGCTCATAGTAGGGAACCAACGGATAATAGCCAAAAAAACAGGGAATGTAAAATGTTGTATAAAGTATAAGTAAAGTTACATATGGGGCAGGCAGGGACTAGAATAGAGTAGACAGGGACAGCAATTTGTATTCTTTGGATGTATCTTTTTTTTTTATTTTAACTTTATACTCACTTAAATGTTTAATTATATAACAAAGTTAAAAATGCAATGACTAAAAATCAAAATAAATCTTATAAAGTGGATTTCCCATTGGTTATATAATCACACAGAGTAAACCATTCCAAGTGACTTACATATACAGTAATTTGTAGAATATTCCAAGTTGGGTATATCCTAAAGATAAAAAGAATTGTAAAAAAAAAAAAAAATTAAAAATATTTTCATGGATCATATTGGTGATGATAGTGTTAATATTTTTATTCTCAGGTTGTGTGAATATTTTGTGATAAACTATTATGTAGGCTGCATTGAGAATAGAGGGTTTTCATATGTGAGAAAGGAGAAATGATATAAGATAATGAGATTGAGTAAAAACCCTATAAACCTGAATTTGAATTGGAAGCAACAGTATAAACTAATGATAATGTACATTTATGTATCTATGTACATGTTTATGTAGATATGTGTGTATATAATGTCTTAGATCTTTGTACTGAAAAGGCATTAAGCATCCCTATTACTGAGATTGTGGTTTCTGAATACCATTTCCCACTAAAGGGAATTAGGGCTTCTTTAAGGAAATGACCAGTGCCAAGTCAAAGGCAAGAAAAATACAAGATATGCCTGGAATAAGTTGTAATACCAGAAAGGTAAGGTAACCTCTGCTCTCGGAGGCAGAGGTTAGGATTATGTCATAAGGTCTCAGGAACCAATTTGAATAAGGCTCTACTGTCCAAAGATGGGACAGTTTGAACTTCAATAAGAATAACTACAAAGGATTAAAACCTGTCACATAGATGTAAGTCTATTAATTCATAACTTTTTAAAACTCACTGATTGTCTTTAAGGATGCTAGGAAGCTATTACTAATTGTTTTGAAAATTAGTAAATAAAAGTAAAAAATTACTCATTTATTCTGTCCTTTCTATACAGACTGCATCAGGACAACTGAATAGTTGATGAGTTTTTTTTATAGAATTTTTCCAGCTAGTGAATAAAGAAAGAATGATAGACTATCATGTGATCGTTTTTCAACCCCGTTAATGGATTGCTTTAGTTGGTGATCATTGATAACTGTTAATATCAAAAAAAGGGAATTCAATAGACTTTTGAACTTAACTGTTGGAAGTACATACTACCTGCCACCTGTGAAGCAGTCTTGGCAAAAAAAAAAAAAAAAAAAAGTTTTTTGGTTTTTTTGTTTGTTTGTTTTTGGAAACAGAGTCACTGTTGCCCAGGCTAGAGTGCAATGGTACTATCTCAGCTCACTGCAACCTCCACCTCCCAGGTTCAAGCAATTCTTGTGCCTCAGCCCCCGAGTACCTGGGACTACAGGTGCGTGCCACCACACCCGGCCAATTTTTATTATTTTAGTAGAGATGGGGTTTCACCACGTTACCCACGCTGGTCTCTATCAATTTACTGTAAATACAAGAGTCAGAAGCACATTATTAAACTACATCATGGTAATACATTTGGCAAAATCCAAACTATAGGAAACAACCAGGTAACCTGATTTCTTCAACAAAAAAAAATTGTAAAGGGGGAGGAACCCATATGCAGAGATTGAAGAGACATAGTCATCCAGTCACAGTGTGTAGACCTTATTTGGATCCTAATTCAAACAAAGAAAAAACAATTTGAGAAATGTTAACACTGCCCAGGAGTTTCATATTAAGGAATTATTGTTTATTTTAGATATGATAGTCTGTAGTTGCTTTACATCCTTTTAGAGGTAAATATGGAAATATTTACAGGTTGAAATAATATGCTATCTGAGATTTGCTTGAGAATATTCTACTGGGATTGGGTAGATAGTGGACTGGGATATAGTTGATACTTAAACCTGTAATTGCAGCACTTTGGGAAGCTGAGGCAGGAGGATCACTTGAGTCCAGGAGTTTGAGGTTGCAGTGAGCTATGTTTGTGCCACGGCACCCCAGCCTCTGCAACAGAGCAAGACCCCATTTCTAAAGGGGGAAAAAAAAACACCTGCCAATTGGTAAATGTTGGTTGAAACTTGGCAATGGGTAGAGATCCATTAACTATTTTCTCCACTTTTTTATTGTATATTTTTTCATTTTTATTACAAAAATTACAAAAGTATCTCCTGCAAAGGAAGGAAAAACAAGTAATAGGAAGGGATGAGATTAGAGAAGCTTAGTCATTTAATTGTCCTCTGTGTTTGAATGCTAGGAGATTTGATATTTATGGAGTATTAATCACAATCAAGAAACATTTTACTGTTCAACAATACACAGCACTAGAGAGATTAAGATCTGTCCCTTTACCTCAGTTGGGTGATAAAGTAGAAACTGGAGACTTAAGGGTTGAGTAATAGAAACAGCAGCACAGTGGACACAGAAGCATGAGGTAGACGTGGCAGCTTCCTTCAGAAAGGTTGGTATAGCACTGAAGACTTTTGAGACGCTTTCTTGTTTAGCAGGGGTGTGGAGGTTGGGGGGATAAGACACACACTAGATGAGGGATTGAAGGCCTGGTCTTTGGTCTTGGCTTTGCCATTTTACTCTTTTTTTTTTTTTTTTCTTGGAGACAGAGGAGTTTTGCCCTTGTCGCCTAGGCCACACACCTTGGCCTCCCAAAGTGCTGGAATTACAGGCGTGAGCTACTGCACCTGGCCCATTTTACTCTTTATTTGACTTTGGATAAGTCACTTTAAAGTCTCTACTTTGATTTCCTCATTTGGAGAATAGAGAATATGCCTGTGCTGTCTACATGGAAGAGTTATTGTGAGAATAAAATGACTTAACACATGAAAAAGCCCTTGGTAAACTGTATTCCCATTCTGATGTAAGATACTCCCACTCCAGTCATTAAAAGGAACATGAAGTTGGGGGGAATGTTTAAAAAAGGGAGTGGAGAGGGAAGGTATGTCATTGCTTTTCTGTTTTAATGTTTTTTTGTGAGGTTTTTTCCATTTTTTAAGTTGTCACTTAAAAATACATAACATTTACCATTTTAACCAGTTTTAAGTGTATATATAGTTCTGCAACATTAAGTACATTCACATTGTTGTGCAGCCATCACCACCATCTCCAGAACTTTCTCATTTTCCACAACTGAAACTTTGTGCTTACTGAACACTAACTTCCCAGCCCCTGACAACCATCATTCTACTTTCTGTCTCTATGAATTTGATTACTCTAAGTACTTCATATAAGTGGAATCCATATTCGTCCTTTTGTGACTGGCTTATTTCACTTAACATAATGTTCTTAGGGTTCATCTGTGTTTCAGCATGTGTCAGAATTTCCTTCCTTTTTAAGGCTGAATAATCTACTCTATGTATACACCACATTTTGTTTTCCCATTCATCTATCTGTGGACACCTGAGTTGCTTCTACCTTTTGGCTGTTGTGAATAATTTTGCTATGAACGTGGGTGTACACATCTGTTTGAGTCCCTGTTTTCACTTTTTTTGGTATATATCCACAAATGGAATTGCTGGATCATATAATTCTATGTTTAATTATTGAGGAAGCAGTGTGTTTTTAAAAATTATTTACTTTATTGCTTATGGAAACATTTCCACAAGTCGTATTTGAGGGTATATGTACGCTGTGATCCATGAGGCTTTTTGCTGGGAAATCTTTTGTCTCCAAGTACTAATCCAATTTTCTTTTCTTTTCTTTTTTTTTTTTTTTTTGGAGACCGAGTCTGGCTCTGTCGCCTAGGCTGGAGTGCAGTGGTGCGATCTCAGCTCACTGCAAGCTCCGCCTCCCAGGCTCACGCCATTCTCCTGCCTCAGCCTCCCGAGGAGCTGGGACTGCAGGCGCCCACCACCACACCCGGCTAATATATTTAGTAGAGACGGGGTTTCACTGTGTTAGCCAGGATGGTCTCGATCTCCTGACCTCATGATCCGCCCACCTCGGCCTCCCAAAGTGCTGGGATTACAGGATTGAGCCACCGTGCCCGGCCGCAATTTTTTAATCACACTCTTCTAAGAGGCTTAGACTGTGAAGGAATATGGATCCCAAGAAATAGTTTTTGGACTCAAAATCTTGAAGAATGATTACAGATAAGCCTTTCCTTACTAAATGTTTATTTTTTAAAACTAATTTCATTCAGCAGTTTTCAACTTAATGCCTCCTAAGTGCCAGGTACTGTATTATGTGGTGAGGATTTAGTGTTGAATAAATGAAATTCAAGTGCTGAAAAGTACTACTGTAAAGAAAATAAACTGAAGAAAGAGGATAGTGAATGATGGGGTGGAATGTTATTTTATATAGGCTAACTAGGGAAGTCTTCTCCAAGAGGTAGTATTTGAGCAAAGACTTCAGTAAAAATGAGAGTATGAAACATGTGAAGATGTTTCAGAAGAGTGGTACAGGCAAAGGGAAGAGCCCTGAGGTAGGAGTAAGAAATGCTTTTCAAGTAGACAACTCAGGGATCAGATGACAGCCTATCTTGACCAGTACCTAGTACCTATATGAGGAAATCAATTGTTGTAAGATAGCTCTAGAAAGTAAAGTCACGTCTGGGTGTGCTGGCTCGTGCCTGTAATCTGAGCACTTTGGGAGGCCAGGGCAGGAGGATCATTTGAGACCAGGAGTTCAAGACCAGCCTGGACAACATTAGTGAGGCCCTGTCTCTACAGAAAAAAAATGTTTTTAATTAGCTGGACATGGTGGCACACGCCTGCTCTAGCTACTTGGGAGGCTGAGGCTTGGAGGATTGCTTGAGCCCAGGCACTGTGAGCTATGATTGTGCCACTGCACTTCAGCCTGAGCAACACAGTGAGACTCTGCCTCTTAAAAATAAAAAAGAAAAGTACAGGAAAACTAAAAATAGAAAATTGTTAGGGATAATTTATTTGCATATTCTGTTAATCTAGAAAATACTGTATTTGTGGTGTGGGAGATGTCAGGAAGATATTACTGCTGACATGACATTCCAATAATGATTACTACATAGAAGACATAACCTTTTCCTCTGAAATGTTATTTTCTTGGCAGAGGGGCATGTACAGTGAACCCAAAGGATATATTTTATCATCTGTTCAGGGAAGACAGAATGAGACAACTGATAAAGAGAATCTGAGTTTTAAGAAATGATCTCTAAAAATCTTAGATAATAAAATACTTTAATAACCAAGTATCTTACTGATATATATGACAGTGATACATATATTATTAGGAGAACACTCAGACTCAGATCTCAAGAGAGGTTAGAGATCACCCATATTTTGCTGGGTGCTGTGCAGTAATGTGAAGTTATGCCAGAAATAACTTTGCGCCTCAAGAAATAAGCACCATTACTTCTTAAGACTCTCCATTTATCTTTTTAGAAACATTGATAAGATATTTGTAAATAATATCCTCATTTAAAAGTAAATGAATTATCTTGGGAGAATGCTGTATTGTAATACAAGGAATTTTACCTTTAGAAATTAGATATTATTAATAGTATTAGAAAACTTTTGTTTTTAGACTTCTTTATGTTCTGTTTGAATTGTTTCTTCCTTGATAACGTCTTTTTTTTTTTTTTTTTAAAGAGAGATGAGGTTGTTTTGTTGCCCAGGCTAGTCTGGAACTCCTGGCCTCAAGCAATCCTCCTTAGCCTCCCAAAGTGCTGGGATTATAGGCGTGAGCCACCGTGCCTGGCCTCTTTAATATGTCTTTCCCAGATTTCAAACCCATTACCTTTATCACCCTCAGTGGACCCATAAATTGCTTCTCCTATATGCTTCTTGGTTTACAGCATTGTAACCACCCAGTTATGCAAGGTAGAAACCTCAGTCATCGTTTCCTTCTTCCTCTCCACCATTCCCCTTACCAGTTTGGTGAGCATTCTTCACTATGTCTTCTATGATAAGGACCTCATATGTATTACTTAATTTTTTATTATAGATGTCTACTATGATTTGCTGTTCCCCACATTGCATGTGTTGGGAACTTAATCCCCAAATCTGTATGTCAGTTGAACGTAGGGCCTTTGGAAAGTAATTAGGATTAGATAAAATCATCAGGGTGGGGCCACCATAATGGGGCTGGTGGCTTTATAAGAGGAAGAGAGACCTGAGCTGACACGCATGTTCTTGCCCTCTTGCTATGTGGTGCCCTCAGCCATGTTAGGGCACAGCAAGAAGGCCCTCACCAGATATTGGGGTGGTCTTGGACCTCCCACCCTCCAGAACTGTAAGAAATAGATTTTTTTATATATTACCCAGTCTATGATATTCTGTTACGGCAACAGAAAACAGACTAAGACAAGCTTCTAAACAAATGGAAAATAGAGTTTTAAGATGCAGACTTTCATTGCCTTAACAGGGCCAAGAATATCTATTTCATTCTGACATACTTAAACTGTAATATCCTCTCCCAGTGTTTCTGCTACAAGTGGGTAGCACAGAACAAGCAATGGGATTAAGGAAAAATTACCATAGTTATAAGAAAGCCCTCTAATAATGCTTGTGAGAGTGAGAGTTTTGTCTGGTTTTCTACTTCTTGTTTTTCATAAGAGACCTTGTTGATGTCTCTTACAGAGAGGGTCTTTTATAGCTAAACGTTCTCAAAACTTGTTCATCATCACAACCACTAGTGCTTCTTTTACAAGGACCACTATATACAAGACTCTAAGTGTAGACTTCAGAAGAAACTTAGGAGGAACACATTTTTCACTTAACATGCCAACAAAGATTCTTTAAATAGCAAATATTCTGATGGGCAGGAGCTCATCAGAATGGAGTGACTAGCCAGTATTAAGCCATTATATATGACTTGTAACTTTTTCACTGAAAATTTAAAGTAATGGGTCCCCCACCCTCATATTTATTTAGACTCAGTCTCCGTAATGTGAAGAAAAATAGAATTTTACTATGTAATTACCTCAACTGCTAAGCCATTATTGTCTTCTTATTTATAAGAATTTGAATAATTCATAGGGCTAGTCACATGCCTATTCCTTTAATGATCTAACAGTTTGGAATTTGAACTGTCTTCATGAAGACTGCCCTGGATGAGGAAACCTTTGAGTTTCTGTTTTGTTCTGTGTTCTCTTCTGTCTGTGCAGCCATAGTCTCAGGCTTACTCTAGGGTTCACCCAGCATGTTTGCTTATCTCTCCAGCTCTACTAGTGGAACCCATGGTAACTTATCAATAAGAAGTATACCCTTGTATTTTAAACATTTGCTAAGTTGGTGTCAGAAAATCTGAATGTTTTGGCTTTGAATGGAATTTAGGAGAAATTGCATTTTTTCCCTTTAAATTCAGTTGATTTGAATGTATTCTCTGATGTCAGTTCTATTTCTCTCTGCAAGTCCTCTTTAAACTCAAATCTAGGCCGGGCACGGTGGCTCACGCCTGTAATCCCAACACTCTGGGAAGACGAGGCCGGCAGATCACCTGAGGTCAGGAGTTTGAGACCAGCCTGGCCAACATGGTGAAACCTCATCTCTACTAAAAATACAAAAATTAGCCAGGTGTAGGGATGCACGCCTGTAATCCCAGCTACTCGGGAGGCTGAGGCAGGAGAATCGCTCGAACCTGGATGGCAGAGGTTGCAGTGAGCCAAGATTGCGCCACTGCACTCCAGCCTGGGCGACAGCACGAGACTCCGTCTCAAAAATAAAAATAAATAAATAATAAACTCAAATCTAGACTCATTTTTATCACCATCTCTAAATCTAGAGTGAACCATCTTTCTGTACACTCTCAAGCCAACAATAAAAACAGTTGTCCCTGATTAGAACAATCATTTCCTTTATTCAATAAAATATTGTGTGCCGGGCTCAGTGCTAGTTTTCCATATCGTAAACACAGAGGCTCCAAATGGCAGGCCCCATCACCTTATGAGAGTTGATTGGGCAAGTTCTGCAGTCTGTCTTGCAGGGCCTCATAATAATTTTTCACCCTCTGCTTATAGGCTCTTTTTCCTGACTTTTGGGGAAGACTTTTCAGGCTCCTTCCAGAGCTACTTCAGTTTTGGGGGATTCTAGCTGCTAGAAGACATCAAAACTTTTGGGGATGTCCAGGCCAAGGCAGCTCCTGCACTGGCTGCTGTAGGCATCACTGCTCAGGCCCTCTGCCAAAGACCAGATAAGAGGAATAAGCGACTCCCATTGTCCTAGAGTCAGGCCTTCCTCTGGTGGGGGGTGGGGAGGCCGTTTCAGCCCTCTAATTCCCATTTTCCATCTGTTGCTTCAAGAGGATCTTCTTCTGAGGTTGTAGGTCAGGATGAAGCATTTGGAGTGTGAGCTCTGAGGGTAAAGGTGGCAGAGTAGGAGAGGCCCATTTGTGTCTTCACAGTGCAGCCACATTCATTCTTAACGCACCACTTTCCAGGAATTGGTTCTCTGCTTTAAATGGCTAGAAACTGAATTTTTTAAAGAATATTTTAACATCTTTTAAGATGTAGTTCGTCTAGTCCAGGTCAGACCTGGCACAGGCCCAAGTCCCTCAAAAGACATTTCTCTTTTGATAGGCTCCTGTTTCTGCTTTCCGAGTGGCAGTCCATATTATCTTTTTTATTTTTTTTTTTAACTTTTTTTTTTCTGAGATGGGGTCTTGCTATGTTGTTCAGGCTGGTCTCGAACTCCTGAGCTCAAGCGAGCTGCCTGCCTCAGACTCCTGAAGTGCCAGGATTACAGGCATGTGTCACCATGCCTGACCAGCAGTCCATATTATTTTAACTCTTAAAACAACCTTGTAAAGTAGGTGTTATTATATTGCCCCCATTTTAGAAATAAAGCCAGGACCTTATTAACACTTACTTTCCTGGACTGTTGGAAGAATCCTCTAATAAGTCTTTCTGCATCAAGATCTTTTTATAGATCAAGCATCTTCCAGTAGTCTTTCTGTAACAGAAGTATAATGGTGCTGCTTTGCTCTTACTACTCTGTGCTTTGTTCCAGTAGTTCCTCTATTGTGTTCCGAACAAAGACCCAATACCTTTGGCATTTGAGACTTACCTCTTTTTTTGAGATAGGATCTTGCTCTGTCACCCAGGCTGCAGTGCACTGGCATGCTCATAGCTCACTGCAACCTCAATCTCTAGGCCTCAAACGATCCTCTTGCCTCAGCCTCCTGAATAGCTGGGACTACAGGCACACACCACTTTGCCTGGCTAAGTGGTTTTTTGTTTTGTTTTTGAGACAGTCTCACTCTGTCACCCAGGGCGGAGTACAGTGATGTGATCTCGGCTTACTGCAATCTCGTCCTCCTGGGTTCAAGCGATTCTTCTGTCTCAGCCTCCTGAGTAGCTGGGACTACAGTCACATGCCACCACGCCGGGCTAATTTTTGTATTTTTAGTAGAGACAGGGTTTCACCATGTTGGTCAGGCTGGTCTCGAACTCCTGACCTCGTGATCCGCCCGCCTCGGCCTCCCAAAGTGCTGGGATTACAGGCTTGAGCCATCGCTCCCGGCCCTTTATTTCTTTTAAAACTTTGTTTTATTTCTAAGCTACTCTGGAAATGTGAGATTTAGCTAGAGATATGACCATTCATCCCACTTTGCCTGGTCAGACCTGGGCTACACGTGTTCTGTCGTCCCCTCTGATATGTACCCCTTTTCACTCTCAAGCTTCTTGGTTTGAATAATACATCATATTAAAATGGGGCTTGGCTTCAGCTCACCCCCACTAGCATTTTTTCGTACATTCCCACTAATCACAAAACCCACACCACTGCCTCACTGGCACTATACCCACTAATCCCAAGGCTTTAGTCATACAAAGAAAATAGCCATTCTTCTGTGCTCTCATACTGTTTAACCATGCCTTGTGCTTAAAGAACTCCAGAAACTGGCCTTAGGAGATCCAAAATCGAACCAAGGTTGTTGAGTGTCTCACCTCTGGAAGGAATGCTGAACAACTGATTTCCAGCCTTGTTTTTGCCAGCCAGACAGACCACCAGTTAACTCGTACTCAAGATAACCATCACAACCAGCCTTGCTAACCTGCATACTCTACCCCTCACATGCTTTGCCCAGCCCAGCCTGCATACCTTATCCCTGATGTCAATTCCTGCGCTTTGCCTAATAAATCTTTACTGGCTCTTTTCAGGGAACCAGGCTCTGCTGTCTGTCTCCCTTGCGCTCTAGCACAGTAGGACAAGCCCCAGAATAAAAGCTTTGTCTGGGAAATCTGTCTGTCCCTTTGTTAATTTTCATTACATGGGGAGTCCAAATGCCTATGGTCTGTTATAACAATGTTGTTACCTTAGATTTGACAGGAGTGAAGTATTAGTATAGTTTTACATTTCTCTTTCATTATGGTTTTTCTTTAGGTTTTTTGTTTTTGTTTTTGAGAAAGTCTCACTCTTTTGCCCAGGCTAGAGGGCAGTGGTGTGATCATAGCTCACTGCAGCCTCGAACTCCTGGCACAAGCAATCTTCCTGCCTCAGCCTCCCAAGTAGCTAGGACCATAGGCACGTACCACTACACCTGGCTAATTTTATGTATATGTGTGTGTGTATATATATATATATGTAAAAATATTTTTTGGCTGGGCACGGTGGCTCACGCCTGTAATCCCAGCATTTGGGAGGCCAAGGCAGACGGATCACCTGTGGTCAGGAGTTCAAGACCAGCCTGACCAACGTGGTGAAACCCTGTCTTTACTAAAAATAGAAAATTAGCCTGGCATGGTGATGCATGCCTGTAATCCCAGCTACTCAGGAGGCTGAGGCAGGAGAATCGCTTGAACCCAGGAGGTGGAGGTTGCAGTGAGCTGAGATCGCACTACTGCACTCCAGTCTGGGCAACAAGAATGAAATTCTGTCTCAAAAAAAAAAAAAATTTGGAAAGACAGAGTCTCACAATGTTGCCCAGGTTGGTCTCTAACTCCTGGCCTCAAGCAGTCCTCCTGCCTCAGTCTCCCAAAGCACTGGGATTATAGACGTAATATAGGCATGAGCCACTGAGCCAGGCCGTTAATTGTTATTTATATTCACATTTGCCCCACATTCCTATCCTGTTCCTAAAGTCAGACTGAAAGGGAAATATGTTTAAAATGCGAAATTCAGGTGCCTCTTTTTTTCCCCTCTGTAGATTAACATTTAGTATGGAAATACCTTCCAGCTGGGCACCGTGGTCACACCTGTAATCCCAGCACTTTGGGAAGCCAAGATAGATAGATCACTTGAGCTCAGGAGTTTGAGACCAGTTTGGGCAACATGGCAAAACCCTATCTCTACAAAAAAAAAATATATATATATATACACACACACACACACACACACACACACACACACACACACACACACACACACACACACACACACACACAAATTAGCTGGGCATGATGGCACACGCCTGTAGTCCCAGGTACTCAAGAGGCTGGGGTAGGAGGATTGGTTGAGCCTGGGAGGTGGAGGTTGCAGTGAGCCATGCACGTCTAGCTGGGCAGCATAGAAAGACCATATCTCAAAAAAAGGGCCGGGCACCCAGTGGCTCATGCCTGTAATCCCAGCACTTTGGGAGGCTGAGGTGGGCGAATCACAAGATCAGGAGTTCAAGACCAGCCTGACCAACATAGTGAAACCCTGTCCCTACTAAAAATACAAAAATTAGCCAGGCATGGTGACACACACCTGTAATCCTAGCTACTCAGGAGGGTGGGGCAGGAAAATCACTTGAACCCAGGAGGCAGAGATTGCAGTGAGCTGAGATCACGCCACTGCACTCCAGGCTGGGCGACAGAGCGAGAGTCCATCTCAAAAAAAAAAAAAAAAAAGAACAAAGAAAGAACTTCCTTCCCCATCCATATTTCCTAAACTAATAAACCGTACAACTTCATTAAATTTTTGGAACTCTGTTTCGACGTTCTTATGTTACAGATACAGGAACTGAGGCCCATAGAGATTACATGTGACGTGTCCTACATACATAGTAAATTAGTGACACAGAGATAACCGAATCCTAGATACCTTAACTCCCACAGTTCTTTCTATTGCATGAAGCAATAAAAAGTGTTTTTATGGCAAAGATCAGCATTTTCCTGAGTGTGTTATGCAAGTTCATTCCTTCATGCCCCGTGGGGGCAGCAGGGCTTCTTTAGATCATGCTGAATGCTCCCTCTTTACAATGAACCTCAGCACTTTAAAGGTGCTCAAATGTCCTGAAGTAAAGAAACCTATTTGGCTTTGTTTAATCCTACATTTTCTAAACTTTGGGAAAGCTCTTTGGAAAATGCTGGCCTAGGGCTTTCTTTTTGGGGCTGGGGTAAGGGGGTGGGTTAGGGAGGAGAAAGTTGACTTCTCTTTTTTAAAAAATGTCTCATGGGTTGTTTAGTCTTTCTTGCATTCAACATGATTCCCCGCCCCCACCCCACAGTTAGGTCTGCCGTGATCACTGGAGCTTATTTTAGTTTAAGACAGTCAGCATCATCTGATTGGGATTGATCATATGCTATTAAGAGGGAGTCCCCCAGAATGGTGATTCTAGAAAAAGGATTCATCAGCCTTTTGCATATTCTGGGCCTCTCCAAGTCCTGTAGACCTTCTCCTCTCCTCTCCCCTCTCCTTGCTCCTCTCTCCGTTGCATCATACAAAGATTGGATGTCTGTAGAAAAGAGACCAGGCTTGCCTGGAGAGAACACATCGCTGGAGAGATTAAACTGAGACTAGTTCTCATTTCCAACATCTACAAGTGATGGTTTAGATTCAGAAATAAATAACATAATACTGAGCACCATCTGACATAGGATTTTGGTTACCTGAGAAGTAATGACATTAATCCCTGAGTTAATTGTGAGGATTTTGAGAAGAAATATTGCTGTAGTACTAGAACTGTAGTCAGGGTTACCCATCAGGCTCTGGAACTGGGGAACACAGGGTAGACTCAAGGGTTACATCTCATCCAGGAAATCTGCCTCCCCCACCTCCCTTCCCTTCCAAGGTCTGTGTTTATTTTAGTATATAGAGCTCCAGTAGGATATATGAATGTCCCCAAATCAGTTCATCCTGAAGGGAGTTCCCATTAACCAGGAGCTACCAGGAAGAGATTTTCCCTAACTCCCAAAGACACTTGTATTTCTGGCCACCTCTCTAAGGTGAAACCCCAGCTATCCCAGCAGCTACTACTGCTTATTGTAGCAGCAAATGGCCAAACATCCTTAGCTCAGCCTCTGACTTCCCTAGTGTTTGCAACTTGTTCTTGTTTCTCCAGTGGGGCCATTGATGTCATATAACTCTTGTATAATTGCTTTAGGATATCTAATTGTGCTCATCGTAAAATAGAGCTTTTTAAATTTTGTTTTCTTTTTTCTTGGTGTTCTTCCCTTACCAGAGCTTTTTTTTAAAAAAAGGGATTTTTGACATGGTTTAAGTATTAAACCATTGTAATACACGTTGAGTATTCCTTATCTGAAATGCTTGGAACCAGAAGTGTTTCAGGTTTGGGATTTTTTCCAATTTTGTAATATTTGTGTCTACATAATGAGATAGCTTGGTGGGGTACCCAAGTCTAAACACAAAATTCATTTATGTTTGATACACACTTTATACACATAGCCTGAAGGTAATTTTATACAATATTTTTAATATAGTGCATGAAACAAAGTTTATGTACATTGAACCATCAAAAAGCAAAGAAGACAGCTCCAGAATTTTCCACTTGTGGCATCCTGTCAGCACTCAAAAAGTATTGGATTTTGGAGCATTTCAGATTTGGGATTTTCTGATTAGGGATGCTCAACGTGTGGCATCTTGAGTCTCTACAAACCATACAAGATTCTCAGATGAAAATAATTCCATATGTGTGTGCATGCATGTACGTGTTAAAGTAAGAGTAGTAAATTCTTGTCCGCTTCTGAAGACGCTTCTGATTTTTCTTCATCCGGAGGCAAGGCTCTATTCTTCTTTGTTTCATGCCATAAGCATACTCTGCTATGTTACTAAATTTACTCAGTCAATAGAAATAAAAAAGCAAAACAAACAAAAAAAAGAAATAATAATCGAACTTGAAAGTGCAAAGAGGCCTAGCCATAGGAGTGACACCATGCCGTCTTACCTTTAGAAACACTTCAGCATGATTTTCACCATCTCCCCTTACACTCAGATTCCAAGCTCATCTTAAAAGTCTTTTTCCCCCCTCATTTTGGTAAAGGCTTTTTATTTTACATGATAGTTTTATTCTGGATTTTTGTTTATATATTTTAAACTCTTTTGAGAAAGGATTGTTTGTGCTGTTTTTTGTTTTAAATGTAAACCCTGAGTGAGATTAGGATTTGACCTATAAATGAGGCCACAAACTTGGCCTCCAGGCCCTTATTTTCTTTGAAAGAACCACTATAAAAGCCTGATAAGATCTTGAAGATTCTGTGGAGCTCAGCTTTAAAAGTAAGATTTGTTAGACTTAACTGGTTTTTAAGTTTGAAGTGGAATTAATAGAGGTAATTTTAGTTCCTGTTTTCCTGTTTTGCAAGACTCCTGGTCTTGGCCAGGAGTTCAAGACCAGCCTGGCCAACATGGTGAAACCCCATCTCTACTAAAAATACAAATATTAGCCAGGCATGATGGCGCTCACCTGTAGTCCCAGCTACTCAGGAGGCTGAGGCAGGAGAATTGTTTGAACCCGGGAGACAGAGGTTAAAGTGAGCCGAGATTGCGCCACTGCACTCCAGCCTGGGCGCCAGAGCGAGACTCCGTCTAAATAAATAATTAATTTTCATATAAATATAGTCTATAAAAGATTGTAGGAAAACACAAATGTTAACGATATTTTTAAACATGAATTCATAAGGTTATGCTGTGTCACTAACAGAGATGAAAATAAATTCCAAGCATCTTGACACAGTTCTGTTTCTAGCAGATTTTTGTGATAATTTGTGTACGTGTTTTTCACTATATTTGTTAAAACACTTCATTGTGAGGCTAGGTTAACTGCCTACTGGTTTCTTAACAATTCCAATAATAGATTTTAAATGGCGTTTTCTCTTCTTAAACTCGTTACCCCATTTAGTCAGATAGATTTTATATATCCAGATGGTGTAAAGATTTAGAAGTATTTCCATTAATCTTGTTCTCTCTTAGATTTTCTTTTTTGCATAAATCTCTTGCTAGCAGCTCTGAGAGTTAAGTTTCCATGTTCAGAATTTAATCTGTAATTGTTAGAATTACCTTTTATTGCTACTGGCCTGTCCATTTAAATCATCATATCACATAATAGAAAGCAGGATTTTTTTTCAGGGCTTTATGGGGTGGATAGATAAAATTTTTTGTTTTGTGTCTCTTGCAATGTGTATAATAACTTCTTTCAAAATTACCATAGAACAAGTAGCTTATATATATTTAGCTTTAATTGTCCACCTTTCCTCCTCCCTCTTTTAGTAAAATGCCTAATTATACAGATTAAAGATTGATTTTTAGCAACTTTATTTTAAGGCAGAAAAACAACTAATCAATTATGTGTTATTTGTATGTGCGGTACCAGTGTTGACCTCTTAAATGTTTGTAAATTGCTTACAATGTTAGATAATAATGAATGGTGATTGCCTCTAAGGATTTAAAACAAAAATTAAAACATTTATTTTCAGTCCAAGTACTTTTCCCTGTGTTTTCAAATACTCTTCCTGTAACTATATATTTAAATTGGTTTGATATGTTACTTTTTACTGACTTAGAAAGTATATAATTGGTACATTTTATGGCTCAAATTGCAGCTAACACAGATAATTCAAGCTTAAAGATTTACATTTTATGAAAATTTGACATGTGAATTTGACAGCGTGTTGTTATTTGTGAATGAAAGCAGTTTTCAGTAGCTTTTTAAAAAAAACTGTGATCTGAGATACACTTGAAAAAATGAATTAAATTATTTTTATTTCATATCAAGAAATGGATGAAAAGAGGCTGCTGGATCCAGGGTTGAAGGTTCATAAAGGCCTCTGGGATTATACTCTGAAGAACCCGCAGACGGAATGCCTGAGTGACTGAAGAAAATGGGTGCTAATGCATCTAATTATCCTCATTCATGTTCCCCGAGGGTAGGGGGAAATTCACAGGCCCAACAGACTTTTATAGGTAACTTTCAGTTTTTCTAACTTCATTTTCTTTTGTGACTATAATAGAATTGTGTTTTCGGTAGTCTCTGTAGATGACAAAAGAAGTGAGCTGTAGTTATTATAATAATTCTGCAGCATCTAGGTTTTTTCCCCCAACAAACGTAAATCTTAAGTCTGGTTTGTATGGTTTTTATCTTAAACCACTTGTAGCACAATTGAGCTTTTCTATGTTTTAACCATAATTGCCAATTACCTTAGGCAAACTAGCAGTCTCCATTGGTGTTAAAACAGCGAAGTACATATTTCCTGTGTCCCATTTCATTTATTTTGCCCATACAAATGCAGACTTGTGTAATTAAGAAGAAAAAGAAACATTTCACAATTATATACAAGTAATGTTCTTAATTTACAACTCTGCCTATTTTTCATTCCTAAAAACCCATGATTAAGATCTATGACAAATGTCCTTTGATAGCCAGGGAACGAAAGACTTTTTCTAAAAAAATTTAGACTAATTTGCTCTGTTTGTCCCTATTTCTTATTTAATATAAAAAATGTAGGCCAGTCACAATGGCTCACACCTGTAATCCCAGCACTTTAGGAGGCCAAGGCAGGAAGATTGCATGAGGCCAGGACAGGAGTTCAAGACCAGCCTGAGCAACATTAGTGAGACCCTATCTCTACCAAAAAAAGAAAAAAAAATTTTTTTAATTAGCCAGGCATGGTGGCACATGCCTATACTCCCAGCTACTTGGGAAGCTGAGGTTGGGGAGAATCCCTTGAGCCCAGGAGTTTGAGGCTGCAGTGAGCTATGATCTTCCCACTGCACTCCAGCTTGAGCAACACAGTGAGACTCCATCTCTAAAAATTAAATTGAATTGAAAACTAAAATGAGTTAATTGAACTTTTTGTCTTCCTTTATAAAAAACAAATGCAATTTTGAGTGGTTCGGTAATGTCTGCTTACAGAATTTTTCAACATGAAAAATGTTAAACGTTGAAAATGAATGTTAAGAAAAAATAAATTTTCATTTGTTTAATTTTTTTCTTAGGGACCTCATCCTATTCTCAGCAAGGCTATGGTTGCGAATCAAAGTTGTATAGCCTTGACCATGGCCATGAGAAACCACAAGACAAAAAAAAGAGAACCTCTGGTCTTGCCACCCTCAAAAAGAAGTTTATTAAGCGTCGGAAATCTAATAGGTCTGCCGATCATGCCAAGCAGATGCGAGAACTCCTCTCTGGGTGGGATGTTAGAGATGTCAATGCATTAGTGGAGGAATATGAGGGAACATCAGCATTAAAGGAGCTTTCTCTACAAGCCAGTTTGGCTAGACCAGAAGCCCGGACATTGCAGAAAGATATGGCTGATCTTTATGAGTACAAGTATTGTACTGATGTAGACTTAATATTTCAAGAAACTTGTTTTCCTGTTCATCGTGCCATTTTGGCAGCAAGGTGTCCATTTTTTAAAACACTGCTTTCTTCCTCACCAGAGTATGGGGCAGAGATAATAATGGACATCAATACAGCTGGTATTGATATGCCCATGTTTTCTGCTTTGTTACACTACCTTTATACAGGAGAGTTTGGAATGGAGGACTCAAGGTTTCAAAATGTCGATATCCTTGTTCAGCTTAGTGAAGAATTTGGAACACCAAATTCCCTTGATGTAGATATGCGTGGACTCTTTGATTACATGTGTTATTATGATGTCGTCCTTAGTTTTTCTTCAGACTCTGAACTGGTTGAAGCTTTTGGTGGAAATCAGAACTGTTTAGATGAAGAGCTCAAAGCCCACAAGGCTGTTATTTCTGCACGGTCCCCATTTTTTCGAAATTTATTACAAAGGAGGATACGAACTGGTGAAGAAATCACAGACCGAACTTTGAGGACTCCCACAAGAATTATATTAGATGAGTCCATTATACCAAAAAAATATGCAACAGTGATATTACACTGTATGTATACCGACGTGGTGGACCTCTCTGTTTTGCACTGTAGCCCCTCTGTGGGGAGTCTCAGTGAAGTTCAGGCTCTCGTCGCAGGGAAGCCAAACATGACCAGGGCAGAAGAAGCCATGGAACTTTACCACATAGCACTGTTCTTGGAATTTAACATGCTTGCACAAGGTATGAAGTTCTGGTTTTTAATTCTGATTTATAGAATTATGTATTGATCTTCCAAATTGAAAACACAACCAGTATATTCTATGATTTCAGTGTTTGGGATGTTACAGGGTCAGTTTTTTTGAACCTTCAGTTATGACATCTGAGACAGATTGAGGGTCAGTATTAATGTGGTTCTTTATTTACTAGTAAAACCAAGTATTCAGTACTAATGACTTCAGAGCATTAAATGAGACTTGAGGTTCTTTCTTCCCTAATGTAAGACGATAGGTATGGGAATATATAATTACCAACCTACACCCTCTCCACCCAAGCTTTGAAAGAGCCCAGTTTCCCACATTTTGAGTCTCATATTTATGTTCAGTACCTTGTTGATGTTTAAATGTTTGGATAAGAATAAAAATTCATTACAAAAATGAAGATAGTCACATTTAGATACGAATTTAGTTGAATCAGAATTGGGCAGGGTTTCTGATTTAAATTTTAAAATATTCCTTATCTTATTTTTAGATTCAACTTGTACATCAAGCCACAGCCTACAGCGTGTAAAACACAGTTAGCGCTAGACTCATGTGCCTTCTTCATTTAATTTAAACTAAAATTTTTTTAAAATTAGGACGGCACGTTTTTTGTGTTATAGGCAAACAAATTCATGAAAGTTACATTAAAAGAAGTATACATCTGTTGGTAAATGTTAGAATCTTAACATTTCAGAGCTGGAAAGAGACCTTTTGTAGGAGAGCAAAGACAGTTTGCTGTTTTGACAGAGTGCATTCTTAGCTTTCTGTGACCATATATTAAAAGAAAATAAGCTATGTGACATGAGACTACTTGAGAAATTTAGCTAATGCATATTAGCTAAAAGAACATTAGAAGTTGCCAGTTAGAAGAAAATATTAATGGTTTGGGTAAGAGACATGAATTTAAATAAGGAAAGCTAAGTACTGAACTTGAAAATAATATGTATTATATGGTTAAGTCAGCCTATCAATAGGGCTTTGAGAAATTGAAAAATAGCCCCAGTTAAATAACAACATTAAGCCAGTCTCAGTGGTGTGTGGTTGTAGTTCTATCTACTTGGGAGGCTGAGGCAGGAAGACCGCTTGAGGTCAGGAGTTCAGGGCTGCAGTGAGCTGTGATCATACCTGTGAATAGCTACTGCACTGTACTCTGGGCAGCATAGTGAGAACTCAGCTGTATTTTTTAAAAATCTCAGTAATAAAATGGGAACTTACACAGAAGAAGGCGTTGATAAACATGAGTGGGAAAATGTTGAGATTTCTTTTACATAAAGAATCTTTTAAAACCTTACTTTACCATAATCCTTTTATAATAGATGTTTTATTTTATTACAACAACCAAAATGTCATTAAAACAGTTTATTAGTTTAGAATAAGAATTATTGTATCAATAATAGACTATTTAGATGTCAAACTGTAGGAAAAATATGTTATCAAAAATAGAGTAGCAGTTTAAGCTACTATTTTTTTCTGTAAAACCAAATTTGTCAGAAAATGCTTCTACAGAAAAATTTGAAGTTTGCAACATTACCAAAAAAAAAACTATATTTTCTCAAAATATTTTTATTTTTGATGCCTTTTAATAAGAAACCAAATTATATAGACTTTGTATGAGAAAGCATTCTTTAATATATGTTTTTTTGTTTGTTTTTAAAAACGGAGTCTTGATCTTGTCACCCAGGCTGGAGTGCAATGGCGCAATTTCGGCTCACTGCAACCTCCGCCTCCTGGATTCAAGTGATTCTCCTGCCTCAGCCTCTTGAGTAGCTGGGATTACAGGCTCCTGCCACCATGCCCAGCTAATTTCTGTATTTTTAGTAGAGACAGGGTTTTACCATGTTGGCCAGGCTGGTCTCAAACTCCTAACCTCAGGTGATCCACCTGCCTCGGCCTCCCAAGGTGCTGGGATTACAGGCATGAGCCACCGCACCTTGCAGGTTTTTTTAAGTTTTAGATGCAAAGTAAAATTGTCAGCCAGCTCTAAGATCTTTGGTAATACTTGATTATTTATCTAGAGTTTATCTTGAGTTAATTTCTCTTTTTTTTTTTTTAGTGTTTAGCTAAAAGTTGTATTTTATTCAGTGTATTTAAAGATATAAAATAATACTTTTTGCATTGTCTAATCTGGTTACTTAAAACAAGCAAAAAAAAATCTTGTGTACAAATATTCCCTTAAATGTGGATATATATGCTCTTCTTTTTCCCTTTGTTACTCAAAATAGAGTTTGAGTTATTTTTGTTTTGTTTTTTGTAACCCATGTGGGGCATATCTTTCCCCCATACCCATGAAATATTCATATTAAGGTTTATAAAAGACTATAACTTTAACATAATTTTTATCTCATTTCCATAGGAAGAAGAATATTAGCTCGCTTGAGGTAGGATTTTATACCATAAAGCTCAAGAGTTCAGGTTCTAAAACCAGACAGACTGGGTTTCAGTTCTCTACCGTGTCTTAGTTTGACCTTAACCAAGTCACATAGCCTAAGCCCCTCTTTTCTCATTTGTAAAATAAAGATAGTAAACCCTATAAGCTATGATGATTAAAGGAAATAATATATGTTAAATGATCTGAGTAGCACCTGTTACATAGTAAACATTCAGTAAATGTTAGCTGCTAAACTATAATAATCACCACAACATATGTCTCTCACTACCATATAGTTTTTTTCTAAAAATAACTTTAAGTTTAAAAAATAATTTTACTAGGCCAGGTGTGGTGGCTCACACCTGTAATCCCAGCACTTTGAGAGGCTGAGGCAGGAGGATCACTTGAGCCCAGGAGTTCAAGATCAGCTTGGGCAATATAGTGAGACCTCGTCTCTACCAAAAAAAAAAAAAAAAAAAAAAAAACTAGGCCTAGCACAGTGGCCCACACTTGTAATCCCAGCACTTTGGGAGGCCGAGGTGGATGGATCACTTGAGGCCAGGAGTTTAAGACCAGCTTGACCAACATGGTGAAACCCCATCTCTACCAAAAAATACAAAAATTAGCCAGGCATCATGGTACACGCTTCTAGTCCCAGGTAGGCTGAGGCAGGAGAATCGTTTGAACCCGGGAGATGGAGGTTGCAGTGAGCTGAGATCGCACCACTGCACACCAGCCTGGGCGACAGAGTGAGTCTCCATCTCAAAAAAATAAAAATACAAAAAAATTTAGCTGGGTGTGGTGGCACACACCTGTAATCCCAGCTACCCAGGAGGCTGAGGCATGAGAATTACTTGAACCCAGGAGCGGGAGGTGGCAGTGAGCCAAGATTGCACCACTCCACTCCAGCCCGGGTGATAGAGTGAGACTTTGTCTTAAAAAAAAAAAAAAAAAAAAAAAAGGCCAAGTGCAGTGGGTCACGCCTGTAACCCCAGCACTTTGGGAGGCCGGGGCAGGCAGATCACGAGGTCAGGAGATCGAGACCATCCTGGCTAACAGGGTGAAACCCCGTCTCTACTAAAAATACAATAAATTAGCTGGGCATGGTGGCAGGTGCCTGTAGTCCCAGCTGCTCAGGAGGCTGAGGCAGGAGAATGGCGTGAACCCAGGAGGCGAAGCTTGCAGTGAGCTGAGATCGCACCACTGCACTCCAACCTGGGCGACGGAGTGAGACTGCGTCTCAAAAAAAAAAAAAAATTAAAAGGCAGTATTGGCAGACAGCTAGAGTGGTTTGGCAAGTGGGTAAAAGGATTCTTGGTGCCAGGTGCGGTGGCTCAAACACCTTTAATCCCAGCACTTTGGGAGGCCAAGGCAGGCGGATCACCTGAAGTCAGGAGTTCGAGACCAGCCTGGCCAACATGGTGAAACCCCCGTCTCTAACTACAAAAATTAGTTGGGCGTGGTGGTGCATACCTGTAATCCCAGCTACTAGGGAGGCTGAGGCACAATAATTGCTTAAACCTAGGAGGCAGAGGTTGCAGTAAGTCGAGATCACAGCACTGCACTCCAAGCCTGGGCAACTGAGTGAGACTCTGTCTCCAAAAAAAAAAAAAAAAAAAAAGCCCAGAGAGTTGAGATTCTTGGCCTACACAGAGAATGTGTTTTATATCAGTAGGGAGGAGCAGGCAGTAGGCAATCACAAGTAGATAACGGCCTCAACTTACAGGCCTGGCATTTAGGACCAGATTTAACTTCACTTGATTTTCATTTAAACATAACAAAATGAATATGTTTAATTTTATTTCCTTCAAAGCCCTATTATCATAGTGAAGGAATAAAACAAATATAAGCTCTCAAGGACAAAGAGACAAAGATACCTAAGGAGAAAACAACAATGGGGAAGATGTTGAAATTTTTGGAAAATGGAAAGCAGATAGAGACTTGATTACTGGCTTAACAGAGGAGCAGCCTGTAATTAGATGCTGTAAAGGGGGCTACTGAGGAGAAGTGAGGCAGTTCACCTGTTAGAGCTCTGGCGTGGCTCAGGCCAGGTGGAACTAAGTACTCTGGAAAGAAGGGATATGCATAGCATAGAACTAAAAAGACAGAGTTGATTTTAAGTCTGAATACTGAGGGATCAGACCCTTTCCCCAACCCTGGAATTCATCTTTATGTATGGTATTAGAAAAGGATGTGGTTTTGTTCTTCTGCATATAGTGAGCCAAGTATTCCCTACTAATTCCCTATTCCTGATTTGTGCCACTCTTAAAGCTGCTATGTATGCATGGATTGTATTCATGCATCAGTACTCAGTCTCCATTTTGTCCCAGTGGTCCATTTGTCTGTTCTTGCATTACTATCACTTGCAACAAGGTGACATGCCCTTGTCCCCGCCCCCTCAATTCGCCTCTCTGCTACTGCCCCCACAACAAAACACAGGAGACCTGAGATTTTCTAAAATTTTCTGAATTTTCTAAAGAAATTAGAGAGATTCCAAATCTGGAAATAGCAACAGAGGAGGGTAGGGATGTGGCACAGGGTTGAAATCTATAATTATGTGAAACCCTATGGTGAAATCACCTACTTCCTTAACCCCTGCTGTAATACCAGCCAGGCAAATACAAGAAGAAACTGGAGTCCTGGAAATGGTGAACAGCTCAAAAGTATATACACTTACAGATACTGATGTTTTGGGTTTCCACAGTGAAATTACACTCAGGGGTTATAAAATGAAAAAGCCAGCTTGCCTTCCATTTGTTTTACAGAGGAGACTACAGTCATCAGGCCTGCCTGTGCAGCAGAGCTTTCAAACAGCTGCTTACTGCCTCAATCTTAAATATGAAAACCCATCCAAGGATAACTGGACATTTGAGGAAAGCTTCCAAATTGAGACAGAGATCAGAGCAAAAAGAACAAAGTCCTGGAGGAAGCAGACAATGAAGGGAGCAGAAGAAAACTTCAGTAGAATCAAAATATCCTTATATAAAAGAACTTTTTATGGAATCAGTGAGACATAAGCAGGATGCTATTAAAGTAAAAACAGGAGCTTTTAGAAATAAGATAGCAGAAATGAAAGATATAATGGAAGCATTGAAAGGTACAGTTGAGGAAATCTAGAAAGTAAATAATATAATAAAGAGATGAGTGGAGACAAATAAAACTAGAGTATTCATCCAGGGTCTAACATCTAACAAATAGTGGCTTTAGAAATATATACCAGAGAAAAGTGAAGAGAAGACAGTATCTAAGGAGTAATATAAGAAATATTTCCAAAACTAAAGGAATTTCTATATAAAAAGTTTCTTTTTCAGAACACTGGGGAAAAAGAGACAATTTTAAAATGTTGCAGGGAGGAGAAAAATTAGGTTCCATGCAAAGAAATAGGAATCAGATGGTATTGAGATTTTCAGTAGCAACAACTGAATACCACAATACAGTGAAGTAGTGTCTTCCAAAAGCTGATGGAAAATTATTTTAAACACAAAATCCTATATTTAGCCAAACAGTCAATCAAGTGTAAGGCTAAATAAAGGCATTTTTCAGTCATACCTCGAAAAACTGCCTGTGTAGGGATATTTCCCCTGCTTCCCCACTCAGGCAGCTGCTGGGAATGTATTCCACCAAATGACGAAGCAAACCAAGAACAAAGAAGTGAAGGATCTAGAAAATGGGCTCCAACACGGGAAGGAAGCAAAGGGAGATCCCACGCATCAGCCACACAGTAGGTCTTGTGGGCATTCAGTCTAGCCCAGACCGGGAGGGTGAAAGTCTCCAAGGAAAGAGGTGTCTCGGAAGAAATCAATTACTTTCAATGTTTGAACATTAAATAGCAAATGACAAAGCAATTTTATGGCTCTTGTGGTGCATTTATGAAGAATTAGCAATAAGTTCTTAGAAAATGAAGCAAATGGAAAAAGAAGAAATGAATATTTCCAAGATAAATTTAACAGTACATATGAAAGAATAAATAATTTTAGTACACAGCATGGCTCAGCAGTAAGCACTATTTAATTATAAACACTAAATATTGATTTAATAAAAATAGTAATATAGAGAGGTAAATACTAGAAGAAAGAGCTAAAGAATTGAGAGTAGTTACCTCTGGGGAGCAGAACTGAAAGTGGAAGGGATGTAGGACGGGGTGGGGGGGCGGGGGGGTTTAGGGTTAGCATTGTGTTACTACCAGACTTTTTAAATGATGAGCATATACTACTTTGATTACAAGGTTAACTTTTTTTTTTTTTGAGACAGAGTCTCGCTCTGTCGCCCAGGCTAGAGTGCAATGGCCCAATCTTGGCTCATTGCAACCTCTGCCTCCCAGGTTCAAGCGATTCTCCTGCCTCAGCCTCACAAGTAGCTGGGATTACAGGTGCCTGCCACCATGCCCGGCTAATTTTTTGTGTTTTTAGTAGAGACGGGGATCTGCTCTGTTGGCCAGGCTGGTCTCAAACTCCTGACCTCAGGTGATCCACCCGCCTCAGTGCTGGTATTACAGGCATGAGCCACCATGCCTGGCCCAGAATTAACTTTTTAAATGTAAAGATATGACATCAGTGCCCATAAGAACCAGAGAGACCAAGAGAAGGCCACAATCCTAAAGAACTGGAGACTTTATCATATCTTTGAAGTCTGTTAACTAATGAGCTCATGCTTATAATTTGAATGTACAGAGGGCTGTTACTTATCTCCATTGGTCATCCTGTCAGCCGATGAATGTGGTGAGGCTCAGAGATTATTAACTAGCCTTTTCCCAGGTTTGGAAGTCACGAAGCTGTAACTCATACCAGCTCTTCTGACTCTAGGCTCAGGAATTTGGGCATGGTAGGAGAAGGGAGAAATACTGGACCCAATTTCCAGGGATGAGGGTGGGAGGCTGTGGCCTACTCTTAGGAACAAAACAGAAAACTATAGTGATTGAAACATCAACTTGTAGGAGCCTCAGCTGTGAGCCCGATTTGTGGCTGAACAACAAATCATTACCCCCGACTTGGGTTGAGGGTAATGTGGGCTCAGCTAGGAGGTTTAAAGCTGTAGGGTCAGGGATCTGAGTAGCTCACTCAAACTTTGCTTCAGAGCACTTAGCCAGAGAACAGGGGCTTTGTACTGTTTCAGCCATTGTTTCCTGAATAGGTAGCATTCCTATGTTAGTCATTTGACTTTTCTGGCTGCCCAGCATTAGGACCTTCTTCCCAGCCTTACTGTGTATGTCTTCATAGGAGGCAGAGCCCACCTCCCAGTAGAAAAGCCTTAAAGGTCATATACTTTCTTCTGCAGCCTTCTCTAGTCAGGGTTAGTGGTACAGAAAAGCAGGGACTATAGAGAATTTTTTCTGGAAGCAGAGTGGGGCAGCAACATCTAGTGGAAAAGGAGAGAAGGCCATGGCAGTGGTGCCATTGATGACATTCACTATCCAGGGACAGAATGTAGGAGCTTTAGTGGCCAGGGTCCCAGGCAACTCAGGGTCTTCACTGGGCTTCCATGTTGTGGAGTCCCCATCCTGCAGCCTTCCTTAGTCCATGTTTACTGAGCTGGGTCTCCAGCTTTTCCCAGCAACACTGTAGATTAATAGTGTCCTTTGAGATAAATTCCTTTTCTCTTTAAGCCAACTAGACTTGTTTTCTGCTATTGCACCATAAGAAGCCTGATTGGTAGCAGTACCTATATTTAAAAGACTAGTATTTAAAACTCCAAAAGAGATGACTAGATTGGAAGAGTCTCCAAAGAAGGAGCACATGTTTGATCACTTTGACTTTTCATAATGACCTTAGCATATATACTGGGTAAACAGCTCTGAAAATGTGAGAACAGTAAGAGTATACCATTCATTGGTAATTTTTTGAGGAAAAGTTCATTGTTTAGGAGAACTATAGGTTAACTCATGAACTTTAACCATCCTTGTCATAAATACTGTTGACCTCAGAGCAAAATACCCCAGAATTAGCACCAACATCTACATGCATATTTACTGTAGACTTCAAACTGCAGATTTTGTTTTTTCATCTTGATCACAAATGCATTTTTCAATCTTTACAATATGAAATTTATTTATAACTTTAGTTCCAAAATGGACTCTGTAATGCATTTGCCCATATTTTTAGTCGTAATGGATGTGATTATATTTTATTGAATTAAAAATCTAACAGAAGCAACTGAAAGCAATGACCTCGTTTTTTCCCTTAGCAACTTGGTCACTTTCCAAGAGTGTGTGGCTTGAAACAAATGCAAAATAGCAAAGACTTACTGTCCCCACTCACTCATCCATTTCACCCTCTTCCCAACCTCCACTGTCTACATATTGACACTCTTCCCTCTGTCTCAGTTCTGTTGAGTTGACAGTTTATTTTACTTCTGTCTATAATTGTCTCCTCTTCAGCAAATTTGAATGTACTTCCTAGAGAAGAATGGGGCCAAGCTAAAGACCATTATCAACAGATCAGAGTAGTAAATGCAGGTTTCAAACATGCAACATAAGAGTTAATCTCAGTTTCATATTTATATATATGTTTATATATAAAACATAAAAAGTTTATATATATAATATTGCATCTTTTGTTTTAAAACTTAAGTCATTTTTCATAGACTACAAACTCTTCACCTCTGACCCTCTGCTCTCACTTTTCATTTGTCTGGGGGGTATTTTGCCTTTGATCATTAAATGTCCAAATTCTACCCTAACCTTTAAGACCGAACTCACATGCTTACTTTCCTTGTTTTGCTTAGCCATTCCAAGTTAAAAGTATTTTCTACATCCTGAGAATTTCTAAAACACTTTTTATTGTTCTTAGGGTTTTATATCTTCTGACTTGTTTTGAAATTACCTAGGTACCCGTCTCATTTCCTCTGTCACCTAGTGTATTGTATGCTCCCAAAGTTGTGTATCAAAATCTTGGTCATCTTTGAATAACCTGAGAACCTAGCACACTGCTTTATTCTTAGTATACTGTCAGTTACATGTTTTGAATTATTTTTAATACCTTTGAAAGCTGAGTAACCTTTTCTTTAAAAAAAAAAAAAGTGGGGAGTGGGATAGTAGAGGTTGTAATAAATTTTATCCCTAAGGAGTTGCAAACAAAATGAAAGCACTTAACCCCAGAATAGGAACAAAATATGAAGTATTATTTATAAAAGTAAGTTTACATGGGGTCTAAATGGTATAACTCTCTACCATTTAATTCACAGTTTAATGTCAGAAAACCTGTCTCATCAACTCACTGTTTACTTGTCAGTTCATTGATTTAAAATAGAATATCAATTGAATTTAGAAAATTCTCAAAAGCCAGTTTAATGCTGTTCATCTTTTAAGGCCAAAAAAAGTTTAATCCAGAGGCAGTCTTTCATTCTGCACTAATTTATAATTTAGATCAAAGAACTAATTATATATCTCAAATTTAATAATAAAAAGGTATAGTAATGAGAATTAAATTTATGGTAAATTATATAACTCAGAATGTTAAAGTAACTTGGAAATTCTTAATCTAAGTTAAGTATCTTTTTATTTCTTACTTGTCCTGTTTGATTTATTAAGGGAAAAGAAAATTTTAAGGAGTTGCCAGTATTTCTTTGTCTATTGAAAGTGGAATGTTTATTCACCCTTATTTATATACTTAAAAGACATTGTATTGGCCTGGTGCAATGGCTCATGCCTGTAATCCCAGCACTTTCAGAGGCCGAAGCAGGCAGATTACTTAAGGCCAGGAGTTCGAGACCAGCCTGACCAACATAGTGAAACCCCATCTCTACTAAAAATACAAAAATCAGCCGGGCATGGTGGCGCACACCTGTAATCCCAGCTACTCTGGTGGCTGAGGCATGAAAATTGCTTGAACCAGGGAGGCGGAGATTACAGTGAGCTGAGATCCTGCTACTGCACTCCAGCCTGGGTGATAGAGTGAGAGACTGTCTCAAAACCAAACCAAAACAAAACATTGTATATAAATAAATGTTATAGCTTGTTATATGGCTTTTAAAATGTAAATATGTATCAGGTAGTTTGTAGCTATAACAAGAAGTGATATCTCTAAAATATGCACTGTTAATTTGTAGTAGAATCCATTAAATGTCTAAATTTCTTTTTATTTAAAATAATGCAGAATTTGGCTGGGGATGGTGGCTCACACTTGTAATCCCAACACTTTGGGAGGCCATGGCGGATGGATAGCTTGAGCTCAGAAGTTCAAGACAAGCCTGGCAACATGGCAAAACCACGTCTCTAAAAAGAATAGAAAGAAATTAGCCGAGTGGGTGGCACACACTTGTAGTCTCAGCTCCTCAGGAGGCTGAGGTGGGAGCATAGCTTGAGCCCAGGAGGCAGAGGTTTCAGTGAGCTGAGATCATGCCACTGCACTCCAACCTGGGCGACAGAGCCAGACCATGTCTCAAAACAAACAACAGCAACAGCAAAAATTATACAAAGTTTAGTTAGAAGCTTTCTCAGCAAGCAAAACCTTTTCTCTGATAATAAAATTCGAAAGATGGAGGGAGAAGGCAAAATAGCAGACTTTGTAAACTTATGACATCACATTTGTCTTGAATTACTGAGATATGTGTTCTTCATTGCACCTTGCACATACCACCATTTATATATGACTTTCAAAGTAAAATAGAATAATTAACATCAATTGAGGCCAGGTGTGATGCCTCCCATCACCAAGGAATACAAAATGAATGGAGTCTAAGATACAGGTGATTTGGTATAAGGAAGATAGGACTGGGGAGGAGGCATTACTGACTAAAGAGGGAAAATGACAGAAGGAAGGAAGAACCTCTGCATTGTACAAATATCCTGGCTTTTCAAACTCAGAGTTGAGATACAGTTGAAGTTTCTGTCTTAAAACCAAGCATAGGCCGGGTGCGGTGGCTCGTGCCTGTAATTCCAACCCTTTGGGAGGCCAAGGCAGGCAGATCACGCAGTCAGGAGTTCAAGACCAGCCTGCCCAACATTGTGAAACCCCATCTCTACTAAAAATACAAAAATTAGCCAGGTGTGGTGGCGGATGCCTGTAATCCCAGCTACTCAGGAGTCTGAGGCAGGAGAATCGCTTGAACCCAGGAGGCAGAAGTTGTAGTGAGCTGAGAAATCGCACCACTGCACTCCAGCCTGGGCAACAGAGCGAAACTGTCTCAAAAAAAAAAAAAAAGAAAAAAGCATTGCTCTTATCTCCTAAAACATCCAGAGGAAGACTATCACAAGATGTAAGAATTCTGTTTACTTTTAGTTGTAGAAGTGGAAAAGAAACTATTCCAAGAATTAAGATAGATTGATAATGATATTACTTAGCTGTTACTGTGAAAACACTGCACTAAGATCTTTTTATGGAATACCTCACTTAATCTTTATAGTAACCTATGTGGTAACTGCTGTCATGCTTCCTGTAATAGAAATGAGGTAACAAATCCTAAGTTGCTACCTCTCCAAGGCTATTTCAACAGATCAAAAGATGAACTTCAAAACAAGAATGTATTGAGCACCTACTCTACACTCAGTGATCAAGCTTCATGTATACTTTGCACTTCAGCAGACTTTAGATAATACGATTGATAATATTCATAAATAAACCATCTCCTATAATAACTCTCTGGTAAAACTTTACCTCTGAATTAATTCATTTCAAAAACAATTCATGCTCATTGCTGGGGGAGAAAAGAAATGATACAGAAACATATCAGAAAGTGTATTTTTGTCTACTACCAATGCTTTTCCCAAATCCTTATTAGTGATATACTGTGGCCAGTTTGATGGTTTTCCTTACAAATCTTTATATGTGCATATCTGTGTGTGTATTTAACGTGCTATCTTATTCTGTTATAAATAACATCACACTATATAACTTTTTTTCATACTTAATAAACCTTGGGAAAATGTTTATGTCAGTATATATAGAGTTTACTTTTGAATAACTGATGTTTTTTAAGTTACTGTCTAAAAATACAAGTAATAGGTTGGGTGGTCAGATAACACAGATAATACTAAAAGTGTTTAAGAACTATAAAGTCTCACTCCTCTGTGATAACTACTGTCAACAAAAAGTACCTTTTGGGCTAGGTGAGGCGGCTCATGCCTGTAATCCCAGCAGTTTGGGAGGCTGAGGCGGGTGGATGGCTTGAGTCCAGGAGTTTGAGACCTGCCTAGGCAACACGGTGAAACTCTGCCTCTACAAAAAAAAATACAAAAATTAGGGCACAGCGGCTCATGCCTGTAATCCTAGCATTTTGGGAGGCCAAGGCAGGCAGATCGCTTGAGTCCAGGAGTTTGAGATCAGCATGGATAACATGGTGAAACTCCATCTCTACAAAAAAAAAAAAAAAAGAGCCAGGCATAGTGGTGCACACCTGTGGTCCCAGCTCTTTGGGAGGCTGAAGTGGGAGGATCAAGAGCCCAAGAAGCGCAGATTGCAGTGAGCCAAGGTTGTGCCACTGCACTCCAGCCTGGCTGACAGAGTAAGACCCTGTCTCAAAAACAGAACAAAACAAAAATTAGCTGGGCGTGGTGGTGGGTGCCTATAGTCCCAGCCACTCAGAAGGCTGAGATGGGAGGATTGCTTGAGTCCACCGAGGTCAAGGCTACAGTGAGTTGTGATTCAGCCTGGATGACAGAGTAAGATCTGTTTCAAAAAAAAAAAAAAAGGTGCCTTTTTATAAATAATACCTTCAAAGGACCGAATCTTAGTTCAGAGTATATATATGATGGGACTGCTAAAACACTCGGTGAATATAAACTGTCCAGAAATTGCCTGGCTTCAACCATTTTTTCATATATTTGGTCTCTATTGTAAATTAACATGGGCTGGCCTTACTAAATATGTCTCCACAAGGGGATTACTTGATATATTAAAAGACTTTGAGCTCTGTTACGATTCTTTGCACTAAAACATTTTTATGTATCTCATACTTAGGTATTGGCATGTTTATGTTTATAAAACTTCTGATAAATGTTATACATGTCATGAAATTTAAGGGTGAAATATACATACATCTGAAAGTAGTGCCAAAAAACTGAAAATATATTTGCACACTTAAATGTCTTTGTTTCTAGCGATATTCATCTTCAACCATAATAGCCTTTTCTGAAGTGGTTTGTTTGGTTTTTATATTAGGTTTTCGTTGTCAGTGTTCCTTTCTAATTGACGTTTACATTGTTTACATTAAAGAACAGTGCTGAATTTTGAAACCGATTCAGTAAATTTTCTCTGGAAAGTACATGGGCATTACCTTGTTTTTCTAAATCTTTTGACATCTGAGCTTGTATCTAATTATGAGCAGTCAGAAGTTTTTCTAAGCTAAACTGCATGATTAGTTGTTATTTTTGTGCCTCATCTTAAACCCTAGATTGATAGTTTTTTGTTTATAAGTATGAACAGTAAAATAGTAAGAAGCTAAAGTTTTCTGTGGTGTGAACACCACTTCTAAACTACATTTTGATGTCAAATTTTTAGAGGCAGTAGATTAAATAAAAGTAGATGGATACAGTATTATAGATCTGATCATCACATTAGGTCTATAAACCTGAGAGAACAGCTGCTGTCCTAGTTTTCAAGCAAATAAAGGTAACAATGGGACATTATTGGAGCTAAAAAAGATATAGCCTATCAACTCAAATAAGCCCCTTGGTATAGAATTAGCACCATGATTCCTATACTCATTTAACAAACACTTATTGAGCTCTTACTGTGTGCCAGAACCTGAGATTAAAGTAATGAAAATGATAGTCCATCAGTCTGGCCAACATGGTGAAACCTTGTCTCTACTAAAAATACAAAAATTAGCTGGACGTGGTCATGGGCACCTGTAATCCCAGCTGCTCGGGAGGCTGAGGCAGGAGAATCGCTTGAACCCGGGAGTCGGAGGTTGCAGTGAGCTGGGATCACGCCACTGCACTCCAGCCTGGGCAACAGAGCGAGACTCTGTCTCAACGAAAAAAAGAAGAAAAGGATAGTCCAGTGTTAAGTACCAATAGGCAGTTAGAGTGTGAGTGCCCTAATAGAACACTGGGTGCTGGGGGAGTACCTAGGAGGACGAGAAGCCCCAGACCCCAATATGGAAGGGGAGGGCAGGAGGACATATCAGAAACTTCCCAGACAATGAGACCTGGAGTAGGAGTTAAGCAAAGATTGGAGGTAAAAGCGAGCATATCAGGCAGCAGGAACTGGCCTAGAGATAAATGACAGCTAGGCCTTTTTGGCTGGAGATGCTGGGGTTGCAAAGAGAGGTATGGCAAGAAATGAGGCAACAGAGGCAAACACGGCTATAAGATAAAGAATTCAGTATACTAAACTGAGACAATTGGCTTTATCCTCACTATCATAAATCTTGTGGCCTGATTACATTTGTATTTTCTAAAAGCTCTCTTTGGATGTAGCATGTGAAGACCGTAAGAAATGTTCTAGAAATAGTGAGGGTCTTAAAAGTACATACATTCTGCTGTAAGTAGATGAAATCTGTAAATTTTATATCAAAATTACTAATTCTTTTTAAAAGTTTTATGCTCTGTGTATTCATTTGTTCAGGAGAATTTGTGGGGCACCTGTTCTTTTTCAGGCACTGTGTCAAGCACTTTACTCACGTTGTCCTCTGTGGTAGGTTTTTCCTCCATTTACAGCCAAATGGGGTACCAAAAATTCACCTAAGTGCTGGGATTACATGCCTGAGCCACTATGCGTGGCCAAGACTATTAAAAGGGACAGAAACTTGAAAGATAGGCTTCTATATGGATAAATAGTCATGTACCACATAATGATGTTTCAGTCAACAGCAGACCACATGTACAATGGTGGTCCTATAAGGTTATAAAATACGTACTTCCACTCTACTTTTTTAATGTTTAGATGTGTTTAGATGAACAAATACCATTGCATTACCATGTTACAGCTAGAAAGTGTTAAGGCCAAGATTTGAATCCTGGTCCTTGTGATTCCACAGCTACTCTTCCACAGGTAGGGGGAAGAGGGAATATGATCTCTGAGGAGAAATCATCTGTGAGGTGCACTGTTTTGAAGGGAGCACATGATCATATGTAACCAACCAGAAGATATCAGAAGGTTTTCTGAAAAACTTTTTTTTTATATATGGAGTTTCAGCCTTGTTGCCCAGACTGGAGTGCAGTGGTGCAATCTCAGCTCACTGCAACCTCCGCCTCCTGGGCTCAAGCGATTCTCCTACCTCAGCTTCCCAAGTAGCTGGAATTAGAGGCGTCTGCCACCACGCCTGGCTAATTTTTTGTGTTTTTAATAGAGGTGGGATTTCACCATGTTGGCCAGGCTGGTCTCGAACTCCTGACCTCAAGTGATCCACCCACCTCGGCTTCCCAAAGTGCTGGGATTAGAGGCGTGAGCCACCACGCCTGGCTGAAAAACATAATTACATGGCTGTACCCCAAAAGCTTTGGTTTTTCCCTTCAATGATATTCTTAATTCCATTATAATAATTTACTATTCATCACTAGTGGGGTAATGGTCTAAGGATAGTAAACAAAATACAGGTGTAAATGACTAGCTTTTGTTTTCAGATAAAGAGGTGTGAACCGCTGAATTTTTCACCTGCTGAGTAGGAGGATAGTTTTTATTTAACATTTTGATAAACCTGTGACAGGAAATTATACATTTGGGTTGTCACTGTTTCTGTTCTCATTATAGGTGTTTGACTTGCCCTGCTCTCTTCAGACTACGCTCCCTCCCTTCCCCCTTGCACATCCCGCAAATCCTGTGCTTGCTTTGGTAGTAGAATACATCAGTACAGTGCGTACGCTTATCAGGGAACTTTGATTATAGAAATAGCTGTCATTCATTTAACATTTACCATAAGGTAAGCAATGGACTAAGAGCTGTATGTATATTATTTAATCCTGAAAGTAACCCCCTAGGGTAGACGGTATTATCCACATTTTTCAGATAAGGAAACAGGCAAAGATTTCACACATCACACAGCTAAAGAGAATTGGAATTGGGTTTCTGGTCAGTCCCACTCTAGTGGTATATCCTTTCTGTCTCTTCCAGCAAGATGCCTGCATATAAGAATGTGCTCTATTTCAGAGATTTCAGGCATCCTGTAGGTCCCAGAGTTAGCTCCCCCTGCATTACAGTAGAGGGCTATATGTGGTGTCTTTGTGCAGAGAACTGACATCCCCATGAATGCTTTCCCTTCATTATGCTATTCTCATTACCCCCCATGCTTAAATGTAAACATTTTAAATGCCGTATTAGATAACACTAATTTATGAAGTAAACATTAAAGAAATATCAATCTAGTCAATTGAGTACCTTAAGAATTATTAACCTGAGCCGGGCACAGTGGCTCACACCTGTAATCCCAGCACTTTGGGAGGCCAAGGTGGGCGGATCACCTGAGGTCGGGATTTCAGGACCAGCCTGGCCAACATGGTGAAACCCTGTCTCTACTAAAAATACAAAAATTTTCTGGGTGTGGTGGTGCGTGCCTGTAATCCGAGCTACTCAGGAAGCTGAGATCAGAGAATTGCTTGAACCCGGGAGGCAGAGGTTGCAGTGAGCTGAGATCATGCCACTGCACTCCAGGCTGGGTGACAGAGTGAGATTCCATCTCAAAAAAAAAAAAAAAAAAAAAAAAAAATTAATCTGTGTGTGTGTGTGTCGTGGCTTGAAGAGAAATCGTTCATGAATTGTGTGTATGCTTTAGCTTCCTCTACTAAGTTACTAAAGTTATTCCCTAGAAGTTTTCAGCTGCTTTTCCAGCTTTGTTTGCTTTTGTCTCTCACACAACTTGTCAGAAGCTGTAAGAATAAAGAATATAAACATTGTGTACCTTTTCACACACATGCAGCATCAATCTCAGTGATTGCCTCTTTCCCATTAGAAGGGATTAATGTTCTCCAGGTAGATAGCCTTCTCATTTCCAGTATTCACTTGGTTTTGTAGTCAGTGATTAATTTTTTACAGAGTACTAAGGAAAAGAACTTCTGGCAGCTTCCATAGCCTGGTGGTACTTTTTTTTAATTTAACTTTTAATAGGTAATACATTCACACGGAACAGAATTCAACATGGTATTCTGTAAAGAGTCCCCCACCCTTCCACTTTGTTCCCCAGCCACTCAGTTGCCCTTGACAGAGGCAACCAGTGTTACAGGTTCCTGTGTACCCTTCCAGATAGATAATCCAGAGATTGTCTCAGAACATAACCTAAAATGTATTGTAAGGGAGCATGAAAAGATACTTAGATTGGAAATATAGTATTAGTAATGCCTGACTGGCATTTAGCTCTTGCGGGAAAATCTTGTAAGACTTTTTGAGACAAGGTCTCGCTCTGTTGCCCAGGCTGGAGTGCTGCAGTGGCATGATCACAGCTCACTGCAACCTTGACCTCCCAAGCTCAATCAATTCTCCCACCTCAGCCTCCCAAGTAGCTGGGACTACAGGCATATGCCACCATGCCTGGCTAATTTTTAAATTTGTTTTTAGAGACAGGGTCTCACTGTGTTGCCCAAGCTGGTCTTGGACTCCTGGGCTCAAAAGATCTGCCCCACCTAAGCCTCCCAAAGTGCTGGGACTACAGGCGTGAGCCACCATGCATGGCCAAGACTATTAAAACGGACAGAGACTTGAAAGATACGTTTCTATGTGGATAAATGGTCATGTACCACATAATGATGATTCAGTAAACAGCAGACCACATGTACAACAGTGGTCCTATAAGGTTATGTAATAACGTACTTTCACAGTACCTTTATAATGTTTAGATGTGTTTCAGTGAACAGATACCATTGCATTATAGTTGCCTACAGTATTCAATACAGTGACACACTGTACAGATTCATAGCCTATGAGCAAAAAAATGGCCTTATATACTGTGTACCCTAGGTGTGTAATAGGCCTTAAACCATCTAGGTTTGTGTACGTACACTCTGATGTTCGCACAATGATGAAATTGCCTAACAATGCTTTTCTCAGATGGTATTTCTGTTAAGTGACCACTGTTAAGCAACTTTAAGACTACACTCTGTTATGCCTCTTTACCCAACAGGGACAACCAAATTCCAAATATTAGCTACAAGGGTATAAGAAACAAAACACAGAAAACTACAACTTTAAAAATTTTTTTGCCAAACTATAATGCATCCTTGCCTAAAATACAAATTATATATTCTTCCCACTGTTCAGAGAAGTGGTGAAGTTAGGTGTGTTCTGAGAAAAGAAAGCTGAAGAAGATAAAAGGAATAGGGATACAAAGAGCAAACTGAAGTGATTAGGATTGTCCAGTCTGTCAGAAAGTATATTACTAAGGTGGCCATAAATGTAGTGCAACAAGTAGACCCTAAGATGAACCCTAATCTCCGTTTTCTGGTATTCACACAGTAGTGGGTTATATGTAGGTTCTATCCCTTGCCATTCTCACTCCACCTGAGAATTTAGGTAGCCCCCCACTGTGTACCATAGCCTTTTGTACACCCCTTTGGTAGTACTTACTACATAGAGGTGAGATTGCCTACTTCTTTTTCTACCCTTCTAGAACATTGTTAGCTTCTTGAAATCAAGAGCTGTATTATTTATCATTGTATCCCTCACATGTAGTACAGAGCCTGCACAAAGCTCAATAATTTTTTTAAATGAAAGTCTAGAAAGGTAACCTGGAATCCAGGGCTGAATGACCCATTAGTTTGACCAAAATCTAGAGTGGCAATTAAAAATAACATTACTTCTTTTAGACCAGTGTCAAAACTGTAGATTTTTGTATCTGCTCTTTCTTAGCCTGGGTTCCCTCCAAAAAGTAGAGCCTCGTATAAGGACTTGCAAGCAAAAAGTTTATTTTGGGAAGTTCTACCAGAGAATAGGAGTGGGTAACTGATGAGTGAAATGGAATGAGAACAAGCCAATACAAGCATGTGTTCTGAGCTGATCACTGCTGTGGTCAATCAGGCATAATCCTACTGGAACTCACTGATGAGCCACATGGAATGTACTTCAGGATTGTCTTCCAGAGGGAAGAAAGAGGGGACATTTACCTACCACCTTCCATCCCTCCATTGGAAAAGTGTTTCCAATAGGGTGTTCACTCCCTTGCATCTCATGGTTTGCATATGGACAGGTGCCTAGCAGATTTCCAGAGGTGCTGACTCCAAGGGTCACAATTTTCACAGCAGACAACAAAAGATACAAAGGTACTGCTGAGGCAGGGTGCTGTAACTGGGCTGCTGTGGTGAAAGGCAGAGAGGTTGTGCAGTGGGCGCAAGAGTTGCTGAATTTAGTCTACTTCTTGCATCACTCAGATCAGTTTGTGTGCTCCATCATCACGGAATCTTCAAGATGGTGGCCAGCCACACCTCTACAAAAGACTCAATCATGGAAGAGATTGAAACTAGATTTTCATCATTCTTTGCCAATACTTCAGCAGGCCTAGGCAGCCTACTAGGTGTGAGCCAGACCTTCATCCCAGAGGTATTTGAGCTCTTAGTTTCTTTATTAGTAGTTGCTACAATCACTAGGTCTCTGTTATCCCTCAGCAAAGAAGCACCAGAAGATGCTGCAGTGAATCCCCTGGGTTCTGAATGAACTGCTGTTGTATAGCCACAGACCTTGCACCTCATCCAACACAGGATCCACTTGTACGAGTGTACCTTCAGGACCTGCCAGTGCATATAGCCAGGTCTTACCATTCTTTAGGTGCCTACACTCTTTCCTCCCAGAACAGGGACTGTATTTTCCCAATCAGACTGTGCTGGGAACATGATCCTCATTATTGGTTTGGAGGTAGTGAGAGAAGGCAGGAACTGATCTTAAAGAGAACAAGCATTATCTTTTCAGGCACCTGCAGGGTCTCCAGATGAAGGAGGCTGCTGCTCTCTAGCAAGGAGTTGGGGGAGCTGCTTCTCCTAGCCCAAAAAATTCAGGTAAATCTTGGGGTTTAATATTCTCAGCTAAGCCAACCAAATATCCCCATTCCAGGTTTCTGTGTCCAAGTGTTCCTACCAGGACCCAGATTTTATCATAGAACACCTGTCAAGGCTTTCTTTCATATCTCCTTTGTAGTTCTGATATCTTTTAAATTAAGTCTGGAGCCTGAATTTTGGCAATCTGCCCCGCAGCTGCAAGAAATAGGGTCTTTTCAGACACTGACCTGGAAGTCTTCAGACTTTGAAGAATGCCTAGATTTAAGGGTTGGCTAACCTGAGCCTGTCATTCTGTTTGTTCATGGCCTCTAAAGTTGTTAATCCAGCCAGTATCTAGGCCTTATAGTCACTAATGTTTCCATTCCATTCAAGTGCCACCATGATTGGTGATCTGATACTTTACCTTCCACATGTACCTCATTTTAATCTGCTCCTGGTGTTGTCATGCTACTATGTGCAGGGGTTATCACCATGTCTCCTACCAGTAGGAATGGGAGGGGGAGACCTTTTGCCATTTGGTCAGTGAGTAAGGTAGATCTAGAATCTCATTCAAGAACCTTGTTTTCTAGGGCCATTTCTGTTATCTTTGCTGGGTGTCTCCTCCCATTCCCCACAGTGCATGCCGAAAGCACAGCCCAGATCAAAGGCTGACATGCAGGTCATTTAGTCAGTAAGTATCCCATGAGCAGGAGTGAGGGGGAGCAGTACAAGAGTGTGTCATTGAGCTGATCACCACTGCAGACACCTGGGCTTAGGCTCTTCATCAGAATTGTCCTCCTGAGAAATAGTAGAGAGGAGCATTCATCCAAGCAGCTCTCAGAGTCACAGCATCTAAGGACCGACAGTGCAGAACACTGAGGCGCAGGTTGACTTGTCTTCTCGCCCTTATATCTGACACTCAGTTTTTGCTTTGGATCCGGAATTCCTGGTTGCCTTTTAAAAATAGATTTGTAGGTGTGATGTGATGGTAGTGCTGTTTTAGAAAACTTAAACCTTTCAATAGTGTGCTCTGTATGCATTGGAATCCTGGGTGGAGGGAGACAGTAGGAAGCTTTTCAGTAATTGGTATATGAGATGCTAAGGATTTGAACTAAGGTGGTATTCTAGTGGGAATGGAAGAGAGGCTAATTGAAGGGTGTTCTGAAGGACAAATCTGTAGGACACATTGGTTAGATATTGAGGTCAAAGGAGGGCAGAAAGGCAGAGTAGAAATTAAAGATTTATAGGGTACTGTGTAGACACATTTCTCCCCAATTTCCAGTGTAATCCTCAGAACTTCAGATTCTTTCAGCTGACATGAGAAAATAAGACTCACAGGATGTAGGTTTGTTTTTGTGTTTTTGAGACAGTCTCGTTCTGTTGCCCAGGCTGGAGTGCAGTGGTGCAATCTTGGCTCACTGCAATCTCTACCTCCCGGGTTCAAGCGATTCTCCTGCCTCAACCTCCTGAGGTCCCGAGTAGATTTTTAGTACAGATGGGGTTTCACCATGTTGGTCAGGCTGGTCTCAAACTCCTGACCTGGTGATCCGCCCACCTCGGCCTCCCAAAGTGCTGGGATTACAGGCATGAGCCACTGCGCCCGCCCACAGGATGTAGTTTTTGTTTGTTTTGTCTTTTTAAGACAGGGTCTCATCTGTCATTCAAGCTGGAGTACAATGGCATCTCTTGGCTCACTGCAACCTCTACCTCCCAGGTTCAAGCGGTCTTCCCACGTCAGCCTCCTGAGTGCTTGGGACTACAGGCATGCACCATTATACCCACCTAATTTTTGTATTTTTTGTAGAGACAAGGTTTCACCATATTGCCCAGGCTGGTCTCAAAACTCCTGAGCCCAAACGATCCGCCCGTCTTGGCCTCCCAAAGTGCTGGGATTACCGGTGTGAGCCATCACACCTGGACAGGATGTGTTTTAATCTGGTACAGGCTGAGTGAGGGTCAAGAATTAGTGATGCAGCTGCCTGAATTTAAAACCTATGGTCTTTCACTTCCTGCCACACTCACTTCCATTATTTCTTAATTTCTTTTCTCAGGATTCTGAATCAGTCATGTACTGGTTAGTAAGAAAGAATTGAAGCAACTTTTCTCTCGAGCCTGTTTGTACTTCAATTCTTATTTCTAACTCTGGTGCCTCTGAAGAATCACCATGCCAAGTCTAAGGCCGGCCCTCCTCTAAACTTACGATCTTGTTTTATGTTGCATGGCAAGCTGTAATCTCCCTGTTCCTTTTTCCTTTCCCCCTTGCCTGTTTCCTCCTTCCTCTTTCCACCCCGACCTCAATATGAATCTGGAAGTCGTTTATATATTTCCTGATGGACATGAGCCAGCGGAAAAGTTTCCCACTGGTATTGGTGAAACAAATAGGGTGGCATTGTAGGAATAACAAGTAAGGGGGAAACAAAGATCCTGACAGTGTATTCAGGAGAACTGTCAACGTTGAGGCTATTTTTAGTTACCAGAGGGACAAACATGAAGAGGAGAAACAAAAATTGATAATAAAAACAGAAAGTGATCCTATTTAACATGCAGCAATACAGTCATTTGTGTTACTGAATTTCAGATTGATTTGTTAGCTCTTTAAGTCTAAACCTTCAGCCTTGGTCATTCATTCCTACTGGTTATGTGACTCAATTTTTTGAGGGAAGGTATTTTTGCTTACATTAAAGATTAGAAAGAAAATATCCTAGTAAAAGAGAATAGAGGAAAGGATTAAATAAGTAGGAGATGGATCTGTAAAGTGTGGTTATCACACAAGCAAAAGAAATTGTAAGAAGTTGACTTTGTACTACCTGCCAGCCTCCCAAGAGCATCACTGAAAGTCTGCCTGAGCGGAATGTATTGGTGCCTTTTATCCATTAAATGCCTTGGCTACAGGTGGAATTTTTCTGTTACCAGGAAATTGTTAATAAAAGCTTTTTTTTTTTTTTTTGAGACAAGAGTCTCGCTCTGTTGCCCAGGCTGGAGTACAGTGGCACAACCTCGGCTCACTGCAACCTCTGCCTCCTGGATTCAAGTGATTATCCTGCCTCAGCCTCCTGAGTAGCTGGGACTCTACAGACACATGCCACCACACCCAGCTAATTCTTGTATTTTTAGTAGAGACTGGGTTTCGCCATGTTGGCTAGGCTTGTCTCGAACTCCTGACCTCGGGTAATCTACCTGCCTCAGCCTCTTAAAGTGTGGGATTACAGATGCCCACCACCACGCTTGGCTGTTAATAAAAGCTTTTGGCCAGGCGCAGTGGCTCACGCCTGTAATCCCAGCACTTTGGGAGGCTGAGGCGGGTGGATCACCTGAGGTCAGGAGTTCAAGACTAGCCTGGCCAACATGGCAAAATCCCGTCTCTACTAAAAATAGAAAAGTTAGCCGGGTGTTGTGGCAGGCGCCTGTAATCCCAGCTACTCAGGAGGCTGAGGCAGTAGAATTGCTTGAACCCGGATAGCTGAGGTTGCAGTGAGCTGAGATCACGCCACTGCACTCCAGTCTGGCAACAAGAGTGAAACTCCATCTCAAAAAAATAAAAATAAAAGCTTTTGAGTTGATCTAAAAAGCTAACTGGTTTATTAGTCAACCGTTGCTGTGTAAGAAACAATCTGAGAACCTCAGTGGTATAACACAATGAACATTTATTTCTAATAAGTTTCTGGGTTAGGTGGGGCATTTCTGCTTCAGTTTGCAGCAGCTGGGGCCTCTCTCATTGCCACTGTGGATCAGCAGGGGTGGCTGTGTTCCCAGGGCTGCCCATTCTCCTCCTGGGACCAATAAGCTAGTCACAGCATACTTTTCACGTGGTAGGAGGGAAGAAGGCAAGCCCAGTTCCCTAAAGAGGAAAGGGACTCTAGACAGAGCAGTACTATTCAAAGCATGTCTGCAGTGAGTGAGATAGGTACAGAAATTAACAACAAGCATTTAGAAACTAAACAATTGCCACAATATTCAAGCGGTGTTTTTGCTGAATTTTACTAAAGTATTGGTCCAGGACACGTTGGAAATTTAAAAAGAAAGAAAAAACTGTAGCATGACTCGCGATAGTTTGCAAAGTGCCGAGAGAGAACACATGACATTCTGCTCACTAGAACTGACTCCCTGTACTGCCCATGAGTAAGCATTCTGATCTACGCATGTGTCATGGGTTTGTGTTAGGATCACTTTGTCACCAAGAGTCTGACCATCTTTGAGTGTGCTGATGGTTTCGTACCTACAGGACTTGTCCATTACCAAGGATGTGGCACCGTGTAAAGCCTCTCAGCACCCACTTGTTGGCCTTTCCCTGCCAGCATCCCTTCTGCCTTGCTGCTATATTTACATTTTCATTCCAATATTGATAACCTTGACAAAGTTGTATTATCATTAATTGAAATCCTTTACCATCAGATTAAAACATTAATTTTGACATTATAAGATAAATCTCTTTTTACCAACATTCCAGTTTTTTATCTGTCTTCCTTTTACATTTTTGAGTTAATATCACCATGTTTGGTGTATTTATAAGGTGCTTTCTGCTCGTGAGAGAAGTAGTTCTAAATAAGTTCTAATGAGCATTGATTAGTAAAAGTCCTAAGTTAGAGCTGGGTGCAGTGGCTTACACCTGTAATCCTAGCACTTTGGGTGGCCGAGGCGGGCGGATCACCTGAGATCAAGAGTTCAAGACCAGCCTGGCCAACATGGTGAAACCCCGTCTCTACTAAAATATAAAAAATTAGCCGGGCATGATGGTGGGTGCCTGTAATCCCAGCTACTCAGGAGGCTGAGACGGGAGAATCCCTTGAACCCAGGAGGTGGTGGTTGTAGTGAGCTGAGATCGTGCTGCTGCACTCCAGCCTGGGCGGCTGAGCAAAATCTGTCTCAAAAAAAAAAAAAAAAAAAAAGGTCTAAGTTAGAGGCATAAAAGGCTGGGAAGGGGAACTTTTGGGAGGGGAAGGAAGGATATGTTTAGGTAGGACTTGTTTCTTCCTAGATGTATAACCTTGGGTAACTTATTTAATCTTTCTGAGTCTTAGTTTTCTCATCTATAAAATGGGGATGATAATAATAGTAATAATAATACACCCTTCTTTGAGAAGAAGTGCTAAAATTAAATATTCTAAAGTAAGCAGTTAACACAGAGCCTGATACATATACATAATAAGTTTTCAAGAATGTTAGCTACTATTATTATTTGCTTTTAGTTAATTATCTACTAGGTGCCAGACACTATAGAATCAGATAAGATGGGGCTTTTACCGAAAAGGAACTTAGTCTGGTGGAAGAGTCAGACAAATATATATAAGAAAGATATAGTAGTATGAGAGTTTTGTGCTGTTACAGACAAACACAGGGTACCAGAGAAACTTTTAGATAGGAGGAACACCTGACCTAAGGCTTTGAGGAGCAGTATCAAAGTAGGCTCTTAAAAGAGGCAGCATCTAAGCTGAGACTTAAAGATGCAGAGGAGTTAAGAAAAAGAGTTAGGGGCATTTCAGAAAAATGGAACAACATACACAAAAGCCTGGAGGTGCAAGCGATTGGTGGACTTCTGGGGAATTGGAAGGGACACAGTATGACGGGTGTAGAGTCTGCGCAGGGATGGGCTGGGGAGTAGGCAGGTGCCAGATCATCAAGGGAGATGTAGCTTGGACTTTTTCTTGAAATCATTTGTAGCATGAAGTTATTGAATAATTCGTTAAAGAGGCCATATATAATTTACATTTTAAAAGATCATTCTGGCAACAGTACAGAGAGCAGATTAGAAAGGGAAAGACTGGAGGTGGGAATTTTTTAAAAGCCATTTCAATAATGCAGGGGAAAAGTATCAGGTTCTGAAAAGGAGGTGGTAAAAATTCAATGGAGATTCTGTGGAGGGGTTGAATTGAAAAGAAGAATGAACAGCATCTGGTGATAGATTGGATATGGGCATCCGGAGAAGAACCCAATAATAGTACTGAGATCTCTGCCTTTGGTGACTGAAGAGGCCCAGATTTCCCAGAGGAAATGAATTGACTTTGGCATTTAAGATGTCTGTGGAAAATCCATGTGAAAGTCAGGTGTGACTGGGAGTCAGCTCAGGCTTGGAGCTATCAGCTGGGAAGTCAGGGATATAATGAGGTGAAGGCCGTGGGGCAAGTGACATCACCAGGCAGTGAAAAGAGCTGGATATTCATGGTACTCGGCTTAGGTACTCCAGACTGTTTGAGCAAATGTAGAGTGTCAAGAGTATGGTCTCATTTAAATCCCATAACAACCCTGTGAGGTAGGAAATAATCTCAGCTTTGCAGATGAGAACATTTCAGACTCTTAAAGAGTGAAGTGATTTGCCTAAAGTGATTTTGCTACTGAGTGGCAGCGCTAGGATTTCAAGTCCAATCTGATTTTAAAGCCCATTTTTTTTCCTACTGTATCCTGCTGCTTTGTAAACCTCAGCAGTTTAAATATTTGTGATCATGTTATCTTTCATTCTTTTTCTTCACCTCTGCCAGTATCCTGGTTTAGTAGGATTGTGACACATCATTTTAAATAACCAGCTTTTCTCTCATTTCCCCTGCTTCACTCCCAAACACATCTATGAGATTGCCTTTCCTATCAGATTAACTCATCCCACTCAATTCTATTCCAATGCCCACTTTAAAACAACAGGCCAACAGAGGTCCTCCACTGGCTACTGAATGAGGTCTGTCCTCCTCAGCTTGGTATTCAAGGCTCAAAGGCTCGTCATAAAATGACGACTGTTGAAAACTTTCCCATATTTCCCACTTCTCATTAGCACATCTTCACGCCTTTGGGTGTCATCTATATGTGGATATAAATGTGGTGGTCTCATTGTGTTCCTTATAGGGATATTCTTTTAGTGCTTGGAATAAAGACATCTTTTATTTGCTCTGTTACCATCTTATAGAAACGGTTTTGTCTTTGTGATGAAATCAGCTTGGATGTCTTCTGACCTTAGTTCCTTTCCAGTGTCAGGGTTCCTTATACTCCATCCCTAATGTGACGAGCCAGCCTCTGTTCTGACACTTTCTAGAAGGATCCTTTTTTTAATGGGAGAAGAGGATGGAAATTCTAATTGTTAGAAATTTCTTATCATTGAACCAAAATCTCCCCACTTTTAACATCTGTCTGTTTCCTAGGAACAACGGATAAATCAGTTATTTCTCCTCTGCCTCGTGAAGAGGCATTTAAAGACAGCTCTCATGTCTCTCCTCAGGTTTCTCTTACATAACCCAAATCATCTCTTGCTTGGAGCTTTTTTCCTGTGATAAGTTGCGAACTCTCTACTATTCCCTTGCCCTCCTGAGACTCTTGCAGTTTGGTCAGTGCTAATCTAAACTGACCCACGGGGCCCAGAATGACACAGCACTCCACAGAAAGCAGCAACATGAGTCCTTTGATTACGGCTCAATGCTCGTACCTGAAAAGCCTGAGATTGCTTCAGATCTATAACAGCCATGTCACATTTTGCATTCATTCAGTGAAAAAAAAAAACCCAGATATTTTATATAGTTCCAGTTAAGCCAACCATCATCTGCTGTGCAGTCGATTTCTTTAAATGTAGAACTAATTCTCCTAGTTATATTTCAGCTTCATTTTGATCAGTCTTTTTAGGCAATTATGATTCTGCTATGCAGTGTGGTGTTAACTGTGTTTCCAAGTTTGGGGTCATCTGAAGATTTTGAAACATACTTTCCACATCATTATCCAAGATTTTTGTTTGTTTGTTTGTTTGTTTCGAGACAGAGTCTCACTCTGTAGCCCAGGCTGGAGTGCAGTGGTGCGATCTCAGCTCACTGCAGCCTCCACTTCCCGGGTTCAAGCAATTCTCCTGCCTCAGCCTCCTGAGTAGCTGGGATTACAGGCACTTGCCGCCACACCCAGCTGATTTTTGTATTTTTAGTAGAGATGGGATTTCACCATGTTGGCCAAGCTGGTCTCGAACTCCTGACCTCAGGTGATCCACCTGCCTCAGCCTCCCAAAGTGCTGGGATTACAGGCGTGCGCCGCCGCACCCGGCCCCAAATTCTTGATAAACATGGCAAAAACCAACTTCCCACTCCACGCATCAAGTTAATCAGTGCTGTTTATGAATGGTTCTGTTAACCACTGTCCTGTCATCCCATCCCCTGTCTCTTCATGTTATCTGCAAAGATCTCATTTGTACATTCAACACATTTTTACTTAGCACAGGTTTAGCACATGTGCGAGAAGGTGCTAGGAATACATTGAAGATAGCCGTCCCTATCTTGTGGTGCTTACAGTTTAGCAGCATCATGAAATATTTTCTAAATGCTTTGTGGAAATGAAGTTATACGGTTCTCTATGATATTTCTCCTCATCTGGTAGCGTATCAGAAAGGGGAATGAGGGTTTACTTTTTGTAGACTCCATATTGCTACTCATTATCTTCTATCACTTGAAAGTGGGATTCACTCCCTTTATCTTTACACCTTTCATGGTTTCACAAACAGCTTTGAACTTTAGAAGTCTCTGGAGTTTATTTACGCCCTTTCTGTGTAGCCATAGTTTGGTAGTGTTTATTTTATTTTATTTTATTTGAGACGGAGTCTTGCTTTGTCGCCCAGGCTGGAGTGTAGTGACACGATTTCAGACATAATTTCAGCTCACTGCAACCTCCGCCTCTCGAGTTCAAGTGATTCTCCTGCCTTAGCCTCCCGAGTAGCTGGGATTACAGGACGCCCAGCTAATTTTTGTATTTTTAGTAGAGACTGGGTTTCACCATGTTGGCCAGACTGGTCTTAACTCCTGACCTTAGGTGATCTGCCCGCCTTGGACTCCCAGAGTGCTGGGATTACAAGCAAGAGCCACTGTGTCCGGCCTGGTGGTGGTGTTTAAACACCTGTTTGTTTGTTTGTTTGTTTTCACATTATCAGGATTGTTTTTTGTTTTATAGTAAGCTTAATGAAAAATTTCTGTTCAACTTTAGCCATTCTCACTCCCATAATCTTTGTCACTCAGATTTTTACTTATATTTTATCTTTATATTTTGAAATGATCTTTCCTAAGGAGGAGAGTTGAGTCTCCTTAGGTTTTCTTTTCTTCCTTGAGTTCTTGAAATGCCATAGTTGCTTTCTCCAGGATCCTGGTCCTCTTCACTTACTTTTTCAAGTTTGCCAGAATTAAGCTCAGATGTATTTTGTCTATTTTCTGAAGGATTAAACTGTCAACAATGCAAGGTGCTATGTTTTCATACAAAGAGTGGATGTCTGCATAGCTGGCAGCCCACCTACCTTATTCTGAGGTGTGCATTCTCTCATCAGTCAGGTGTCATCCACTTCCTTCCTCTAGCCAGTTTCCACCACTGCAGCCTTTTTGCCTACTCTTCTTTCCCTTTTGGTCCAATGTCTTCCTCTATACTGACTTACTCACATTATTGGTTTGCACATAGATGTTTATTATCTTGAACTTGGGAGGATTCTCTGCCTTTTTCTGTAGATCCATCTCTGTAAGGCAGCAGATTTTCTATAGATGCCATAGTCTATTGTTTACCCATCCCACCAAGTCTTGGTGATTTTCATGAGATTTTATTTATCTCCTTGAGTTCTTTTTTGCTATTGTGACTTTTAAATATCGTGCCTAGCACACTAATGTTCAATAAGTAATATTTATGATTAATCTCAAGAAGTATTTGCCTTCTCTTTTAGGCTGTGAGGATATCATTGCTGAGAGCATCTCATTAGATACCTTAATTGCCATCCTCAAGTGGAGTTCTCATCCATATGGCTCTAAATGGGTGCACCGACAAGCTTTACATTTCCTCTGTGAGGAATTTTCCCAGGTCATGACTTCGGATGTTTTTTATGAACTCAGCAAAGACCATCTGCTTACTGCTATCCAGTCTGACTACCTACAGGTAATCATTTAAACACCTCTCAAACTCTGTCATTCATATGTGCGCCAAGAAACCCATCTATGCTCTATTACTCTTCCATCTAGGGTAGGGCAGGGGAAGAGAAACAGGCTGTGATCAAACCACCCAGGACTGCCCTCTTCATAGTTGTACAACAAAAGCCTTCTGGCTCACTGGCTCTTCATGTACACTGCTACCATGACTCAACATTGAACAAGCCCAGGTCCCAGCCAAATGCACCAAAAAGAGATTGGGGCAGTAGGCAAGGTCAGAAGCACATCCCAACATGATTTTCTTGACTTCTATTAATGTAGCTTCTCTATAGTGGTTTCTTACTTTTGGTGGAGCATCACATACTTAGATTGTAAGACAGTAGCTTCAGCAGCACAAAGTAAAAATAATATTCAATTTCTGATCTGCTCACATTTTTATCAAAACTCAGTGCATGTATTCTTCCAAAGTACGGTAATGTTTTCAACTACTTATTTTTAACCAGAAGTAGTTTTTAGCAAATTCTTGTGTTCTTGACTTAAATGTCAATTTAATTTGGAAATTTACATTAATAATAGATTTTATACATTACAGAAAATACTTACAGGCAAAGTATATCCAAGCTTAATTTTTGTGCATTGGCTATATGAATTTTATGCTAAAAACTGTACAACCGTTTTAATGCTATTAAAGACATAAACCCATTGAACCACTTCCTATTTCTTTGTATTTGTACTAGAAAAATAATAAAATGCTACCATTTTAGTCAGAAATGCAGTGGAGAGTTAAATAATACACTCAGCATCTGTGCTTTTCCTTTGTATGTTGCTTTGATTGCAGTACAGATGGCATACTTGGGCTTGATTTATGGAGAATCTTTGTTCATTAACCTTGTCTCATTGTCCTGATCAAAACTGGACGCTTTATGTTTGTGTTAGAAGTTGTTAGTTCTCTTAGATTATTGTCTTTAGGAGCTTTGCATTCCTTCTTAGAAAGTATTAAAAAAAAAAAAAACAGAGAGCAGCCTAGATTTGCTCTAAGATTTTAAATAAAATACAAAGAAATGAGGGCTACATTGCCATTTCACAGATTGTGCTTCACTAACCAGTAGAATACCTTGTAGAGATTGTAGTTTCTTCTGCCAAAACAAGTTGACTGACTTGTTTTTCCTGTCCCTCCAGGAGAGAGTAGTTACTCTGCCTATACCCTATACTTACACTTTCATTTACTTATCTCTGTTTTCTTCCAAAAGAGAATTTAAGGCAGCTATATAGAAACCACATAGTAAGATAAAATAAATTTAAAATAGGAAGTGGGTTGCTTGAGCCCGGAAGTACGAGACCAGCCTTGGCAACAGGTGGGACCCCATTTGTACAAAAAATTTAAAAAAAAATTAGCCATTTTGGGAGGCCAAGGCAGGCGGATCACGAGGTCAGGAGATCGAGACCATCCTGACTAACAAGGTAAAACCCTGTCTCTACTAAAAATACAAAAAAATTAGCCAGGCGTGGTGGCGGGCGCCTGTAGTCCCAGCTACTTGGGAGACTGAGGCAGGAGAATGGCGTGAACCTGGGAGGAGGAGCTTGCAGTGAGTCAAGATCACACCACTGCACTCCAGCCTGGGCAACAGCGCGAGACTCCCTCTCAAAAAAAAAAAAAAAAATTAGCTGGGTGTGGTAGCACATACCTGTAGTCCCAGCTGCTCAGGAGGCTGAAGCGGGGAGAATCACTTGAGCCCAGGAGGTTGAGGCTGCAGAGACCCATGATGGCACTGCTGCACTCCAGCCTGGGCAATAGAGTACGACTTCATCTCAAAAGGAAAAATTAAAATGAAAAAATAAAATAGGAAGGGAGCAGATTACAGAAAAAGAAGATAGAAATGAAATTTAAAAATTAGTTGGAGCCAAGATTGAGGTTACTGGATAAAATATATGTAATGCAGTCTTGTATATTTCCTGTTGATGGACCACAGATTTAACACTAAAACTTCAAACAGCCAATGGAAAGAGTGAAACATGGTAAGTTGCATGCTGTTATTTCCCACCTACGAAAAGTCCTTAATGAAATTAACCACTTATCTAATTTCACTAAAATAAATATAAACCATTTTTTATTATAGGCAAGTGAACAAGATATCCTTAAATATCTGATTAAATGGGGAGAGCATCAGTTGATGAAAAGAATAGCAGATAGAGGTAAGCTCCGAAAATTAGCTTGCACTAGTTACCTTGTGTAAAATTTGGTGGTTCTTATATAGAAATGCATGCCGCACATCAGTCTTGAAAATTGACACTGTTGCCTGGTGAAAATGGAAGTTTTTACCACCAGCAAAATCCTTTAGTGGACAGGGTATAGTTTATTAAAATAAATATATCAGAAAGTCTTATTTTGCAGCTTTAAAAGGATACTTTTTATTATTATGTTCTTAGGTGCTTAATAAAACATGACTGATTCGTGGAAGTACTAGAATGAAAAATTTCATATAATTTCATATAATGACTAAAGTATTACAAAAGCATAATGTTGATGAAAATTTGGAATTAGTGTTGATGGTTGCACAACAATACAAGTATAGTAAGAGCCACTGAATGGTACGCTTTAAAATGTTTTAAATAAATTTTGTGTTATGTGAATTTTAACCTCAGTTTAAAAATACGAGTACAGGCTGACCTGAGGTCAGGAGTTTGAGACCAGCCTGGCCAACATGGCAGAATCCCGCCTCTACTAAAAATACAAAAATTAGTGGGAAGTCGTGGCACGCGCCTGTACTCCCAGCTACTCGGGAGACTGAGGCATGAGAATCACTTGAACCTGGGAGGCAGAGGTTGCAGTGAGCTGAGATTGCACTATTGCACTCCACATGGGTGAAAGAGCAAGACTCAAAAAAAAAAAGAGTACAAATAAAAAAGCATTCATTGTTTATTTTTAAATGTTGTAGAAAGTAGGCTGGGTGCAGTGGCTCACGCCTGTAATCCCAGCACTTTGGGAGGCCGAGGCGGGCGGATCACCTGAGGTTGGAAGTTCGAGACCAGCCTGACCAACATGGAGAAACCCTGTCTCTACTAAAAATAAAAAATAAGCTGGGCATGGTGGCATGTGCCTGTAATCCCTGCCACCTGGGAAGCTGAGGCAGGAGAATCACTTGAACCCGGGAGGCAGAGGTTGTGGTGAGCCGAGATGGGGCCATTGCATTCCAGCCTGGGGCAACAAGAGCAAAACTTCGTCTCAAAAAAAAAAAAAAAATGTTGTGGAAGGTAAAAGAGAAATAAATAATACTTCTGAATGACCTCCCAGTGGGGTCACTGCAGAAGAGAAGGAAGCATCATATGTTGGAGGCTGGGCTTTCAACTTTGGAAATTTGTGATTCTACAGCAGTCTTTTGTTTGTGTGTAGGGTTAGCCCACCCACCTGTCCTCCTTCCCTCAAACATCGTTGTATTCCTTTATGTACTGAATCTAAATTTAAAATTTTTAATTGAAAAATTAAATACCAATTTCCTTTTTCTGTCACCTTTCGATAGTTTTATTTAGATATAATTTATGTATCTTAAAGTTCACCGGTTTGAAGTGTTCAAGTCAGTGGATTTTAGTACCTTTATAGAGTTGTTTTGTCACATTTTTAAATATAAAAAATGTTGTGCTAAACCTGCCTTTAAGCCTTTTTATAGTGTTTCTTTAATATGCTACTATCCAAGCTCTAGGGAACAAAAGCAGTCCTTCTATTTTATTTCTCCAATTTTTTTTCTGTGGCTGGCAAAAACCTTTAGCAATTCTCAGATTTGAATGTGTTTATTTTTATTTTTAAAATTTTATTTCAGAGAGCAACAAAGTTATGATTTTTGTTTTTGATTTATTTTTTTATTTGAGATGGAGTCTTGCTGTGTTTCCCAGGCTGGAGTACAGTGGCGCGATCTCAGCTCGCTGCAACCTCTGCCTCCCGGGTTCAAGCTATTCTCCTGCCTCAGCTTCCCGAGTAGCTGGGATTACAGGCACGTGCCACCACGCGTGGCTAATTTTTGTATTTTTAGTAGACACAGGGTTTCGCCATGTTAGCCAGGCTGTTCTCGAACTCCTGACCTCAGATGATCCACCATGCCCAGCAAGTTATGAATTTTTTAAAATATGAAAACCATTACAGTTGATTTAGAAAGTTTTTTAAATGCCAGCATACAATTAGTTCTCATTCGTAGCTTTTATATTTGTCAACTTACCTAGTCACTGAAATTTATTTGTAACCCCAAAATCAATACTGGTGATACTTTCATGGTCATTCACGGAGTAGCAAAAAGCTTGGTCTCCCAACAAGCACATTCCCAGCTGAGTTCTAACAAGACAGAGGCACTCTGCCTTCTTGTTTCAGATCTCCTTACCAAGTGCCACATTTTTTACATTTTTATGTTTTCGTGATCTCACTGTTCAAGATGGCCCCCAGGTGTAGTACTGAAGTGCTGTCTAGTGTTCCTGAGAACAGGAAGGCTGTGGTGTGCCATACAGAGATAATACATGAGTTAGGTAAGCTTCATTCAGGCGTGAGTTACAGTGCTGTTGGTTGTGAGGTTAGTGTTAATAAATCAGCCACATATATTAAATAAAGTGTCTTTAAACAGAAACACATAAAACAAGGTTCTGTCTTAATCATTGGACAAAAATGTTGTACCCAGAGGTTCACAGGAACCTAACCCTGTGTTTTCCCTATGAGCAACAGTTCAGTATATGCTGATTCATTGTTTGTGTTGACTTTATAACTACTTCAGATAATAAGAACCGATTGTATATAACTCTGTGTAAATGTTATAGACCATAAGCTTGTTCAGTGATGTAAAGTTGGTAATGATGAAATGTCATTTATTTGGGGCAGATAACAGGCATCTGCCTGTTAAGGGTTAAAATTTTCCTTAGAAAAATAGTTGCTAGGCCAGGCACGGTGGCTCACGCCTGTAATCCCAGCACTTTGGAAGGCCAAGGTGAGTGGATCACCTGAGGTCAGGAGTTTGAGACCAGCCTGGCCAACATGGTGAAACCCCATCTCTACTAAAAATAGAAAAATTAGCTGCGTGTGGTGGCGGGTGCCTATAATCCCAGCTACTTGGGAGGCTGAGGCAGGAGAATCGCTTGAACCCAGGAGGTGGAGGTTGCAGTGAGCCAAGATCATGCCACTGCACTCTAGCCTGGGCAACACAGCAAGACTCCATCTTAAAAAATAATAATAAAAAAATAAATAAAAGGTAGTTTCCACACTGGGTTAGTGGAAGGTTCTTCTGCAAGGATAAGAAGGAAGCTAAGTGAACCAGGCCATAGCTTTGTTTCAGTCAGTTTTATACAGGAGGATTCTGCACTTACCTGTCACATATTTGGGGGTTTCATGTAAGATTTTATATGAAAACAGGATGTCACTACTTTAAGAAAAAAAAATATTTTGAAAAGCAGAATGCCTTAAATAAGTATGAAGCTAAATCATAGCTAGGCAAGGGGGAAAAAAATGACTCTTTTCTACACAGTTAACAATTTTATTCTGAATGAATCCAGAAAAAAACTTAGCTTCTCAAAAACAATCAATTCTCTCTCTCTCTCTCTCATACACACACACACACACACACGATTTAAGGAAGATACCAGTTTTCCTGTAGAATATTTGAAAAAAATCCAGCATTTCATGAATAATAAGATCTTATTCTGTGTTAATTTTTTTAAGAAAAAAATTACAGACCCCTAGATTAAAGCCATGATTAAAGATTTCCAAATTACATAATTTTTCTTCCCACCTCAATAGCATAAGCATACATGTATTTCAGATTGTTGTTCACTAATGCCCAATGAAGAAATCATTCTCTGCCTTGGATGATGGACATATATTACATGTCAAAGATCAAAGGGTCTACTTTTATGCAGTAATGTTCCCATATTATGGAAATTTGGGAGATTTTCATAAAAATCTTAAAACCAAATAAAGCACATTATGCTTTGCTGCTTCAAACACCAAGTGATTAACATGTTGTTAAATTACTGTTACACATATGTAGGCTAATGAGCATACTGATAACTTACAGTGACCAGAAATGGCATATGCTCTACAATGACCTTATACTACTAAACACTGGTCACAAAAGTGAGAAGGCTTTTTAAAAAGCCCTTGATAAAACTAGATTTTAGTAGATTGTCATCTTTTCTCTTTTGAGTTAGTCTATAGAAAGGAATCCTTTATTCTTTATTGCAGAGCAGTGATAAAATAATTTTATTGTACTGTTGATACCATGCTTTTTCTTTATCCAAGAACATCCCTATTAAACAAACATGAAAGAAAATAATTGATTTATAACCCTTTTTAAAGCAGAGGCACATAAGTCTATAGAGTGGTACTGTTAGTGTATGTACTAGAGAACAAAGGAAACCTGTCTCAGAACATTTGGATTTGGTTGGAAACTTTTCATTTTCTGTCTCATAGAGCCAAACTTACTGAGTGGCACTGCCCATAGTGTGAACAAAAGAGGTGTAAAAAGACGGGACCTGGACATGGAAGAGCTCAGAGAGATCCTTTCTTCTCTCTTACCTTTTGTGCGAATTGAACACATCTTACCTATAAACAGTGAAGTCTTAAGTGATGCAGTAAGTGTTTTTCTCCATGTATTCCTTTCATGAAAAGAAAAATGCCAGGTGTATGTTTTTATTCATTGTAAATAATTTCTGCTACTAATAGAGTATTGTGAAGCTGTAATTCTGTGAGGACAGAGACAGATGTCTATTGTGTACGATGTTGTATCTCCTGTGTCTTCCACATAATACAGTTAAAATGTTCAGTGAATGAGAGTTGAGTGGGTAAATAGGTCTTACTCATGCAAGAGCATTATTTCTAGCAGAGTTAATTCTGTCATTTAAGTGTAGATCAAGTAGACCCTTATTCAAAAAGGGAAAGGTAGAAATTACCTTTGAAGAGTCTTCAAGAACAGCAGTGAATCAGAGAGTAGTGGAGTGGAGGGATTGGTTGAATAGAAAAAGAATGGATGGACCTGAAAATTAATAGAGCTCATCTTGTTACTTTCATAATTTTTTAAACAGTGAATTTTTTAAAAATTAATATAATTGGCTGGGCGCGGTGGCTCACTCCTGTAATCCCAGCACTTTGGGACGCCAAGGCAGGTGGATCACCTGAGGTCAGGAGTTTGAGACCAGCCTGGCCAACATGGTAGAACCCCATCTCTACTAAACATACAAAAATTAGCCAGGCGTGGTGGTGCATGCCTATAATCCCAGCTACTCGGGAGGCTGAGGCAGGGGAATTGCTTGAACTGGGGAGGTGGAGGTTGCAGTGAGCCGAGATCGAGCCATTGCACTCCAGCCTGGGTGACAGAGCGAGACTCCATCTCAAAAAAAAAAAAATTAATAGAATTGCTTGAATTCATGGATGGGAAAAATAAATATTATAAATATTAGTTCTTCACACATTGACTTATAAACTTAATATAATGCTTATAAACATCATAATATGTTTTTTCTAACTGCACAGGAACATTATAAAACATTATAAAAGTCTTCTGGAAAAAAAACAAAACATAATAATAAACGAACTATCACAAGTCAATGTGGTGCTAGATTAACTGATTAGCAGAAGAAGAAATTTATTGAAAGTTAAACCATCGTTTCACTGGCACACAAAATTAATCCTTGTTAGACTGAAGAATTAAATACTAAATGGAAACATGGAAGAACTAGAAGAAAACAATATTGTTTTCAAGAAGTATTTATGGGCTACTCTGGGCATACTGCCTATGGGGTAGCCCTGCTCCACAAGGAGCAGTAATAAAAATAAATAAAAACAAAACTTAAAAAAAGAAATATTTGTGGATTCTGATTAGAAAAAAAAATTCACCCTCACTAATTACACACACACCAGAGAAAGCAAAATGAAACAGTTACCATTTTTTCACCTGTTAAGGTAGTAGTTATAGTACCACTACACAACAGAATATTTTGCTCCCCTGAACAGTTGTTATAAAGACTGTATAGTGGCCGGGCGTGGTGGCTCACACCTATAATCCCAGCACTTTGGGAGGCCAAGGCAGGTGGATCACCTGAGGTCAGGAGTTCAAGACCAGCCTGGCCGACATGGCAAAACCCTGTCTCTACTAAAAATACAAAAATTAGCCAGGCATGGTGGTGCATGCCGTTAATCCCAGCTGCTCGAGAGGCTGAGGCACAAGAATTGCTTGAACCCAGAGGCAAGTCAAGAATGTGTCACTGCACTCCAGCCTTGGTGACAGAGCAAGACTCTGTATCAAAAAAAAAAGAAGAAAAAAAAAGATTATGCAAAGTATGTATTTTTATGTATTCTTAAATTCAACTATGTAAAACTTCATTTGGTAAAGACTCTGCCAGGCGCTGTAATCCCAGCACTTTCAGAGGCCAAGACAGGCAGATCACTTGAGTTGAGGAGTTCAAGACCAGCCTGGCCAACATGGTGAAACACTGTCTCTACCAAAAAATACAAAAATTAGCCAGGCATGGTGGCATGCACCTGTAGTCCCAGCTACCTGAGAAACTGAGATGGGAGAATTGCTTGAACCCAGGAGGCAGAGGTTGCAGTGAGCCAAGATCTCGCCATTGCCCTCCAGCCTGGGCAACAGAGTGAGACCCTGTCTCAAAAAAGAAGAGAAGGAAAAAGAGAAGACTGGAAGGAAATATATCAACATTACTGTTGTAATGAGTATTGACTTTTTTCTCTATTTTCTAAATACTAGATAATGCTGTATTTTACTAGTTAAAAGTAATTTTAACTAATGAAGCTGTTGATTATATTTAATGAGAGTAATATTGGAGAAACAACTTTTGGTTTTGTTTAAAACCTGGGACTCAAATCAAATTGAACCCTGTATGTAGTTTAGAAAAGTATTTTAGAACTTTGGTTAGGAAATATATACCTCTGCTCTTAACTCCGTGCCTAACACATCGTAAGTCCCCAACAAAGGTTTGCTAACAATGACTCTTAACTTTCATGCTCTCTTAGTATGTGCTAAGCACTGTACTAGGTGCTTTCATCTGCATTGCCCTCATTTAATCCTCACACCACCTTAGGAACTAAAGATACTTGATACAGATTCTCCTGGCATCAGTCAGGAAACAACAGGGATACCTCATTCAGTTAGCTGTGCACTGCCTTGCCTCCAGAGCCATACAGGAGCCCTTAAAGTGAAGCCCAGGTAAAGGAGATGTCCATGGTCACATGGCTGTTAAATGCAGGAGTTGAAGTTTGAGCTACATCTGCCTTGCCCCAGAGCCTGTGTTGCTAGGCACTGTGCTAGCCTTCCTGTATCCTTGTACTGTAGATATAGGCCCATGTCAATGTTCTCGTTTTGTCTTGAGGAGTTGGGTGGGGACTGAATTTGTTCCTAGATGAGTAAAGAAAAAAAATTGGTTTTCATTAAGAGTTCTGATCTTTAGTCCAACTTAACTACATTTTAATTAATGTGTCTCGTTTTTAAAAATATTCCTCTATTTAGAGAAAAATGGGAAATTATGGTATCTTTTTATTGAAAATCTTTTAAATATTATTAAAAATTTGAGGTATTTCACCGGGCACGGTGGCTCACGCCTGTAATCCCAGCACTTTGGGAGGCCGAGGTGGGCAGATCACGAGGTCAGGAGTTCCAGACCAGCCTGACCAACATGGTGAAACCCCGTCTCTACTAAAAGTACAAAAAATTAGCCAGGCGTGGTGGTGAGTGCCTGTAATCCCAGCTACTCGGGAGGCTGAGGCAGGAGAATCGCTTGAATCCAGGAGACGGAGGTTGCAGTGAGCCAAGATCACGCCACTGCACTCCAGCCGGGGCGACAGTGAGACTCTGTCTCAAAAAAAAAAAAATTTGAGGTATTTCTAAATTTCATATACATTTCTAAATTTTTATTTAAATGATAAAGTTTGCATATTTTTATTTATAGTTATAAATATTTTTATTTATCTTAGTAGTATTATAGTACTACACAGATTTCTATCTAAAAAAAAAATTTTTTTTTAGATGAAAAGAGGCTTGATTAGTACTCCTCCATCAGATATGCTTCCTACAACAGAAGGTGGGAAGTCAAATGCCTGGTTACGGCAAAAAAATGCTGGCATCTATGTTCGTCCTCGACTCTTCTCTCCCTATGTGGAAGAAGCAAAGGTAATGAAAACCATTTGAAGATAGTAGACTACTTTATTACAAACCATATGCACAAAGTGGTTCACTGTAGTATTACTTAAATATTTGGAAATAGCCTATATTTTCAACAATAGGGAAAATGAAAGTAAGTTCTAGTTTGACTACTCAACAGAATAGTTTTCTAAAACGTTTAATTTTAATTAAGCATGTTTTTAAAACTTAGGTTATGTTAAAATGCATTTTATATTTTTCTCATTTTAGTTGCCTTGCAAATTGTTAACTGCCTTGCAAATTGTTACCACTTACTGAAAATGGTTGTCACTATTTTGTGATCTTGAGCATGAGGGAAATGTTCTGAAAGAAGATTGCCCACTTTTTTACTTCCTTCCTAAATTAAAGGAATGCCACGACCTCTTGTAACATATTTCTGCAATAGCTGACTGTTGGGAATTATGTTTAGTTTTAGAATAAATGCACAAACTAAGAAAAAATTTCAGGCCTGTTAAGTAACTAGTTCGCATTATGTATATTGTAACATAAAGAACTGTCCCAGAAAATACGGTAATGTGAAAATGAAACATCTAATTTTTATTAGATGTTCAGCCATAAGAACTTTCCGGGGTCCATCCTGGGCAACATGGTAAAACCCCAACTCTACCAAAAACTAAAAGGAAAAATTTAGCCAGTTGTGGTGGCGTGCACCCTGATTTCTGCTACTCAGGAGACTGATTTAGGAGAATCACCTGAGCCTGGGAGGCAAAGGCTGCACAGTGAGCCGTGATTGTGCCACTGCACTCCAACCTGGGCGACAGAGTAAGAACCAGTCTTCAAAAAAAAAACAAAAAACAAAAAAACTTTGGCCTTTTGAGGAACTGACAGTCTTTGAAAGCAGGAAATCCTTATTAAGCTTTCTGAAGTAAATTTAACAGACAAAACAGTGTGTATACTCAATGAGTATACAATCAAGTTGCCTCAAAATGTTTCTCATTTTTAAACCAGGCATGGTGGCTTACACCTGTAATCTCAGCACTTTGGGAGGCTGAAGCAGGAAGATCACTTGAGTCCAGGAGTTCAAGAGCAGCCTGGGCAACCTAGTGAGACCCTGTCTCTACAAAAAATAAAGATAAATTAAAAAAAAAAAAAACTAGCCAGGCGTGGTGGTGTGCTGTTGTAGTCCCAGCTATGCAGGAGGCTTGAAGTAGGAGGGTTGCTTGAGCCTGGGAGGTCAAGACTGCAATGAGCCATGATGGCACCACTGCACTCCAGCCCAGGCAACATTTTTCTTTTTTCTTCAAAAAAGAAAATTTGGTTTATTTCTAAGTCTCTTGAATTGATTATCAATCTTTTTTTTTTTTTTAAGACGGAGTTTCACTCTTGTCATCCAGGCTGGAGTGCCGCAGTGAGATCTCAGCTTACTACAACCTTCTCCTCCCGAGTTCAAGCAGTTCTCGTGCCTCAGCCTCCTGAGTAGCTGGGATGATAGGCACCCGCCACCACATCTGGCTAATTTGTGCATGTTTAGTAGAGATGGGGTTTCACCTTGTTGGCCAGACTGGTCTTGAACTCATGACCTCAGGTGATCTACCCACCTCAGCCTCCCAAAGTGCTGGGATTACAGGCATGAGTCACCACGCCCGGCCCTGATTATCAATCTTCAATATTTTGTATTTTGAGCACTTTGTTGGATTTGTTATTTAGCACATGTATACATTGTTTTATTATAATATTGTGTGTAATTTATTTCTGATTAATTTTATATCCTTCCTTCACATTTCAAATACTTCTAATTAAAAGCAGACTTTTCAAAAGATGGTTGTGTCTTTTCAAAGATGCTCCTAAAAGAGTCTTTAAAAGTTAAAGATGTAGGGGAACTTTCTTTCACCACTAATGTTAACATTTATAAAATAGAAATAAATTAATTCCCTTTTTATTTGATGAAAGTAATAGTCTTCCTTCAAATGTGATTTAACAGAGGAAGGTTGACTGGTTTTGTTAATACTGAATGATTATTTCAGTCAGTGCTAGATGAGATGATGGTGGAACAAACGGATCTTGTGCGCTTGCGAATGGTTAGAATGTCCAATGTGCCAGACACGCTCTACATGGTCAATAATGCCGTGCCACAGTGTTGTCACATGATCAGCCACCAGCAGATCAGCAGCAACCAGTCAAGCCCTCCTTCAGTTGTAGCCAACGAAATTCCAGGTAAGGCAGTATGTTGGGTGTTTATATTTAAATGAATAATTTATTGTTTTTTTGAAATTGCTGATGTTTGAGCCTCTCTGTATATGCTAATTCTCTCCACATTTCAATACTTTTTATGCCTTGTTCTCCTTAAAGAATAAACACTTTTAAGCCAAAACTTTTGCTTTATATTTTATTTTGTATTACTAAGTGTATACAGTTTATCAGTTTACCCTTGAGTTTCTCAGCCTTGGTCTTACTGACATTTGGGGCTGGATTATTCTGTTAATGGAGAGCTGTCCTGTGCTTTGTAGGGTGGTCAGCTGCATTCCTGGCCTGTACTCAATAAATGCTAGGAGCACATATGTGCATGCATGCACACCTCTCTGAAAACCTTTTGGAAACATTTTTATGTTTCTAGACATTGCCAGTTGTGCCCTGTGGGACAAAGTCACCCATTTTGAGAACCACTGGTTTAGAGGAATTCAGATTTTTTTTTATCACTATAGGGTATTTCTCAGGTTACAAGACCCTTTGGGAGGGTCAAATGCACTATCATACCTTAAAGTCTATGGCCTTCCTAGTCTATTATACCTTTGAGTCTGTGGCCTTCCAAAATGTGATCACTGTGGGTTTCCTAGAGATCCAATTTCCCAAGCTCTGCTCTGTGAAGTTTACTGTAGCACAGGTTTATGTCTTACGACTTTAGGGGAATTGGCTATCGATCAGGATATAACTGTCATGTCCAAAAACGTCTGAGCATCAGTAAATGTTGGCTTTAACCAAAGTAGTCTAAAAAAAGCAACAATGATCTGGTGGTCAGAAACTTGTAGCTCTTGCTAATTGCCATTGCAAGATTCAAAATAAAAACCAGCACACTATAGCAATAGAAATAGCACTATTTATTTCTGCTTATAAATGTCTACTGTAATTAAAGATGAATAAAAGACATAGTGACAGAACTTTTAATTGAATACATATATTTTATTCTGGAGCTAATGACTTTCTTCAGTTGTTACCTTATCAAATTTGGCCACTGCATATTTACTTGAAATATACATTAGTTAACAGCATGAAAAGAAATATTTCTTTAGCTGATTTATGCAGATTTTGAAGCTTTGCTAATTAGCCTGGCTTTTTAGGCTTGAGTTAATGCAGTTCAAAATCAGCATAATTTAATCTTAGAACTCAATCTCAGAGGTCTAGACATTCTCAAATAAGTATGCTCAGAAAAATAAGGCTTGTCTCTCTATTGTTTAGCTAATGAGGTATGGTCCTGTTCTGGTATCATCCTGGGTTCTTCTCACTTCCTTGCACACCACATTCATGAAAGGATGGATAGCTTGTTGCAGAGGATTAGGGGGCTCATATCTTGGCTCTGTTACTTTGTATGACTTTGGACATGGTATTAATATTTTCTTTCCTGAACATTAATTTCCTCATCCATGAATTGGGGCTCATACCTCCTTTCAAGAATTAGGAGGATTTAATGAAGCACCATGAGTAATATGCACAGGAGTTTGCCTGGCACAAAGTAAGCACTCAGTAAATGCCAGTTCCTTTTATCCCTAAAAAATAATAATCACTGCTCTAGTCAGTTTCTTTCATAAATATTTATAGACTCCATCCCCTCTCCAGCCCTACAGCTACAGCCCTACTTCAGGTTTCTAACCCGTGTTCCCGCCTCTCATCTTACTCAAAATTCTGTCTTTTACACCAGCTTGTCGGCCGGCATACTTTTTCTAGAAAGGGGCAGATAGTAAATACTTTAGGCTCTGTAGGCCATACAGTCTCTGTTGCTTCTATCTACTTAACTCCCATACAACAGCCGTAGACAGTACGTAAATGAATGGGTACAGTTACATTCCAATAAAACTTTATTTACAAAGGCAGACAGCAAGCTTGATTTAGCCTACCAGTCACAGCATGCCTGCCCATTTTACGTTAACATCAGAATGCACTTGTTCACAGCTCTGATCCTGTCATCCTCCTGCAAAAGTGACTGCCTGTTGTGCACAGGGTACAATTTAAATTCTTTATCCATGATCTGCCAGTAGCCATCTTTCTGCCTCCTCTCTTCACACTCTTCCTGCTTACAGCTCTGAACCCTAAGTTCTGCTGGCCATGCCAACCACTTCTGCCAGGCTGTCTCAGCATGTTTTACACATACCCAGTCCTTCTGCTGAGACAGCTTTTTTTTTTTTTTTTTTTTTTTTTGCCTATCTGGTTTCCTTTCATTCTTCAAGAATCTGCTCTGTGTACACCTTGAAGCCTTTCTTGTCTGTCCCCAGTCTGGCTGGGTGCCCCTTCCAGTCCCTCAGTGTCCTTTGCATATTTCTCTCCAGGAACATTTATGACCCTATATTGTATTTGTTTACTGCTGGTTTAGTTCATATCACTAAGCCAGAAACTTTTGAGAAGAGGAATCGTGTTTCATTCTGTGCACCCTAATATCCAAGTCCAATCCCTGGTGCATAGTCAGGACTCAAAAAATTATTTGAATAATAGAATGAATATATTTAAAGACTTCTGAAATATCCTGAGATTCAGACAAGAATACATGCAAGTAAAATTGTATTTGAACTGTAAACTAAATAATACAACTCGGGCTGTTCAGTATGATCAAGAGCCTTTTGGGCATAGTGAAATTTTAAAACCTTGAAAAATAATTAGAGATATATAAATGAATGTGTTCCCAGGAAATTAAGATACTATCTTAAAAACTTATAAGATTCTGGTATGAAATACATGCTTTTTTCCCTTGGGCTCACGGGGTCGTCTTTTGTGTAGCTCAGGAATTTTGCTTGCCCACTGTTGTTCTCCTTCCAGTTCCTCGTCTCCTCATTATGAAAGACATGGTCAGACGACTGCAGGAACTGCGGCACACGGAGCAGGTGCAGAGGGCCTATGCCCTGAACTGCGGGGAAGGCGCCACTGTCAGCTATGAAATTCAGATTCGAGTGCTAAGAGAGTTTGGTCTTGCAGATGCTGCTGCAGAGCTGTTGCAGGTAGGAAATGACATTAAACTGTTTAAAATAGGGAGCCTCAGTCACCAGACAGGCAGTATTGTGGGCATCCTGACGAGTCCTTGGCTTATTTCCTTTTCGTCGTATGTGCTTTTTCACTGCCTTTGGTGTCTTTGATAACCTGCAAGTCCCTCCTGGTGAGAGGCAGCGTCATGGAGTGGACTGAGCAGAGGCCTAGGATGAGAACTGGGTTTAAGTCCCGGCTCTGCTGCTTACTAGTTGGTTAACTTGGAATGAGTTACTTAACCACCCTGGGCATCAACAGCTCTTTTACCTGTAATATAAATTGTTATGAAGATCCAGAGTGCTATTGTACAGCAGCTATATTTCTGGTATGTAGCAAGCATACAAGTGGGGACTGCTAAAAAAATTCCACAGTGTGCATGCCCAGAGATGGCATGGAAGTAGAAAAGTCTGAACTTCCACTGCTCTCTCTTCCTTGTTTGGTCACTAGGTTTGAGGTTTGGTCTACTTCCTCACTTACACACCTTTCACATGCCCACTTTCGTTTCTGTTTTCCATCTTATAAGAAATTTCTTTCATGAGGGTTCAAACCCAAGCATGAGAATCAAACAGTAAGTGCTTTCTTTTTTAACCTACCAGGAAAAAAGAAAAAACTCATTTCTAGTAATTATTAGATACAAAAGCAATAGCACTGGTTTTGCAATTAAGATAGAATTTGTAAACTAGTCTGATCACAGCCACTAAATCAGAGCCTTAAATAAAATTTAATTTCATCTGGTTAGGTGATTCATTTTCTTGCTACAAACTCCAAACCCCTTTAATCCGTACCCTTTAAAAGGATAGGATGTGGCCGGGCGCAGTGGCTCACGCCTGTAATCCCAACTCTTTGGGATGCCAAGGTGGGCGGATCACTTGAGGTCAGGAGTTCGAGACCAGCCTTGCCAACATGGTGAAACCCTGTCTGTACTAAAAATGCAAACATCAGCCAGGTGTGGTGGCGTGGGCCTGTAGTCCCAGCCTCGGGAGGCTGAGGCAAGAGAATCGCTTGAACCTGGGAGGCCGAGTTTGCTGTGAGCCAAGATTGCACCACTGCACTCCAGCCTGGGTGACAGAGCAAGACTCCGTCTCAAAAACAAACAAACAAACAAACAAACAAACAAACAAAAAAGAATAGGCTGGACACAATGGCTGTAATCCCAGCACTTTGGGAGGCCTAGGCAGGTGAATCACTTGAGCTCAAGAGTTTAAGACTAGCCTGGGCAATATGGCAAAACCCTATCTCTACAAAAAATATAATAAATTACCCAGGCATAGTGGTATGCGCCAGTAGTCCCGGTTCCTCGGGAGGATTAGGTGGGAAGATCACTTGAGCCCAGAAGGTCAGGGCTGCAGTGAGCCATGATTGCACCACTGCACTCCAGCCTGGGTGACAGAATGAGACCCTGTCTCAAAAAAAGAATGAATGAATGAATGAATAAACATGGCATAGGGTTCTTCAGCAAGTCAGCAAACCACTTTTAGGTTCTTTTTCTTCTTTTTCCCCCTGCTGTCCTAATTTTCTACTGAACATTTTTAGGTTCTTGTTTTAGATTGTTGATTTTCATTTTTTGCTACAGTTTTTCTCCTTAAAATATATAGTCTGGTTTTCTACTCATTTCTTTTCCCTTTGCCATTCTAAATTGTGTCTGAATTTGGTACCTTAAATTGCATGACATATTCTTTTATAATGTTTACCAAAATATTGGTCAGACTTAGTCATGTATAATGGGTAATGAATAGTATTTTGTAGTTTTTATTTCAGACAGAGCAGGCATAGATGTCTTGTCAGAAAGTTTCTAGAACATCCTCAGTTGTATTCCTTTCTCCCTTTGGCATTTAATGTTAATCTCTTAGCAAAGACATATTAGAGTTTGGTTTTATTACCAGTTTTTGCATTATCACATAATCTGAGATGAGTGACCTGCTTGAGGAGCATTCGATCAAGCAGCTTTCTTTCATGGCTGTGTCCTAGGCTGCACTCTGTGCCTTTGTACTATAACTAAGGTGATTTTTTTCTTGGGCTTCTGGCCTAGAAAAATATATTATGCTTTTTATTCTTGCTGACTGTGGTTTTCTTAAGTACCTCACTTAATTCTCTCAGCCTATAAATTTCCACTTATGAAATCTGCTAATAAATGTCCTTTTTTTTTTTTTTTAATCTTTTTTAGAATCCTCACAAATTCTTTCCTGATGAACGTTTTGGGGATGAAAGTCCACTCTTGACAATGAGACAGCCTGGGAGATGTCGCGTAAACAGTACACCTCCTGCAGAAACCATGTTTACAGATCTGGACTCTTTTGTGGCCTTCCATCCACCCTTGCCCCCTCCACCACCTCCCTACCACCCCCCAGCTACCCCAATCCATAACCAACTCAAAGCAGGCTGGAAGCAAAGACCTCCCAGTCAGCACCCTTCACGTTCATTTTCTTATCCCTGTAATCATTCGCTGTTCCACTCCAGAACAGCTCCTAAAGCTGGCCCTCCCCCAGTCTACTTGCCGAGTGTGAAAGCTGCACCGCCTGATTGTACCAGCACTGCAGGACTGGGCAGACAGACGGTGGCTGCTGCTGCCGCCACCACCACCTCAACAGCAACAGCAGCAGCAGCAGCAGCATCTGAGAAGCAAGTGGTAAGTCAACACTTCAGTAACTTGCTTCAAATTCGGTTTATGGAGAATTAGAAGCAATTTTCTTGGCCCCAAGAGCCCCACTGGGACTCAGCAGTGCCCAGAAGTATTGCTGACAAGTGGAAGGCATAGACTTGAGGGGTATGGAAAAGAGGGAAAAACGCTAGTGTACTTGAATGAGAAAAGACAGGAGGAGAGAGACCAAGAGGTGTATATGGAGGAGTTGAGTATCTTCTTATCTTTATGTTCATTTGGCAGGATTAGGAAGGAATGGGGTTACTGAGCAACATAAAGGAATATACCAGTTTCATGTTCTGTTCAAGCACAGGTCTACAATTTGTCCCTAACTTCTACTATTCTGTAAAATCCACTGTTCTACCACATGCTTTAATCGGACAAGAAGCAAGAGCTACTTATAGCTAAGTACAGTATACCGTCAGGAATAATGTGGAAAAAACTCCCCATTCAGAAGATGAGCAGAAAATGAGGCCTCAGGGCCTCAGGCATGCCTCTGCCTCTGAAGCTCATCAGCAGAGCCCCCACTTCACTTAGAATCATAGTAGCCAGGGCTAGTAGGTAGTAAATTGATAGAGGATTCTTTGCTTGATTTTGCACTGTATTAGAGATTTTGTATAATATACTTTAAAAAGTTTTTTTTTTTTTTTTGGCCAGGTGCCATGACTCACACCTGTAATCCCAACACTTTAGGAGGCTGAAGTGGGAGGATCACTTGAGCCCAGAAATTCAGACCCAGCCTAGGAAACATAGTGAGACCCTGACTCTACCAAATAAACAAATGAATTAGCTAAGTGTGGTAGCACGTGCCTGTAGTCCCAGCTACTCATGGGGCTAAGGTGGGACAATCACTTGAGCCTGGGAGGTTGTTGAGGCTGCAGTGAGCTGTGATCAAACCACTGCCCTGCAGCCTGGATGACAGAGGGAGACTGTCTCAAAAAAAAAAAAAAAAAAAAAGATTTGTAAGATTTGTAAGTCTTCATACTCAGTCACATGCTATCAGTAGCAAGTTAGAAGAAAAGATTCACCTGTCAGTTCAGGGAAGCTTCATTAAAATATGGCTTATTGGAAGCTTGAGTCCAATTATGATCCTTTCTCAACTTTTCTTTTTAACATAACCTCAAGATTTTATTTATTTATTCATTTATTTCTTTATTTATTTTAGAGACAGAGTCTCACTCTGTTGCCCAGGCTGGAGTGCAGTGGTGCAATCTCGGCTCACTGCAATCTCCGCCTCCCGGGTTCAAGCAATCCTCCTGCCTCAGCCTCCTGAGTAGCTGGGATTACAGGCACGCACCACCACGCCCGGCTAATTTTTGTATTTTTAGTAGAGATGAGTTTTCACCATGTTGGTCAGGCTGGCCTCGAACTCCTACCCTCATGATCCACCCGCCTCAGCCTCCCAAAATGCTGGGATTACAGGCGTGGGCCACTGCGCCCGGCCAACCTCAAGATTTTATTATCTTTACCGTGAAACAAAAGATGATGCTTACAACTGGATCAATTGTCCCTTTCTCTTCTTATCTTCTCTGGGTTCAGCATGCTTGCATCTCTTAATAGCCAGCATCCTCTTAGATCTGCAGTTGAGCTCAGCGCACTCAACCTTCAGCACAGTCTTTGTAGTTTTACCCTTTTTCGGGAAAATCAGCCTAGTCTGCCCACCATAGTCACTCTGCTTCCTGTCATGCTGCTTTCCCTGGGCATACAGAGAATCCTTGCCCTTCCTCTACTGTGTCACTTTGTGGGATTGGTGTGTGCCACACTGTGACAGAAAGTCCGATGGGTTTTAGGAAGGTTCACCATGTTTGCAGGGGCACTGTTAGCACAGAAAGCCTTTCTCGCCTTCTTAGACCTCTCTACCTCCCCTCCCTGCTTCCCCCACCCCAGAATGGCGAAGGTTGGTCATGTTTGATAAACCAGATTCCCATTCTGTTGGGCCAGGCCCTCAGTTCTACAATTACAAAAGTTCTACTACTTTATATTTTAAATAAAACTCCCTTTAAAGGTAATTTATTTGTCTGTTCATTGCAGTCTTGACTATAATAATGAAAAATGGTAAACAACCTAGATGTCCAATAGTAGCAGAATGATTAAGTAATGGTTCATTGATGCAGTAGAACGTCACATAATAATTTAAAATGGTGATCTCAAAGATTTAGTGACAGATTATATAGGTACTAAATTTCATCAGTATATATGCAAAGGAGAAAAGCATAAAAAGAAAGACCTCAAAATGCTAACAGTGGTATCTCTGTTCAAAAGGTTGGAGTGATTTTTTTGCCTTTATAGCTTTCTGTATTTTTATAATTCTTACAAATTCAGCCAGGAGCGGTGGCTCACGCCTGTAATCCCAGCACTTTAGGAGGCCGAGGTGAGCGGATCACGAGGTCAGGAGATCGAGACCATCCTGGCTAACACATTGAAACCCCGTCTCCACTAAAAATACAAAAAATTAGCTGGGCGTGGTGGCGGGCACCTGTAATCCCAGCTAGTCAGGAGGCTGAGGCAGGAGAATCACTTGAACCCGGGAGGCAGAGGTTACAGTAAGCTGAGATCGCACCACTGCACTCCAGCCCGGGCGACAGAGCGAGACTCTGTCTCAAAAAAAAAAACAAAAACAGAATGTGTTAATTTTATAATTGGGAAACAAAATCAGTGAACATCATTTCTACAGAGGATGGGTCCTTTTTTTAACCCTCCCACCATTTTTGTCTCTGTCTGCAGCGAACACAACCTGTGCTGAATGATCTGATGCCAGACATCGCGGTGGGTGTGTCCACACTGTCACTCAAGGACAGGAGGCTTCCAGAGCTTGCTGTAGACACAGAATTAAGCCAGTCAGTTTCTGAAGCAGGACCAGGGCCTCCCCAGCATCTGTCGTGTATTCCACAGAGACATACACACACTTCTCGGAAAAAACACACACTAGAGCAAAAAACAGACACCAGAGAAAATCCACAGGAATATCCGGATTTCTATGACTTCTCAAATGCTGCTTGCAGACCTTCTACTCCTGCTCTCAGCAGACGCACCCCTTCCCCTTCGCAAGGTGGATATTTTGGTCCCGATCTGTACAGCCACAATAAGGCATCACCAAGTGGCTTAAAGTCAGCCTACCTACCTGGTCAGACGTCTCCTAAAAAACAGGAAGAAGCTAGGAGAGAATATCCACTTTCCCCTGACGGGCATCTACACAGACAAAAGAATGAGCCGATACACCTGGATGTCGTTGAGCAACCTCCCCAGCGGTCAGACTTTCCTTTGGCAGCCCCAGAAAATGCTAGTACCGGTCCAGCCCATGTCAGGGGACGAACTGCAGTAGAAACTGACTTGACTTTTGGGCTGACTCCTAACAGACCTTCACTTTCTGCATGTAGCTCTGAAGCTCCCGAAGAGAGATCCGGTAGAAGACTGGCAGACAGTGAGTCCCTGGGCCATGGAGCTCAGAGAAATACAGATTTGGAAAGGGAAGATTCAATAAGCAGAGGAAGGAGGTCACCAAGCAAGCCGGACTTCCTCTACAAAAAGTCTGCCCTCTGAGAGCAACCTCCAAGTCGTCTGTGCCTGAGATGTGAAACATCCCATTTTATGATGTAACCCAACAACTTACAGACCAGTTCATCAATGCCAGCTGATAACTCGGTTTCACATGATTTTGTTCTAGTTTTTGTGTATATATGTGTTTATTAGACATGGCATGCTAAGAAGGTTTTGTTTTTTTTTTTTAATGTTGCATCTGTCTAATTTGTCTTTGAACAATTATGTCGGGAGGCATTTTTAAGAACAAGCAGGCTGGCACTTTTTATTTCTCTTTACAAATGATGGAATTTTTTTGCACTTGTACATTTATTTTCTCTGTATTGATTTTATATCAGTATGTTAAACTTTATTGCCACATTTAAAGGACTGTATTTTCATACTTTTTTGCATTTTACCTTTCATCTACCAATCCATGTGCATTGGATTGCACACTAAGATGTATTTTCTTACGAAATAGTTCTGTGTTTATTTTTTAATTATAGAAATTCCAAAGAACAGCACATCAGAATGCTCCTCTCTTTTCAGTAATTGTTTTAGTTCAGAGATCTTCCCGCTCAGCCTCCATAAATCTAATGTCATTTTTTTTTTAATAAGTCCTAGGAGCTGGGCTTCATTCCTCCAGCGGGAGTCCAGTCAGGGTCCTGAAGTTTGCTGGTTCAGGAAAGAACAGGAAAGAGAAAAGCCTTCTGTGCCCAGGCTAAAGCTGTTACATTTCCACAGTGTGGATGCAGTCAGAATCCCTGCACATTCTGGTCATAAGGATTAGAGTCACCAGATGAGGCTCTAAACAGATCGCATCCCTTGGAATTAGAAAGCAGTGGAGACCGGGCGCAGTGACTCACACCTGTGATCGGCACTTCGGAAGGCCGAGGCGGGCAGATCACTGAAGCTCAGGAGTTCAAGACCAGCCTGGGCAACATGGCGAAACTCCATTTCTATAAAAAATACAAAAAAAAAAAAATCTAGCCAGGCGTGGTGGTGCGTGCCTGTAGTCCCAGCTACTTGGGGGGCTGAGGTGGCAGGATCGCTTGAGCCTGGGAGGTTGAGACTGCAGTGAGCCAAGATTGCACCACTGTGCTCCCACCTGGGCAACAGTGAGACCCTGTCTCAAAAAAAAAAAAAAAGGCAGTGGAAATAGAGAAGTAACTTAAAGGTCACACTGACAGAATTTCTGGTTCTGAGCGTCAACTCTCCAGCTGTGATGGCGGAACTGACTGCTTGCTGCCTTTAATTGTCTTGCTCTCTATGGGAAAAAAACAAAAGGGCTTCAGTCTCATGGATGTTATTTGGTGTTTGTAAAGATACGTTTTCTTTTAAACGATTTTCAAAATATGTCTAAATTTTGGTGTTGTGTAATGCATAATGCTTTCTCACCAACAGAAAAAAGGAAAAAAATTGTTTTCAGTTAAACACTACATGTCCTACTTGAACTCCACTGGGACGCTGGTTTGGCATTTACTAAACCACTGAGCACATGGGGTCTTTCAGGATCCTCTCCCTTGGAAGGGCAATGTGTGAGCTAAGGACTGTTTTTTTTCTTACTCTCCAATGTAAATATATGAGTATTTGAGTTTTTAAATCACTTCAACATTATTTGAGCATTTACTTTGTATTTTTACAAACACATAAACACACAGCCGTAGCACTTAGAAGAAAAGAGGCTTTCTAAGCATTCCTTCCTCTGCAGGATATTTGGGATCCTCTTTTCTATGTATGTATATATATAAAAAACTATGAATCACTCACACTCACTCGAAAACTATGCAGGGCTAGGGAGCGTTTATGAGCTACCGGGTAAATGAATTACATGCACTTTGAAGTAAATAGGTTTTCTATTGGGTGTCAACAACGCTGATTTCTCCCAAAACTATAGTTTCTCTTACGGTCTTTTCCTCCTTTACCCTGTGGATATACACTCAGGAATAATCTGACATTTTAGAAAAGCCGAACAGTAGATAGTCTCCAAGATGGGAAACATGTCGTGTGTCTGCACGCCCCGGCAAACTGCCGCCACTCGTTCTGCTGCCTGACTGGTTAGCTGCTGTGCGGGTGCGCTCGGTGACACTGGTGGTGGTGCACGCTCCCGAGCTCCCAGAGTTAACACTAATCTGCAGGTCGGCTGTGCATCGCATTCGAGGCTCCTTTTTTAAAGAGAAAAGCATAGGCCTCTGTTCTCATTTGTAAGAAGTTTGACTCATAATAGAAGACGGTGTCTTTTGAAGCCCAGTCTCTGTCTGTCTTCAGAAACAAAAGTGAATGCCGTCATGTTCCTTGATGTGTGTTTCTGCCACATATGTATGTTGACATGTTCATGTACTGCGCCGGTACTGCAAGTAAGACTCAACAGACCTAATTTGGATGGGGAGAAAAACTCTCATCCCTGACCCTTCCCCCCCCGCAAATGTTAGACCAGAGCTGTTGATCCCACACATTCATTTTTCTGAAAATTCATGAACTATTCTCTCATATCCCTGAAATATAAAAGTAAGTGGCCACTATTCCTAAGATTATTTAGTTTATAAAGTTTGCTTTTAATCATACAATAGCTTACCTGGCTAAAACTTTGCGTATAAAGGGAAAACTTGCTTTAATCTGTGGGATTGCGGACCGATGCGACTTGCAGAAGGTAAACAGGCGTGGGTTTTGTGTGCGTTAGGTTAGGTGTTAGTGGACTTTTAATGTATCTTGTGAAGTATGGTTACTAGGGTAGGTTCAAGAGCTACATGCCTCTGGCTTTTGAACCCATCTATTAAATCTTTTTTAATGCTGTACTAAGATAAATGTGAAGTCTGAGTAAGGTTGCTCTCAGAAAAAAAAAAAAAGCATATATATATATAAAATAAAATTTAGGCCATGGGAACTGGCATTTTACTTGGTATAGGAATTTAATGAGAACCAAATCACAAAAATACCAGATCTCCTTTTGAGATCGTGGACAATCAGGCCTTTGGACAATCACCGCTTCCAGTGCCCGCTGTGCGTTGAGGTTAGAGACCTACCGTTTACACGCTAGAGCCGAGAGGACGTTCAAGTTTCTTAAAGATGCTGTTGGTCTTTTTTCTTATGTTATTGTTTTAGTTTTGTGATTTTGATGAATAATTGAAGTTCAGAGTCACCCGTGGCTCCTAAGGAAAAAACAGCATCATGAAAGGCAAAAAGTATTTGAAACGTAATTGTTTCAATTTTCCACGCCCGTTCTCACATGCCCCCTTTAGCTTTATTTCTGGGAACATGTCACTAGACCTCAGCTAGCCTGACACCGCAATAACCCGTTAGGCTTTGAGGCTTTTCAGTGAATTCTTGACATTTAAATCTTCTTATAGAATTCTTTATGAAGCCTTAACTAATTCTTGTTTTTGCTTCCTCAGAAACTTTTTATTGCATCTGCCATCCTTCATTGGATTTTTGTTTTGGTTTGTTGTTGCCATTCTAGCAATGAGCTTAGTCCTTGTACATCTGCATTAAGGTGCCGATGCAGAAGGCAAATTGGAAACACGCGCCAGCGGCAGTGGGGCTCAAAGCCGACCTCCATGCATCATTCTCTAGAGTTGAAAGGATTGACATTTCTCAGTAACTACCCGGCAAAATATATATTTTCATAATGTTGAATTTGCCTTTTAGGAAAACAATGTTTCATGAAACACTTGTAAGATACTTATTTTGAAATTAATTATAAGGCATTCATATTTTTAGGACTGAATTCAAAGGGAAATGCTTCTTTGACTTTTTTTCATTGTTCGGTTGACTTTCAGCTTTCTGGAGTGACAAAGCAGCAGTGATGGGTGCTATTCCTGGTTCTGTGGTGGTTTACTTTGTCTACTAAGTGATTTACTTTCAAACCTCATTACAGATAATCTTACTAAAAGACTTAACATGCACACTGCTAAAAGGTGTTTTACTGTTTTCCATTAACGCTGTTGTATGAACAATATTTGGTGACATGTTGTCTTTTTGTCCTGTAGATTGTCATATCTGTTATGTAGTTATCCTTTTGGCAAGTCCTTTGATTTTTTTTTCCTCTAGAAAATCCTCAGACTGTCAATCTTCCATATTTTGAATATTATAATGCTGTGGCCATTTCTATAGAAAGATTACTTGCAAGTGTGTGTCTTGAAAATAACCTCTTGTATTTGTGTGTTTATGTGAGTTCTGTCTAAGAGATCAGATAAGCTCTGGAAGCTTCATCATCTGTACCTACATGTAACTGTATCTGGGTTACATGGGCAGGCGGTACCAAGTCCTGCTCTTCGATGGGGTGGCTGAGAGATAAAGGTTCCTGAACTCTCCTTGCTGTGTATGCACCACATCTGTACTTCAGAGAGGTGGAAAATCATCTACAACACTGCGTTTCTTGTGGTTGTGCTGTTACTGGTATAAAGTCAAGTGCCTTCAATGCTAAAGGCTCAGAAATTTTTCTTAAACTGATTTCATGTCCTATGCAAGTGTTTTCTACAACCTGCATAACCAGTACTTTGTAAAACTTGTTTACGCTTCAATTGTACATAGTGATTTTTAAAGAAATATATAGTATTTTTATTTAGGTACCTCCAAACTTGAATTCGTCTGTGTGAAGCATTGTAAAACGATACATTTCTCTTTTGAGTACCATTACAGTTGTACAGAGGTTTTCACTGCTTCTATTTTTCTACTGTTACTGATAAGCATGTAACACTGACTTTATCCTACATATAGTTGGCATTTCAAATAAATGGCTTGTATAGAATCTGCTGAGTTGGATACAGTCTGTTTTAGCAGTGGAGCATACAGTCTTCAATTATAGAAGTCATTGCACCCCTGGAGGGTAGAATTGGGAGGTTTTCTAGGTTGATTTTCTCTGTTTCTAGGATTTCAATCATTCAGAGGCATTTTATCATCATCATCATCATCGTTTTCTCGGAAATCACACATTTTATTCTGAATCATCAAGTTCATTATTTTCTATTATTTCATTGAGACATTTCTGAGAAATTTTATTTTACAAATTTGAGCGGAAAGTTCCTCTCACAGGGGTCTTCAGGATTGCAGGAAGCTCAGCATGGCACCCACGTGAACCAGGCACCTGGATGTGTCCTGCTCTTCAGGGCCCTTCGAGGGTCAGAGACCTGGCCTAGATTCTGAGCTTTGCCTTTGCTTTCACACCCAGGCTCAGTAATATTTTCAATTTCAAAAGGAAATGAGATCATGGTCTAGAGTCTAGGATTCTGGAAAAAAAAAAAAAAAACGCAAAATGGAAAGTTTTCTAATTTCCATTTTTTAAAATTGCTACAAAAGAGCTCTTATTTTGTTTTTTATTTTTCAGACAATGTCTTGCTCTGTCACCCAGGCTGGAGTGCAGTGGTGTGATCACAGCTCACTACAGCCTCAATTTCCAGGCTCAAATGATCCTCCCACCTCAGCCTCCCGAGTAGCTGGGGCTACAGTCAGTGTTACACCACTATGCCTGGCTCATTTTTAAAATTTTTTGTAGAGACAGAGGAGGGGGTCTCACTACGTTACCTAGGATGGTCTCAAACTCCTGGGCTCAAGTGATGCTCCCACCTCAGCCTCCCTAAATGTTAGGATTATAGGCATGAGCCACTGCAACCAGCGAGCTCTTTAAAATGTTTTTTATCATTTCAGTGCCAAATTCTGTCCTAGCATCTCACTCTTCATGCCTTACTAACAAGTTATTGCTTTATAGTTTGTAACCATCTTAGGTTTAACAGAAGGGTATAAAGATAAAATAAAATCTAAGGTTTCTGTGGGTGAGCTTCTTAAATCTAAACAAGAAAATTGAATAAATCAACATTCATTTCTGTACTTGTGGATTATTCCTGGAAAAATGAACTCGGGCTAGCTTCCCAAGCCACTTTAGGCTTTACCTCTCCTCAATCCATTAGGGAATATTTCTTGAGTCCACTCCTCCCGGAGTCTGGGAATATGGAGCAGCAGACCAAACAGACAGGAACCCCAGTCTCAGAAACTCACCTCTAGCTGGAAATGACTTTTGTCCTAAAAACAAAACAAGGCCAGGTGCGGTGGTTCGAGCCTGTAATCCCAGCACTTTGGGAGGCTGAGGCAGGTGGATCATGAGGTCAGGAGATTGAGACCAACATGGTGAAACCCCATCTCTACTAAAAATAGAAAAATCAGGTGGGCGTGGTGGTGCGTGCCTGTAGTCCCAGCTACTCGGGAGGCTGAGGCAGGAGAATCGCTTGCACCTGGGAGGCGGAGGGTGCAGTGAGCCGAGATCATGCCATTGCACTCCAGCCTGGCAACAGAGTGAGACTCCATCTCAAAACAAACAAAAAATACAGGGCAGTTATCACAGCTAAGGGGAAGACCAGCTTGAAATGGACCAGGAATGAAAACAGGAGGAGAAATGCTGGAAGCAGCACTAACACTAAACAATGTAATCTTTTCTAATCCCTCATTGAGTTAGGAACTCCTTCCTTTGATCCTCTGTGAATTAAGTACTATTATTTGTGCCATTTTACAAAAGAGAAAAGCCCGGAGATACTGAGCACCTTGTCCAAGGTCACACAGCTAGAAAGTTGGCAGAACTTGGGCTCAAACCCAGGTAGCCTGGCTCCAGAACCCCAGTCCTCAGCCGTTGTGTTGTTCTGCGCATCAGGAAGTCCGGTGGTCCGGGCGGGGTGGGGGGGACTCTAATGTGCAACAGGTGGAAGCAGGTTCAAGGATGGCAATCAGTTGTTCATCCAGTCCGTTTTTCCGAACATTGCTAGATGCTGAGACAGCAGAGTCATGAACAAAACAGTCACAGTCCCACTCAAAAACTGTTTGAGTTTCCAAGAAGAAAAGACATTGAAGAACTACACAGGTAAGGCTCGATGTCTAACTGGTCCCAGGGGTGGGAAGGCTTTGTGTGGGAGTGACCTTGAAGGTGCAGGTGAAGGAAGAGACGAGCAACAGGGTGAGGAGTGGGGAGGGAGGGCTCCATGGAGAGACCAAGCCTGGACAGAGCTCAGGGGAGTGAGAGGGGGTGTGGGACCCTCCTAGGGCAGGGTGAGGCTTCTGAAGTTGGCTATAATGGCAACTCAAAAGCTACTAGGGCTGGGGTGGTTCACCAGATTTGCATGTTCCAAATCACTCTGGCTATTGCATGGGAAGTGGTTGAAAAGAAGCAGGAGTAGATTGAGAGGTCCAGACGGGAGGCTGCCGTAGCCGTCCAGGGGAGAGCTGCAAGCAGCCAACAAAGAGAACAGATTCGGAATCTGCTGACGGTGCCGTGTCTGCGTGACTAGGTGCTTGCTCAGTGTGGGAAAGGAGGGGGAGCCAGCTCTGGGGGGAAGATGGCGTTAGTGTTGGTCATGTTGACGCGGGAATGATTGCCAGGCAGCCAACTACTAGGTGGCAACTAGGTGTCAGCTGGGAGTCAGAGGAAAGGATTCTAGCTGGAGGCTGTGTGGGGGTTGTCCACATATATGGGTGGCACTTACAGCCTTAGGAGTAGATGGTGTGATTAGGGGAAAGGTTTAAAGGAAGATGAAAGAGGGCCTGGATGATGAACTTGGGGGACTCCAACCTTTCCAAGCCAGCTGGAGGGAGTTGCTGGCCAAGGGCAGCCTAGCAGACAGAAAGAAAACCAGCAGTGTGCTGCACAGAAGACCAGGCTGGGACAACTTGAGAAAAGAGGGAATGTGATCTTTAGAATAAATGAAGTGAAAGAAGCAGTATACAAAATAATGCATCCATATGCTCCCACTTGGAGAGAAGACAAAAAAAAAAAAGGAATGAATGCAAATACATACATAAACATTTCTGCAGCCAGGCGCGGTGGCTCACGCCTGTAATCCCTGCACTTTGGGAGGCCAAGGCAGGTGGATCATTTGAGGTCAGGAGTTCGAGACCAGCCTGGCCAACATGGTGAAAACCCATCTCTACTAAAAATACAAAAATTAGCCTGGTGTGGTGGCAGGGGCCTGTGATCCCAGCTACTCTGGAGGCTGAGGCACGAGAATCGCATGAACCCAGGAGGCAGAGATTGCAGTGAGCCGAGATTGCACCGAGCCAAGATTGCACCACTGCACTCCAGCCTGGGTAATAGAGACAGACTCAGTCTCAAAAAAAAAAAAAAAAAAAAAAATCTGCAAGAATGTGCACAGGACTCCCTCTGGAGAGGGTCATTGACAATACATGCAACTGCCAATTAATGGCATCCTTTTTGTTCTGGTTGAGTGTTTAAATGATATGCAGGTATTACTTTTTCAAGTTAATTAAAGGTAAGAGATTAAGGCTCAATTTCACTGCTATCCAAAAGTTAACCCTGTGGCTGCTGTTCCGAGGTTTTGGAAGATCAGGCCCCTAAGGCGGGTTGGGTCAGCCTCAAGGTGAAGGTGTTTGGAAGAGCAGTTTGGCGGCAGCTGGAGAGAGAAGCCAGGTGGGGCAGATGCGAGTCTGAGTGGGAGGTGAGAAGGTGGAGATGATCTGTGTAGACAGCCTTTTTGAGTAGCTTAGTGGTGGAGAGGAGGGAAACTGAAGGCGTTTGAGGAGTGAGGAGACCCGACCGAGCTGTCCCTGGAAGCTGGATGGGGTCATCATTACTGTCATCTTGTGGGCCAGTCATGAGAGACCTTGTCACATACATAGGCTTCCCTCGTCCCCTGGGAAGCTGGTTGACTTATCAACAGGAGAAGGAAGTCGGCTCTGCATCATTTGTTCTTTTTTTTTTTTTTTATACTTTAAGTTCTGGGTTACATGTGCAGAACGTATAGGTTTGTTACATAGGTATACACGTGCCATGGTGGTTTGCTGCACCCATCAACCCGTCACCTACATTAGGTATTTCTCCTAATGCTGTCCTTCCCCTAACCCCCGACCCTCTGACAGGCCCCGGTGTGTGATGTTCCCCTTCCTGTGTCCATGTGTTCTCATTGTTCACCTCCCACTTATAAGTGAGAACATGCGGTGTTTGGTTTTCTGTTCCTGTGTAAGTTTGCTGAGAATGATGGTTTCCAGCTTCATCCATGTCCCTGCAACGAACATGAACTCATCCTTTTTATGGCTGCATAGTATTCCATGGTGTACATGTGCCACATTTTCTCTATCCAGTCTACTGTTGATGGGCATTTGGGTCGCACCATTTGTTCTTAAGGACTCCTCACTTCCTATTTTCAGCTCCTCTCTCCTGGGGTTCAGAAATCATTCCACAGTAGCTGCTAGTTTGTTTTAGAAGCCTCTAGGGGACACCTGTCAGGTCACCAGTCCATAGTTTCCAGAATCTACCATCCCCCACCTAAAAGTACAAAAGCAAATGAATTGAGATATATGGTCGTTTCTGGCGTTGGGGCCCGTGTCTCTCTCTCGGTCGTCGGTCGTCCTGCATAGATTGCCTGCGGTGTGCTGTGAATAGTTTCCAGGCCACGTCCTCAGGGCCTCCCGGCTCCTTCCGCCCGTGCTCGCCTGCTTTTGCTCTGCGTGTTCAAGGCTGTCCTCTCACAGAAAGTGTGGAAGCCAGTCATGTGTTTCCACGCTCCCTGTGGTCAGCTAACTGTCCTTGCTCCACAGCTGGCTTTATACATGGCACTCACGGTCTTGGGGTTTCTCACGGGCGTCACCCCAGTCTGGAGTTTAGCTCCATGGCCCACCCAACAGGTCCATCTGTTCTGTCTCCAAGCCTCTTGGCCATGGACCCTTTTTTATTCTGTCTCTGAAACCCAGAGCTCACCAGTTCCGTACAACCACGTCCATTTCCTCCCAGTGCCAGCCCGGTGCCTTTCCCCCGGCCTGGGACTAAGCTGTGTCCCTCGGAGAGCTCGCCGCTGCTTTGAGCCTCATCTAGCAGAGCCTTGGATTCTGGGCTGTCATGCCTTGTCTCCAAGCTTTGGGGAGTGTTCCTGTGCCCGCTGCTGGCCTGTCGGGGGGTCTTCAGAGAGGGTGAGGAGGCGGAGCCAGGAAAGCCTGCCTGGGAGGAGGGAGGAAGGCACGGACTGGGGGATCCTCGGGGCGCCTGCAGGGCAGGGCCAGGGCAGGGCCAGGGCTGGGCCTGCCTCTGCCACTTCCTGGCTGTGGAAGCTGGGGCAAAGCGCCTAACTGAGTCTCCTCATCCTTAAGCTGGAGATGATGCGAGTGCGCTTCTTGAGCGCTGGTCGCGAAATTTCCATGTCTGACTCGCGATCCTCAAGTCACCGTGTGCAATAGTTCTCATCCTCAGGCTCAGGTGAAGAAACTCCTCCTCAATACCCACCTTGGAGGGCTGCTGCGGGGTCCTGTGGGCACCTGTTGACGCCTGTACTCTCCTGGAATTCCTTACCCTTCATTTAGCTAGCTCCACAAATATCCTCCATCTCTGGAATCTTCTGGTACAGCCGTTGCCAACCCTTTTGGCACCAGGGACCGGTTTCATGAAAGACAATTTTTCCACGGACAGGGGTCGGGGGGGTGGTTTCGGGATGATTCAAGCGCATTACTTTTAGCATTGGATTCTCATAAGGAGCACGCAACCTAGATCCCTCGCATGCGCAGTTCTCAATAGAGTTCTCCTGTGAGAATCTAATTCTGCCGCGGATCTAGCAGGAGGCGGAGCTCAGGCGATAACTCTCGCCGCGCACCTACTGCTGTGTGGCGCCGATCCTAACGGGCCATGGACGGTACCGTGGGCCCCCTGTTCTAGCAGATGCACCATAAATGCCTCCCTGCCCTCTGAGACTGAACTAAAAGCAATTGTTCTTCCCATCTCTCCATGTTCCAACGGAGCCACTGAAATCCCTGGGGAGTCCCTGGGAAGTCCAGCTGTAAGTGATCCCGAGAGAACTCAGTGCCCCCAGCATCCCACCATTCCCGGGGCTGATGGGACTGGGCTCTTTGCAGAGTTGCAGTCAGGTGACCCTGTGCCTGCCAATCCCGCTCTCCCGAGTCATTCGCCAGCCTTCTTCCTACAGAAGTCCCCTGATCGCACCCACGGTTGTTTCTCCAGCCTGCTCAGGGTGTCCTCCCTGCCCCCCAGTGCCAGCGTCCTTGTGCTCCTACCCCTCCCCTCCTGCCTCCTGTCCTGGCTGCCCTCCTAGCTCCTCCTCGCCCACTTAGCCCTCTCCCAGGACGTGGGCTCCTTCTCGCTCTTTCCACGGACTCTGTGTCAGGAAGGGCGGCGGGTGACGTCTCTAACACCCCAGCACCTCTCCAGCCCCCACGGCCCAGTGTCCCGCTCCCACCTTTGCAGCTGCCACCCCCAGTCACTCCTTTCGTATCCTGAAGGCTTTGGCTCCAACCTAACATCCTCTCCCTCCAATCCCTGGTGTCATCCTGGTAGCTGCCTAGACCGTCTCCAGCTACCTGTCCATGGCACAGCTCTCCCCTGTCCCCAGAATATCTCCATCTTTGAAATGCTAACCTCACTGCCCGCTCTCAGGCCGGATCGCCTCCTGTCCAGAGCCTCTCCCTGGTCCTCCTCTGGAACTCTGGCCTCCTTGCTCCCCTGCCAGGATGGCCCAGCTTCCATAGGTGGCAGCCGTCTCACCATGCCCAGCTGCGACCCATCCTCCCCGCCCAACTCAACCCATAAACAGTGTGTCCATCTTCAGCTTTGGGAGACTGAAGACAGCCACGCCCCCGTGGTACCTGTGGTCCCCAGCCTCCCGTGGCTCGGTGTGCCTGAGTCCTGCGGGTCAGCCTTAACGTGTTCTCCTCGGGGCCACTTTCCGCCCCCTCCTCTCACCTGAGCCGCCCTCCAGCGCACTCCTTCCCCCCACCTCCTCTTACCTGAGCCATGCTCCAGCTCACTCCTCCCCTCCCACCTCCCAGGGAAATGGAGGCTGCCTATGGAACTCCCTCGATTTTGAGGCCTCATTCCAACACCCTCACCCGCATCCCCCACCACCAGGTCTGGTGGTCCTTCTGTCCCATCCTATCCCATCTTCTAACAGCTCCAACATCACCTGCGGTCCACTCTCAGCAATGGCTCCACCTTAAGAATGTGCGTTGGCCCAAGTGTCTCTGAACTTCAACAAGCAACTCCCTGGACTGGCCTTCTGCAGCCGCGCCCTCTCCTTGTCCCCTCACAGTAGTGCCAACTGTGGCCTCTTCTTGCAGCCCACACCCTGCCCTCTGCAATCTGGCCTCTGAACTTACCATGGGTGATGACCGTAAGTCCACATCCAAGGTAGCAGGAGTTGTGGGGAGGCCAAAGATGGGCCACTATACTGGCTTTTTGGGTTGCTTTTATATTTACTTAGAAATAATGGCTACTGTGTAGGGTGGACCTCACATTTTCCTCAGGATGTGGGCTCCAGCCCTCTCTCCCTCTGCATGCAGCAGTACCTGAACACTGTGACTGGTCACAGCCCAGCCCATTGCTTTGTTCTGCTGTTCATCTAGACCCCAATTATTAGACCCCAGGGGGTATGGTGAAGTCGGGGGGATGAAGGAGCTCTGCTCGGGGGACCTGGGATCAGGCTGCATTTTACAGAACAGCAGAATAATGAGCTACCCAATGTCGTGAACCAGTCCCTCTGCTTTGAGGGCAGGACCTCAGGGCAGGAAGAGCTGTTAGAATACACCATTACGTTTCTTTTGAAGGATGAGGTCTCACTCTGTTGCCCAGGCTGGAGTGCAGTGAGTGGCTGGCTATTCACAGGTGCAACCACGGCACTCTATAGCCTCCAACTCCTGGGCTCAAGCAATCCTCCTGCATCAGCCTCCCAAGTAGCTGGGACTACAGGCGTGAACCTCCATGCCCGGCTCTATGCATTTTTTCTTTTTTTTTTTTTTTTGAGACAGTCTCGCTCTGTCGCCCAGGCTGGAGGGCAGTGGCGTGATCTCGGCTCACTGCAAGCTCTGCCTCCCGGGTTCACGCCATTCTCCTGCCTCAGCCTCCCGAGTAGCTGGGACTACAGTCGCCCGCCACCACACCCAGCTAATTCTTTGTATTTTTATTAGAGATGGGGTTTCACCATGTTAGCCAGGATGGTCTCGATCTCCTGACCTCGTGATCTGCCTGCCTCGGCCTCTCAAAGTGCTGGGATTACAGGCGTGAGCCACCGCGCCCTGCCTGCATTTTCTTAAAACCTGCAGAGGGAGGCTGTGTAGACTTAAATATACTAAAAACAATCTGAAAAGCAACTATTTTGTATTGGTTTTATTTAAATTTTACAGAAACCTGATCAGAGTTAAGTATGTAATTATAAGTCCAGTAACAATTTCTACAAAAATGCACATACAATGCCAGAACTCCTTAAAAGCAACTAATATCATATTTGTGTTTTGCATAAAACATGCATTAATATGTTGGCCAAAATCAGTCTCTACAAGAAGAGACAGTCCAATACAGTCAATAAGAAAACTAGTTGTGAACAACAGGTAAAAAAAGAGGTTTCCAGTTAATGTGAAAGAAGGAATAGTACCTTTCATAAAACAAGCCCTTCAGCGCTGAGTTAACTGATCGGTACTATTGTGCTGCACGTAATGTAACACATCACCTCCAAGACTTGGTCCTGATTGGTCATAGGAAGTAAGGGACTTTCTGGTAGTTACATCAGATATTTGAGAAGATTAAAAGTTTTCCGGACATGATGGTATACTAATAGTGCAACCTTGCAAAAAGGGTTCGAAACATTGTCAGACTTGGAAGAGTTCCCCAGCTTGATAAACAACCTCAAAGACACCCCGAGCCTTTGAACGGAGCCCTCTGCACAAGGCCAGCTCAGGGCTCACCAGCATGTCCTGTGGCCACAAGACCTTCCAGCTCCACATACCACCCTTCGTGAGGATCTGCAATTAGGAGCCTGAGTGCCGAAGAACATGGTTGTGCCATTTCTTTGAGGCTTTGACTTTTTATAAGGCCTAGTTCATCTCATCCAGGGATTGGGCACTCGAATGAATACACAGATGCTGGACACATAAGGAGTATTAATATACATGGTGGCCCCACAGCCTGAAATGCTTTTATTAACATACATCAAGGTGTGTCTCCGACTGTCAGGAAAGACCTTGGTCCTCCAGAGGCAGAGAGAAGCTGAGGGTTCTCTATGTATCACAAGGCATTTCCTACATAGACTGAGGGGTGTTAAAGAGATCTCATATCAACTGAAAGGACTTCCCCTCAAATGTGGGGCTCTGTACAACCTTCCATGAGGATCTTCAAAAAAAAGATCTCATAGTCGTTAGGGAAGTGGCGGTGGACATTAACATTATATACACAAAACTCATCATTCGTGCAGCCTCGGGCCTTGTTTGTAATCTCTTCCACAGTCTGTCTCTTCCAAAACAGGGCTCCCTGCCCTGCTTATTTCAAGTAAGCTAAGTCAGGATCTGTTTTCTTTAGCAGATTCAAGGGGGAAAAATAATAATTTATTGGGGTTCTAATAACATTTTCATAACAGAATATCAAAATAGGTCCATTTTTGATATATGCTTATGAATATCCCTGATAATATCAAGAAATCCAGAGGACTTCGTAAACCACCAAGATTTCACAGGGGTGAGACCCGGTCTGTTTTCTAGGCAGCAGAGAAGGGACTAGTATACGGGCAAATGTTCTCCAGGAAGCCCTGTGAGCACTACAGTACTGAAATTCTAATTCTAGTGCCAATAGAATCATGAACGAAAATTTCACTTGAACTGTATTAGTAAAATTCATAACAAAGGCTTGCTTCCTCAACCCTGTCATCTGTTAATCTCTCCGCCTGTGACAGACATCCAGACCAGAAAACCATCAGTCCTGGCTACTCTGGAGGTTGGGCCTAGAGAAAACAAGCCCCAAGATCCTTTCTAAGCTATGACCAAACCTCAGAAAACAGGGACGTGAAAGAAGGAGCAGACCAGGCTTGAGGAAGCTTTGACCCAAGGCACCACGATCATAGGGGCGAGGGGACCTGTAGAGGTTCTAGGTGACGGGAAGAGAGCCTTCCGTGATGCCTGCGGAGGAGGTTCTGGAAGGCAACAGCTCTGTGGCAAAACACACACATCTGGGAGTGAAATAACAGATCATTAAACAAGACACCAATTTGCTTTCTCAAAACAAAATCAAACTTAAAAACTATGCAAATAACCCTGGGTGCACTGGAGTAGGAGTACACTGGAGAAGTCTGTGGAATGAGCTGCATCAGCTGAGTCACAGAGGACGCTGGCTGTGAAGTCAGCATCCACACGGTGGCTACTGCAGCTAAAGAGAATGAAGGGAGCGCGAGGCCTCTCCAAACAGAGGAGGACGGAAAGGGGGCCAAATGTGAACCACACCTCTTTTATTCCAAGAATGGGAAGCGCATTTTCATTGGCTTGAATGAGAAAGCTTCATACTCCACTCTAGCTGCAGTAATACTGCATCCCATCCACTCTTCTTCTCTTTTTTGACTGAAACTCTTCAAAGAACTGCTGAATGTCCTCTCTCTTAACAACCTGTTTTTGAAAAGCAAAGATTATGAAAGAGAACTAAGTAACAGAATCGCAATCCGAGGTCATAGCATTCACAAACAAGTCAAATGATACTGTTAAGAATTATGTTAATGATAACATCTCCATTTTCTATTTTTTTTTTTTTTTTTTTTTGAGATGGAGTGTCGCTCTGTCACCCAGGCTGGAGTGCAGTGGCACGATCTCGGCTCACTGCAAGCTCTGCCTCCCGGGTTAACACCATTCTCCTGCCTCAGCCTCCCGAGTAGCTGGGACTACAGGCGCCCGCCACCAAGCCCGGCTAATTTTTTTTTGTATTTTTAGTAGAGACGGGGTTTCACCGTGTTAGCCAGGATGGTCTCGATCTCCTGACCTCATGATCCGCCTGCCTCGGCCTCCCAAAGTGCTGGGATTACAGGCGTGAGCCACCGTGCCCAGCCTACGCCTGGCTAATTTTTAAATTTTGTGTAGATACGAGGTCTCACTATATTATCCATGCTGGTCTCAAACTTCTGAGCTCAAGTGATCCTCCCGCTTCCTCCCAGAATGCTGGGATTACAGGTGTGAGCCATGACACCCAGCATGTTTATTTTTTACTGAGGTAACACATGCTTATTGTTAAGAAAGAAGGACAGTGAGACAAGGAAAGTGAAGGAAAGAGAAAGAAAAATAGAGCACGTGAATGAATTCGAGCAAAAAGGGAAAGAGATAAAGAGAAAGTAAGAAAGAGGGGTATAAAGTGAAAACTTCCCTCTCATTCCCTAGTAAGTGTGGCTACCATACTCAAAAGAGCAACTTGGAATAATGCTAACTTGGAATAATTTTCTCAGACCAGTAGCTGATACACCAGTTTCATAAGCACCAACAGTAATACTGCTGCTCAACCAGTGAGGAATCCAAACCCCTAACAGATTCAGGATGCAGAGGCTGAACACATCCTGAAATGACTGCAGCTCAAAATTCTAATGTACTTGGCTAAATGGCACGGGAATTTACACTTAACAAAATGCTAATAAATAGGATACTTGCAAGTTGCAAAATGAAGGATCTGTCCCTACCCTGGATTACAAACATTAGCCACAGAAAGCCCGTAAGTAAAAGGAAATATCTCTAGCAAGGATACTGTAGGAGGAGACCTAACAACACACAAATGAGACTGTGCAGCTTTTGGTTTCTGGATATCCTCAAATGGTCACAGCTAACGTGCAGAGTAGAAACGCTAGTGAATAAATACTTGGGTTCAATAACAAATCAGTTTTTTAATTTATTTCAGAAAATGTGTAGTTTCTAAGTTTATTAATTATTATTGCTTTTTAGAGACAGGGTCTCGCTCTGTCACCCAGGCTGGAGTACAGAGGTGTGATGATAGCTCATTGGAGCCTCAAATTCCTGGGCTCAAGCGATCCTCCGATCTCAGCCTCCCAAGTAGCTGGGACCACAGGCACACGTCACCATGCCAGCCTAATTTTTTTTTTTTTTTTTTTTGTAGAGGCGGGGTCTCATCATCTTGCCCAGGCTAGTCTTGAACTCCTGAGCTCAAGCAATCCTCCCACCTTAGCCTCCCAAAGTGCTGGGATTCCAGGCATGAGACACTGCACCCAGTCTAAGTGGTTTTTTTTTTGGTTTTTGTTTTTGTTTTGTTAGATACAAACATTAAATAAAAGGCAGTCCACCATCTAAGAACAGCTAGAACTTATTAACATTATCCCTATGGACAAATACAACCAAAGCAGATAAGCTTTATGGCAACCTGAGGTTTTGTTTCTTTTTCTGTGAAGATCTGGTTAGTAATGTCATGGAACAAACAACAAAAATACCACATTTTTCTGACCTTTTAAATTATCTGGTCAGATAAAAAATTCTCTCCTAAAGACTCCTAAAGAGTGGCGCTAGTGATAACAAGGACCCGGATGTTGAAGATACCTGTGAAGACCTTGAGTAAAAGTCTCCAATGTGCATGAAAAAGAACATGCCTAACTTTTTTCTTTTATGTAATTTTAAGTATATGTTTGTGATAAAATAAAGAAAACCGACCACAAAAGAGTGGAGGTGCAACAGCACCAGCATCAAGAGGGCATGCCTGCACACTATTTGAAACACCTCAAATGTCCATTGACAGTTCAGAGGTTACCACACTGAGGCAGAGTGCCCCATTACACCCATGAACATTCTTAGTTCTAGCACCAAAGAAGCTTGAGTCTGTATTAACCAGAGGATAGTCTCTGCAACAGAAACAAGAATAACTACATTAAGTTTTAAGAACTGTAGGGAAGGCCGGGCGAGGTGGCTCATGCCTGTAATCCCAGCACTTTGGGAGGCCAAGGTGGGCGGATCACAAGGTCAGGAAATCGAGACCATCCTGGCTAACACGGTGAAACCCCGTCTCTACTAAAAATACAAAACATTAGCCGGGCGTGGTGGCGGGTGCCTGTAGTCCAGCTACTTGGGAGGCTGAGGCAGGAGAATGACATGAACCTGGGAGGCACAGGTTGCAGTGAGCCGAGATCACGCCACTGCCCTCCAACCTAGGCGACAGAGCAAGACTCCATCTCAAAAAAAAAAAAAAAAAAAAAAAAGAACTGTAAGGAAGTAGGAATTGTTCTCAGTGATAGTGAAGAAGTCTCTAAAAACTGAGAAAACCACTTAGAAGAAGGCTCTTTTAACTTTACAATTCATTTTGCAGAAAGGCAGCAGGCAGCACTGTGACCCTGTCCAGAAATTCAGGCAGTTAAATGTTCTTCCCACATCTATGACAAAGAAAAAAACGACCTAACCTTTTGCGGGTGGTGGCGAGCGCGGAGAGGACGCCATGAAGGCCTCGGGCACACTATGAGAGTACAAGGTGGTGGGTCACTGCCTGCCCACCCCCAAATGCCACACACCGCCCCTCTACCACATGCGAATCTTTGCGCCTAATCACGTTGTCGCCAAGTCCCGGGACTTCTGGTACTTCGTATCTCAGTTAAAAAAGATGAAGAAGTCTTCAGGGGAGATTGTCTACTGTGGGCAGGTGTTTGAGAAGTCCCCACCGCGGGTCAAGAACTTCGGCATCTGGCTGAGCTATGACTCCCGGAGCGGCGCCCCCAACATGTACCGGGAATACCGGGACCTGACCACCGCGGGCGCTGTTACCCAGTGCTACCGAGAGGTCTATGGGCGCCTGGCACCGCACCTGGGCCCATTCCATCGAGATCCTGAAGGTGAAGGAGATCGCAGCCAGCAAGTGCCGCCAGCCGGCCGGCCATCAAGCAGTTCCACGACTCCAAGATCAAGTTTCCCGCTGCCCCACCGGGTCCTGCCCGTCAGCCCAAGCCACGCTTCACCACCAAGAGGCCCAACACGTTCTTCTAGGGGCAGGGCCCTCGCCCGGGTGTGCCCCAAATAAACTCAGGAACGCCCCCCACCCCAAAAAAGAAAAAAAAGGAAAAAATGACCTAAAGTAGGTAGACAGAGATGACATCTTCTAAGAAAGCAGGGCTCAAGCCAGCCTCCCAAGTAGCTGAAACTACAGGTACAAGCCGCCATGCCCAGTTCTTTTTTTTTTTTTTTTTTTTGAGATGGAGTCTTGCTCTGTCACCCAGGCTGGAGTGCAATAGCACAATCTTGGCTCACTGCAACCTCCACCTGTGGGGTTCAAGCGTTTCTCCTGCCTCAGCCTCGGAGTAGCTGGGATTACAGGCACCCGCCCTCATACCCAGCTAATTTGTGTATTTTTGTAGAGACAAGGTTTCACCATGTTGGCCAGGCTGGTCTTGAACTCCTGACCTCAGGTGATCCACCCACCTCAGCCTCCTAAAGTGCTGGGATTAAGGCGTGAGCCACTGCACCCGGCCACCATGCCCAGTTTCTATTCTAAACCATGGAACTTAGAATTCCAGAAACTGGGTCTGGTGTTAATTTTTCCTGTCCAGTCATTTTCCCCTCCCCGTCCCAAAGATCCATGCTTCAAGGTCAGGACCAGCAGAATCAGTACTGCGGATTCCTTCCAATGACCTTCTGCTAAGCTACAAGTACTCTCTCAGAGGCTGTGGGACTGCGCCCTCCCATCATTCTTCCCGGCTTAGCTGGGGTTGGTAAGGACTGCCAATGTAACTCTGATGTTTCACTACCTCTTATTCATTCCCCTTAGCCTGCCAATTTGCTCAAAACAGTCCCTGAATTCAACTCTCAAGTACCCACTTAAGTCGCAGTCATTTTTTTTTTTTTGAAATAGGGTCTTGCTCTGTCGCCCAGGCTGGGGTGCAGTGGCGTGTTCTCGGCTCACTACAACCTCCGCCTCCTGGGTTCAAGTGAGTCTCCTGCCTCAGCCTCCCTAGTAGCTGGGACTACAGGCGCCCATCACCACGCCTGGCTAATTTTCGTATTTTTAGTAGAGATGGGGTTTCACCATATTGGCTAGGCTGGTCTTGAACTCCTGACCTTGTGATCCACCCACATTGGCCTCCCAAAGTACTGGGATTACAGGTGTGAGCCACCGCACCCCGCCAGTCGCAGTCATTTTTAATCGTCAAAGGAAATAAACCCTTCATTCAAAACTTACAGGGCTATGATTAGAATTCTTTAACTCAACATACCGTGCCTTCATCAGCAAATCTCTTGAGATAGTCTTTAAGTTCAGTCTTCAAATCATTGTATTCTAAATCAAAACCACAAAAGTATTTAAGTTTAGATAAACCATTTGCTTTCAAAAACAAAATATTCTTTGCCATTGACACCTGAGTCTGTTAATAATGTAGTCTAAATAAAAATTTTCTTAAGTGAAAGCTGCATAGAAACTCGTTCCCAAATTATCTGTACGTCTACCATGTTGATATGAGACCCTTTTTCATTAAAAAAAAAAAAAGCAAAATTTTTTAAAAAGCATAAAAAGCAGAGATATCCTAATCCCATAAAGATTAAGAATTTTTAAAAGGGCTTCCTATTTCTCTGGAATTCTGGTAGCTGAAATAACCTTGGACTTGTTGAATATTTAATTTAATTTAATTTATTTTATTTTTTGAGATGGAGTCTCACTCTGTCACCCAGGCTGGAATGCAGTGGCACGATCTCGGCTCACTGCAACCTCCGCCTCCCGAGTAGCTGGGACTACAGGCACGCGCCACCATGCCTGGCTACTTTTTTATATTTTTAGTAGAGACAGGGTTTCACCACGTCAGCCAGGCTGGTCTTGAACTCCTGACCTCAGGTGATCCACCTGCCTTGGCCTCCCAAAGTGCTGGGATTACAGGCGTGAGCCATGGCGCCCAGCCCAAGCAAACTGACTCACTTAACAGTTTATATTATGTACAAGGTACCTTGAGGGCTACAAGTATCTTTTAGGTGCATCCTCTATCCTTGAAAAGTTTTTACTCTAATAAAGGCAAAAAGAAATTAATAATTATAAATAAAAGACACGGCCAGGTGCAGTGGCTTGCACCTGTAATCCCAGCACTTTGGGAGGCTGAGGCAGGTGGATCACCTCAGCTCGGGAGTTCGAGACCAGCCTGGGTGACATGGTGAAACCCTGACTCTACTAAAAATACAAAAATTAGTGGGGACTGGGCATGGTGGCTCATGCCTGTAATCCCAGTACTTTGGGAGGCCAAGGCAGGTAGATCACCTGAGGTCAGAAGTTCGAAACCAGCTTGGCCAACATGGTAAAACCTTGTCTCTACTAAAAATACAAAGTAAATTAGCCAAGCATGGTGGCAGGTGCCTGTAATCCCAGCTACTTGGGAGGCTGAGGCAGGAGAATCACTTGAACCTGGGAGGCAGAGGTTGCAGTGAGCCGAGATCGCGCCACTGCACTCCAGCCTGGGTGACAGAGTGAGACTCCATCTCAAAAAAAAAAAAAAAATTGGGGGGGCGCAGTGGCATGCGTCTGTGGTCACAGCTACTTGAGAGACTGAGGCAGGAGAATCACTTGAGCCTGGGCAGCAGAGGTTGCAGTGAGCTGAGAATGCACCATTGCACTCCAGCCTGGGCAACAGAGCAAGACCCTGTCTCAAAATAAATAAATAAATAATAAAAGACAGAAATGACTGATGCTATAAAAGTCACATAAAAGTGGTGGCATCCAAGTGGAAATGGCTGGGATAGAAACCACTGAAATAAGTTTGGCCTGCTGCAGCTGGGTGGTGGTGGGGGGATGTAAAAGCCTTCAATCAAGGGTTTGGGGGTATTTTCTCCTCTAGTGGTTTCCTGTGAACCACTGAAGCAACCTCAAGAACTGTCAAAATGGTGACATGCCTTGCTCAAGAACATGACACATAATGTCCAAAAATTGTTTCAATGGATGGAAAATTTGCATTCATCCATCTACCCTTAATCAGAATAGCATATGTTGTGGTTTCTCAAGCATGTAATTATTCTAGCATGTAACTCTGATTCAATGGTAAAAGCAGCTGAATACCCACCAATATGAAAATCAAGCAATGGTCTAAAATTCAAAATTTTAATTCTTTGTATTAAATTAAAAATATAGGTGTTTACTGCCCCCTTTATATTTTTTTACATAGTGAAGGAAATGATGAATTTTCACACACACACAGTATTTACCACAAATGAGTTCCACTTGCTGGACTCTATTCATGCTGCTAAGGGTATCCATTAGGGGATCGCTCCTGTCAGTGGCCTGGGCAATCTTCCCTTTGTTTTCATAAGCCAGAACTGTGTCGTATTCATCTGTCAGGAATAAGACATCTAGATCTCCATACATTTTCTTTAGGGAAAAAAAAAAAAAAAAAAGAAAGAGGAGTTTCCCCATTAGAACTGTTTATCATTCTCAGAAAGCCAATTTCCTGAGAATCACTAAAAATGTAATTTTTTTATATTAAGACCTAGAAAAACTGGAGCGTCTTTAACACAGAATTGCTAGAAGGATTTATTCTTTTTGCCTAAATTTCTTTCAGAAATCTCCCAATTTCCCAGATGTCATATGGTCTATGAGATCTTTATTTAAAAACCATTGATTTACTGTTAACTTTTTTTTTTTTTGAGATGGAGTTTCACTCGTTGCCCAGGCTGGAGTGCAATGGCATGATCTCGACTCATTGCAACCTCCGCCTTCTGGGTTCAAGCGATTCTCCTGCCTTGGCCTCCCAAGGAGCTGGGATTACAGGCATGTGCCACCACACCCAGCTAATTTTGTATTTTTAGTACAGACAGGATTTCACCATGTTGGTCAGGCTGGTCTCGAACTCCTGACCTCAGGTGATCGAGACCTAACTTGGCCTCCCAGAGTGCTGGGATTACAGGCGTGAGCCAAAGCACCTGGCCAATTTACTATAACTTTCAACCAGTGTTTCCAAGCAACTTTGATATAACAAAGATAAGTAAACTAAAATTAAAATAAGTAAATTTAAAATACTGCATAATTATCCATTTCTTCCACAAACATTCCAACTGTAAGTACTATGTCATAAATTTGCTTAATGTAAAAATTTGGAGGGTCTCCTAAACATTAATTTCATAAATATATTGTTCAGGTGTTCTTTTTATTTTCCTTTCTTCCTCTGGTACAAAAATTGAATGTTTTCCCCAGGTGTTCTTATTTTGGGGCACCAGTACACAAAACATGCTAACACTGAGCACAATCAGATACTTTACCATACAGTCTTGGCAGGTACACAACTTGCTACGCCAGTTCAGGGGCCAATAGGTGGCAGTGTCTTTCTTTATAAGCTGCTTAGCTTTAAGCTCCTGAAGTTTGCAGCCAGATTTTGATTCTGCGTTGAGGCTTTCATTCTTAAACACTGTCTGAAATAAAATTAAGTTTTGAAGCATGTTTTTTAAACTACCATAGTTTTCATAGTTTAGATTTTGTAAAGAGATTTCTTTAGGCAAAGGATAAAATTGAAATCCAAAGCCATAAGTTTACAGAATTAATTCCACTTCAGTTTTCTTTTTTTTTTTTGAGACGGAATCTCATTCTGTTGCCCAGGCTAGAGTGCAGTGGCATGATCTCGGATCACTGTAACCTCCGCCTCCTGGGTTCAAGCAATTCTCCTGCCTCAGCCTCCTGAGTAGCTGGGATTACAGGCATGTGCCACCATGCCTGGCTAGTTTTTGTAATTTTAGTAGAGATGAGGTTTACCCATGTTGCCAAGGCTGGTCTCAAACCCGTGACCTCAGGTGATCCGCCACCTCAGCCTCCCAAAGTGCTGGGATTATGGGCATGAGCCACCGCGCCTGGCCCAGTCTTATTTCTTGATGGCTCGTACTTCACACATTACCTGGAGATCAGATTCAGAACTAGAGCCGGCACATGGTTCACTGTTCTGCTCTACTTTAACCTCCCGGACATCATCCTTTCCCTGTTCTGGAACATCCTCTTTGAGGGTACTATCTTGATGCTCTCCATTTTCAGGTTTGATAACTTCCTGATCACCTATTCCATCAATGTTCCGCACCAATCCATCATCCTCAGTGGATATTTTGGTTACTGTGAGTTCAAAGAAAAAGAAAAACACATACACACATATCCACTGACCTAACGGACAATAAAATCCCAACAGACAATAAAATCACTTATTCTATTATTATTATTTTTTTTTTTTACAGACAGAGTCTCACTCTGTCGTCCACACTGGAGTGCAGTGGCATGGTCTTGACTCACTGCAACCTCTGTCTCCCAGGTTCAAGCAATTCTCATGCCTCAGCCACCCGAGTAGCTGGGACTACAGGTGCGTGCCACCATGACTGGCTAATTTTTTGTATTTTTAGTAGAGACGGGGTTTCGCCATGTTGGCCAGGCTGGTCTTGAACTCCTGATGTCAAGTGATCTGCCTGCCTCAGCCTCCCAAAGTGCTGGGATTACAGGTGTGAGCCACCACATCAGGCATACAATAGCTTTTGCTATTTTTTTTTTTTTTTTGAGATAGAGTTTCGCTCTTGTTGCCCAGGCTGGAGTGCAATGGCGTGATCTTGGCTCATTGCAACCCCCACCTCCTGGGTTCAGGCAATTCTCCTGCCTCAGCCCCCTGAGTAGCTGGGATTACAGGCATGCACCAGCATGCCTGGCTATTTTTTATTTTTAGTAGAGATGGGGTTTCTCCATGTTGGTCAGGCTGGTCTGGAACTCCTGACCTCAGGTGATCCACCTGCCTCGGCCTCCCAAAGTGCTGGGATTACAGGCATGAGCCACCACATCTGACCTAAAATCACTTTTTCTGATATTAAAATATTTCAGAATCTGGAAAAAGAGATTAGTCCACCGTAGTCTCCGAAATACTGAGAAAGAAAATTCCAACGCTTCTTTAGGTTATGTCTGCCTAACCCAAAGAATTCAAATAATTAAACAGTTTATTTGAAAATATCAATCACTGCTTAAGCACTTTACACATAAAGGAGAAAATATTGTACTGTACTTGTTAGAGACAGAATAATACAAGAAGCAGGAGGAAGAGATTGAATTGTAAACACAGACAGAAGGGTAATTTTTTAAAAACAGCTTTTCTTTATGGGAGGAAGAAATAAAAAAAATGATGGGTGTAGTGGCAGATATACTCTGAGACAGAGAAGAGAAACGATAGGGGAGCTCACATTGGATGCCAGCATTTCAATGTAATAGGAGATGAAGCCATCTGCTGATGGGAGAGGAAATGAAGGGAGAGGCAGGAGATCAATTTAAAAAACCCAATTAAGCTGGGTATGGTAGCTCACACCTGTAATCACAGCACTCTGGGAGGCCAAGGTGGGTGGATCACCTGAGGTCAGGAGTTCGAGACCAGCCTGGCCAACATGGTGAAACCCCTTCTCTACTAAAAATAGAAGAATTAGCTAGGCATGCTGGTGCATGCCTGTAATCCCAGCTACTTGGGAGGCTGAGGCAGGAGAATTGCCTGAACCCAGGAGGCATAGGTTACAGTGAGCAGAGATTGTGCCACTGCACTCCAGCCTGGGCAACAGAGCAAGATTCCGTCTTGAAAAAACAAAAAAACCCAATGAATGAGAACTACACATAGATAGGTTCAGCATCTGTGGACAGTGAGAGAGATCACTGGAAAGGGTGTGAACAGAAAGGGAGCAGCACTTAAGAACTCTGAGGCAAACTGGCCGGGCGTGGTGGCTCATGCCTGTAATCCCAGCACTTTGGGAGACCGAGGCGGGTGGATCACTTGACATCAGGAGTTTGAGACCAGCCTGGCCAACATGGTAAAAGCCTTGTCTCTACTAAAAATACAAAAATTTGCCAGGTGTGGTGGCATGTGCCTGTAGTCCCAGCTACTCTGGAAGCCGCGTCACAAGAATCGCTTGAACCCAGGAGGCAAGGTTGAGGTGAGCCGAGATAGCACCACTGTACTCCAGCCTGGATAACACAGTGAGACTCTGTCTCAAAAAAAAAAAAAAGGCAGAAAAACAAAAGAACTCTAAGGCAAATCTAAACTGTAGGATGAGATCAGAGGTATGGCTATGCTGCTCATGGTTTGTATGGTGAACTGGTCTCTAAAGATGAGAAAGGCAAGAAATTATGAAGCCTAAGCAGCAGATACCATGAGTAACTGCCACCTTAAAAATAAAGAAATACATAAAGCATTACCAATAAGATAGTTAATGCCTCAGGACCATTCATTAATTAGTTGTTTTGATTTAATTTCTTAGTGTATAATAAAAGCACCAGATAGACTGGGCATGGTGGCTCATGCCTGTAATCCCAGCAGTCTGGGAAGCCAAGATGAGTGGATCACTTGAGCTCAGGAGTTCAAGACCAGCCTGGGCAACATGGTGAAACACTGTCTCTACAGAAAATACAAAATTAGCAGGGCATGGTAGTGTGTGCCTGTAGTCCACTTTTATAAAGGCACTAATCCCATTCACGAGGGCTCTGACTTATAAAAGAGGCCCAAGCGAGCTTGTTTGCCCCTTTTAACAGGTACGGACACGTAGAAGGATCTGTCTATGAGGAATGGGCCCTCAACCAAACACTGACTCTGCGGGCACCTGAATTTTGGACTTCCCAGTCTCCAGAACTGTGAGAAATATCTGTCTATTGTTTATAAATTACCCAGCCTAAGGTATTTTGTTTTAGCACCCCAGACAGACTAAGACACCACCTCCTCCCCAACTGATACCATGTGTTAGAATTAACAACTTATTTCAGTTCTATTTATCTTTCAAAATCCCATTCAAAAACTGCCTCCTCCATTCTCTAACTCTGGTCTCATCAATACTCTGCATCATATCATTTAAGTATAAATTTGTTTTTGGTAGTATCCCAACAAATCTATGCACCTTGTGGAGAAAGAACACATACTATTCTTTTTTTTTTTTTTTTTTTTTGAGGATGGAGTCTTGTTCTATTGCCCAGGCTGGACTGCAGTGACGTGATCTCGGCTCACTGCAACCTCTGCCTCCTGGGTTCAAGTGATTCTCCTGCCTCAGCCTCTGGAGTAGCTGGGATTACAGGCAAGCGCCGTGACGCCAGGCTAATTTTCATATTTTTAGTAGAGATGGGGTTTCGCCATGTTGGCCAGGCTGGTCTCGAACTCCTGACCTCAGGTGATCCATCTGTCTTGTTGGCCTCCCAAAGTGCTGGGATTACAGGCGTGAGCCACCATGCCTGGCCAGAACATATACTATTTTATAACCACAGAGCCCAGTTAAAAATAGTTGCTAAAAATTCTGAATTGAACATACAAATTTCACAAGCACAAGTTTGTGGCACACCAACTTCACAAAGATACCTACCTGCCAATTGTGCAGCATAAGCCCACAAAAAAGAACAACGTTTCATGCAGGCCTGGCATACCATCTCCTGAAAATCCCCACTCTCAGGGGGAATGGCACCAAGATGCTGTGAATATAGAACACCAAAAATTTTCTTGTGATTGCCAAATTGTCCAAAATGCCCATTATTTTATAAATACTGTAATAATACACTGATCATATCATTAGAATTTATTTTTAGAAGACTAATTATAATGTAAAATATAACCTTTATCTTTTTGTGACAACAATGGTTTCAAAAGGTGGAACATTTTCCTTACCCTTCCATGGAACCAGTCTTCACAGACTACGCACTGGATCATCTCATCTGGAATCTAACAGAGAAAAGCAGTTTGTTAAGGATTACATTGAATTCGGGAACATGGAAATAACCTGGCACACAGTAAAATAAGATACTAAATATTTGTTCTACATGAACTGGTGTTCCAAAGGCTTACATTGAGATAAGCACTTTACAAACAATCTCAAGGCTCTTTCACATCCATTACTTAATATCTGATTCTCACAAAACTGTGTAGACAAGGAGGGCATTCCCATTTTATACAAAACTCAGGCCCAGGCAAGTAATGTGAATGGACCAGTGCAGACAGTGACAACTGGGACTTTTTACCACACCATCCTTTAATACAATATTCAGTTGTATTACTGTATAAGGATGTTCACTCCAGCCTTCTTTATAATATTGAAAAATTAGACAATGCCTTTCTGCTGCAGAAGAACCATCCTGCCAAGTACACTGAAAAGTAAATGTTATGAAAAACCTCGATAGATAACTCCTCTAATTTGAATAAATTAAATAATTAAATGCTGGCCCTAGGAAAATAATATACCAAAGGACATAGACTATTTTGGGGATGATTTTCTTTTACTCCCAGGCTCTCATAACTGTTAATTAACATCCCAATGTTGTTCTGTCCTTTTCCTATCGTAGGCTTCTTAAAGGGAATAAAAAAGCACATATTGTGGAACAGGAGGAGCTGTAACACTTTACCACATGCCTTAAAATATCCAGTTTTGGCTGGGCGTGGTGGCTCACGCCTATAATCCCAGCACTTTGGAAGGCCAAGGTGGGTGGATCGCCTGAGGTCAGAAGTTTAAGACTAGCCTGGCCAACATGCTGAAATCCTGTCTCTACTAAAAATACACAAATTAGCCGGGCATGGTGGCGAGTGCCTGTAATCCCAGCTACTCAGGAGGCTGAGGCAGAAGAATCGCTTGGACCTGGGAGGCAGAGGTTGCAGTGAGCTGAGATCGCACTACTGTACTCCAGCCTGGGTGACAGAGCGAAACTCCGTCTTAAAAAAAAGAAAAAAAAAATCCAGTTTTAAGGTTTTATTTTTGTTAACTCAAAGAGACTTTCAATCTGTCCCTCTATATAATTTGGTTCAATAATTATAGTTCCAACGCAATTAGAAAGCAAGGAAGAAGGCAGAAGACTAATATCTCTAAAGACAAAAAGTACTCTTTCAAATCGGTAAATACCCAGACAAAACCCAAACCAATCAAAACATGGACTGAGGATATGAAAGGACAATTCAGAGAGAAGGTTATTATGGATGTCCAATGAACTTATGAAAAGATGCATAACCTCACTTATCATCAGGGAAAGAAAAAAAAATTTAAGATACTATTCTTTGGCTGGGCGCGGTGGCTCACGCCTGTAATCCCAGCACTTTGGGAGCCCGAGGCAGGCGGATCATGAGGTCAGGAGATTGAGACCATCCTGGCTAACACGGTGAAACCCTGACTCTACTAAAATTACAAAAAATTAGCTGGGCGTGGTGGCGGGCACCTGTAGTCCCAGCTACTCAGGAGGCTGAGGCAGGAGAATGGCATGAACCCGGGAGGTGGAACTTGCAGTGAGCCGAGATCGCGCCACTGCATTCCAGCCTGGGTGACAGAGCGAGACTCCGTCTGAAAAAAAAAATGAAAAAAAAGATACTATTCTTCATTTATCAGAATGGCAAAATTTTCAAGAACTGGTAATATGCAAGGTTGACAAAAGTGTTGGGGAAAAAACACTATCATATACTGTTGCTGGTACAACTTTTTTGGCAGATATGATCACAATTTTATTTTATTATTTATTATGATTATTATTTTTTGAGACAGGGTCTCGCTCTGTCACCCAGGCTGGAGTGCAGTGCCGCAATCCCAGCTTACTGCAACCTCTGCCCCATGGGTTCAAGTGATTCTTGTGTCTCAGCCTCCCGCGTAGCCAGGACTACAGGCATAAGCCACAGTGCCCAGCCAATCACAATTTTAAATGCCACAAATACACTTTGATCCGTCAATTATACCGATCCATTCTACATAAATACTTGGAGTATACTCAGTTGTATTACTGTATGAGGATGTTCACTCTAGCTTTCTTTATAATATTGAAAAATTACACAATGCCATTCTGCTGTAGAAGAACAATCAGGTTGACTAACTTATGGCATATGAAATTATAGGATACTCTGCAGCAGTTAGAAGGGGGTAAGTGTGTTTTGTTGACATGAAAGAATGTCTATGATATACTGGTGAGAAAAGCCAGCTGCAGAAGTGAGTGTACAGAATTTTCACTTCTGTTAATAGAAAGGAAACTACACATTGAAACACACATTCACTCAAACACTTCTATGTGCACAGAAAAAGGACTAAAAATATACACACCAAAAGTGTTAACAGTGGTTATGCCTGGGAGGTAAGAGGTGCAGAAGTGAGGAAGAACTCGTTTTGAATTTTGCATATACTTCTCATTGACGTTTTTAAGAGGATGCTGTTTGTATACCCCATTTTTTTCCGTAAAGAGACAAAAGAAGTTGAAGGTCATTTCTTAGAAAGTGTTTGGGGACTGGGGGAGGCAGTCAGGGAAGGAGAGGAAGGGAAGAAGCTCTGGCTTTGGGAAAGTCCTCTCCAATATTTCATTCTTATGATGTAAAAATGAAAAGAATGGTTGAGATGTGTACCAATTATAGATCCAACCCAGATTCATAAGAAAAGATAAATCTAGAGCCCTTTCACCATCCCACACTGCCTCTTGAAGAGCCAGAGGCTCGGATATGACAAGCAGTTGAGGAATCAAGGCTAGAGGGGACACACCCCCAGGTTTAACTTCCAATTCTCTTACCTCGTCTTCAGGATCAGGATAAGGTCTCTTGCAAATGCAGTACAATCCAAAAAAGTTGTCATTGTACTTATTGCCAGAATTTACCTTTGCTTTGTCCTGAAATATAATATTGATTTCAATAATAATATGGTCTAATTTTAACTATAATTTCACACATTATAAAATTTATGCATTCAATACATTTCCACATTATTTCCCCCAAGAGGCTGATCTTTAATTTTCAAAGTAGGAAAAAAAAAACTCACTACCACTAAAGGGATACTTTTTTCAGGACACAGGGAAAAAATAATTTTTTTTTGTTTTTTTTTGTGGTAATTAGGAGAAATTAAATACACCTATTCAATAAAATGGAGATAAAAGTTAATCATAAATATTAATTATCAATCTATGTGAACTGATATTGGCCTGGAATTTCAAGGTACTTCTTTTTTCTTTTTGATAGAGATGGGGTCTCACTATGATGCCCAGGCTGGTCTGGGTTCAAGCCATTCTCCCACCTAGGCCTCCCAAAGTGTTGGGATTACAGGTATGAGCCACCACGCCCAGCCTTATTTATTGGTTTTTCTTTTTCTTTTTTTTTTGAGATGGAGTCTCGCTCTGTCGCCCAGGCTGGAGTGCGGTGGCACAATCTCGGGTAACTGCAACCTCCGCCTCCTGGGTTCAAGCGATTCTCCTGCCTCAGCCTCCCAAGTAGCTGGGATTACAGGCACGCACCACCATGCCCAGATAATTTTTTGTATTTTTAGTACGGGGGGGTTTCACCATGATGGCCAAGCTGGTTTTGAACTCCTGACCTCAAGTGATCCACCTGCCTCGGCCTCCCAAAGTGCTAGGATTACAGGTGTGAGCCACCGTGCCCGGCCTATTTATTGTTTTTGTTTGTTTGTTTTGAGATGGAGTCTTGCTCTGTTGCCAGCTGGAGTGCAGTGGCGCAATCTCGGCTCACTGCAACCTCCGCCTCCTGGGTTCAAGCAATTCTCCTGCCTCAGCCTCCCAAGTAGCTGACCGAGTAGATGACTGGGTGCCACCATGCCCAGCTAATTTTTGTATTTTTAGTAGAGACAGGGTTTCACCATGTTGGCCAGGATGGTCTCGATCTCTTGACCCTATTTATTGTTTTTAAGTCATATCCGCTGATTTAAAAGCCTCAGAGAATAAGTACAACCAATATAATTAAACCTGAATTACTTTCAAGTACATCTCTCCCCCAAACCTTTCATATTAATTACCATCTATCTTGTAGGCTCTCAACAGTTTATATAGTTTTTCTAACAAAGTAAAAAATGAAATGGCCATCTGCAAAGAATAAGCATAAGAACTTCTTTTTTTGGAAAATACAGGTATTTGTTTTTTTACCCACTCTGGCAAATATTAACCTCAGCTGCTCTAAATGCATTTATAGTTACAGTGCTTACTTACAGGAAGTAATTTGCATTCCAAATTTTTAAACTTGCTGTTTCCACAATCACAACGAAAATTTCTGAAAAAAGGAGGAAATAACAATTTTATTTTTCTTTTTACAAAATCCAATTTAAAATTTCTTCAAGCATTCAAGCACATAGTAAGACTTCACAATTCGGGAAATTAATATGTACAAAAGCAAATATTTATATCACATACAAACACACAAGTAAAATGATGGCAGGGAAAGATAAATGGTTTGAGTTTGTACCATATTATGTTTTTAAAGGCTCTAGAAACAACTCTCTCCAATTATATAAAATAATTACATTAAATTTCATTAGTGCTGGGCGAGGTGGCTCACGCCTGTAATCCCAGCACTTTGGGAGGCTGAGGCGGGCGGATCACGAGGTCAGGAGATCGAGACCATCCTGGCTAACTCGGTGAAACACCGTCTCTACTAAAAATACAAAAAATTAGCTGGGCGTGGTGGTGGGAGCCTTTAATCCCAGCTATTCGGGAGGCTGAGGCAGGAGAATGGCGTGAACCCGGGAGACGGAGCTTGCAGTGAGCCTAGATCACACCACTGCACTCCAGCCTGGGTGACAGAGCAAGACTCCGTCTCAAAATAAATAAATAAATAAATTAATTAATTAATTTCATTAGTGTTCAACTGCTTTGCATGAAAAAACAAGATTAGGAAAAAGTGTAGATGGGAAAGAATCTATACTTCAAAAGCATTTAGTAACAATCTCTTGACTATGTTTACCTTTTTGTGTATAGCTCAAATAGTTTGTGACTTCCATGACATTCATAACTGCAAGCTAAACAAATTCCTGCTGGTTCTTCTCCCTCTGGGGTGCAGGTACTACAGGCATATAGTGCTTGTCTCTTTACTGAGCCCTGAAAGCCCCCAAAATGGAAAAGAGAATTAATGTAGTAGCATGGTTTACCTAATACCCACACTAGGAACTGAAAAATAATTAAAATCAGATTATCTGTGGTCAAGATCTTTCTGTAAAAACCATTAAGACTAAAAAGTTTACACAACAGAGCATCAACCAAAACACAGTTGCGTTGCAAGTTTCATTTTTATACTAGTGCTTTTTTTCATGCAAGCACTTTTTTCTTTCTTCCTTATTTATTTTTTGCAGAGATAAGGTCTTGCTATGTTGCCCAGGCTGGTCTCAAACTCCTGGGCTCAAGCAATTCTCTGCCTTGGCCTTCCAAAGTGCTGGGATTACAAGCATTAGCCACGACACAAGCCAGCACTTCTTTCTTAAAGTGATAGGAAGTCTGAATTTGTCAATCAGCTGTGAATAAATGGATCTGTTTAATCATTTTAATATGTGAAAACACAGGAGCATATGTACAGGTTTATGTAAGTAACATCACACTTTCATCCTGGAAAATGTTTGTAAATCTACCAAAGAAAGAATCAACACATGCAAAGAATCCCTTTGATTTTTAGGAGATGCCTGCTGAAGTATTTAGAGGTATAGTGTCATCGTGTCTGCAACTTATTTTTAAATAGTTCAAAATTTTAAAACAGCAAATTTTAAGTAGAAAAGGAGATAAAACAAATGTGACAAAATGTTAAAAAGTGAATATGTAGGCTGGGCACGGTGGCTCACGCCTGTAATCCCAGCACTTTGGGAGGCCGAGGTGGGCAGATCACTTGAGGTCAGGAGTTCAAGACCAACCTGGTCAACGTGGTGAAAACCTCATCTCTAGAACACCCCATCCACTAAAAATACAAAAATTAGCTGGACGTGATGGCGGGCGCCTGTTATCCCAGCTACTTGGGAGGCTAAGACAGGAGAATCACTTGAACCCAGGAGGTGGAGGTTGCAGTGAGCAGAGATCATGACATTGCACTCCAGCCTGGGTGGCAAGAGTGAAATTCCATCTCAAAAAGAAAAAAAAAGTGAATATGTATAAGAGGTATAGTTACCTTCCTCTAGGAAGGAGGAAGATAGATAAGGAGGCTTCCGGGATGCCAGTAAGGTTCTATTTCTTTTTCTTTCTTTTTTTTTTAAAGTTCTATTCCAATAAGCCTTTTGCACTCCTAATGTTCTATTTGTTGATCTGGGTTGTGGGAACACGCACACTTTCCTTTCAAGCTGTGTACATGATTTGTGCAAATTTCCGTATTTTTTTTTTTACCACAAAGAAAATATTAAGGAATCCATTTTATAAAGGTAACTACACTTCAAAAATAGTTTACATATAGACATAACTTTTTTCTTTTTTTTTTTTTTAAGTAAAGCAGGGGAAAAATTGTTTTAGTGGTGACCAAAGGTTTTAAAATACCTGGGGCTATGTCTGGATACCAGGTTTATTCAACAATCTAGCACTTTGCAGTGTAAACTAACCTTGGTCAACAACGAGAACTGGTATTATGATCTCAGTTCATACCACATAATGAATACAAGTCTCTCCCCTCATCTCCCCAGTGTTCCAATCCACCCCTCTTCCTAGGTAACCCTTCTTCCTACCAATTCTCATCCTTTGTCAGTCTTCTTCCTACCCATCCTTTTCCATTTTTGTACCTCGAAGTGTAGGGTGAGTCACTAAACACCACATCACACCCCCTCAAACACTTGCTCACTCACAACGTCTTCCAAATGCCAAACAGATCCTTTTCTCCTCTCTCCCCTCCCTTGCCAGAGCCACTTGCTGTTCTGTTTCCGGTCTATTTCCAGGGGAGGGGGGCAGACTGCAGATAGACATGGGTACTTGCTTCATTTTGCCAAAAAAAGAAAGAAAGAAAAAGTACTAGCTAGCACTTGTCCAACTAAATTGCAGAGGAACTAGCTGTCAAGGAGCTCACCGCAAATCCCTATGGATTTGAAAATCTCTTTAACCTGACTCTCCCATTCGGTCCCTAATAAATAAATAAATAAATAATCTTAGGATGGGAAAATCAGGGACAAAGATGTCTGGATCTGAGAGGTCGCGGGGTGGTTTCGTGAAAAGCAGTGGTGCACCAAGAAGAGGCTGGAGAGGACGGACAGAGCAGCTGCTCCAGGGCCCTTCCTGGCGGGCCGGACAGAGTTGGAGACAGGGGAGAGGGGGGCCCCTGCTGGACACAGGCTGAAGGGGGCCCAGGAGGTTGGGGTTAAAAGGGAAGGGTGAGCTTGGGGTGAGGAAGCGGCAGACTAACGGCGGCCCCGGACCACCACTGGGGAGACGACTGCGGCAAGGCGGGAATAGGGACAGCCGGGCCGGGAAGGGGAGGTTCGGCGGGAGCCGGGGGAGAGGAGGCCCGGGCCGCGCGCCCACCTGAGAGTAGGAGCACTTCTCGGAGTCGCTGCCGCCCAGGACAGCGCACGCCTCATTCTCCAGCTCCTCGTCCTCCTCAAGGACGTCGACCAACGATACCACGGGCTCCAGCTCCGACTGCCGCCCAGCGGCGCCCTCGGCTCCGGCCATCCTCAACTGTCAGCCGAACAGCGGCTCGGCCCCGGCGGAGGCGGGAAAAGCGGCCGTGAGGGGCGTAGCCGGAGGAGGTGGGGCCCGAGTGCCAGGAACCAATGACAAGGAAAAAAAGCGAAGGAAGGGGGAGGAGCGACTTCCGACAAACGGATGTCACTCCTCTCCCTTCTCCCGCCTGCGCCGGACGCGGGCTGATTTCCGCCTCCGGGTGGCGCTTCCCGGTGTCGTGTTCTGGAAGCTTAGCGGTCACCATGGAGCTGCTGGGAGAGTACGTCGGGCAGGAAGGGAAGCCGCAGAAGCTGCGGGTGTCCTGTGAGGCGCCGGGTGACGGCGACCCTTTCCAGGGCCTGTTGTCTGGCGTGGCCCAGATGAAGGACATGGTAACGGAATTATTCGACCCTCTGGTACAGGGGGAAGTGCAGCACCGGGTGGCGGCGGCTCCAGACGAGGACTTGGACGGTGAGCTCTGAGACGGTGCTGCAGTGACCGGAGGACGGGGCGGGCGCCCAGGGGAAATTGGCTTGGGGAGCCCGTGTAGAGTGGCAGACTTGGACAAAGTGAGCCTCGAGGAAAGAAGAATTGCATCTAAAAATTTTTGGCGGGCTAGGCGAAGTGGGGCTCACGCCTGTAATCCCAGCACTTTGGGAGGGCGAGGCAGGAGGATCACTTGAGGTCAGGAGTTCCAGAACAGCCAGGGCAACATATCGAGACCCCGTTTCTATTATTATTTTTAAAATAATTTAAAAAATAAAAATTGTTGGCATTTATCACTATATTTATTTGGGCTGCTTCTACTCAAGCGTTTCCACAACTCATCGCTATTTCGTTTATTTCACAAAAAAACGTGTCGAATGCCTACTATTATGTGCCAAACCCTGAGCTGAGCCCTGGAGGAAGAATGAGGTGAATGCGACTCAGTTCCTGCCCTTGTGAAACACAAGGGGACTAGACAGGCAGACACTCTTATTAAAAGTGGAAGTGGTCCGGGCTGGTGGCTCACGCCTGTAATCCCTGCACTTTGGGAGACCGAGGCAGGCAGATCACGAGGTCAGGAGTTCGAGACAAGCCTGGCCAATATGGTGAAACCCTGTCTCTACTAAAAATACAAAAATTAGCTGGGCGTGGTGGCATGCTCCTGTAGTCCCAGCTACTCTACTCGGGAGGCTGAGGCAGAAGAATCGCTTGAACCCTGGAGGCAGAGGGTGCAGTGAGCCGAGATCGCGCCACTGCACTCTATCGTGGGCGACAGAGCGAGACTCCGTCTCAAAAAAAAAGAAAAAAAAAGTGAAAGTGGTTCTGTGGTCCTCTGTAACTGTTGCAAACCCAGACACCCTAGGAAGTCTTCAGAAAGGATAAGACTTTTGAGCTGGGTGTTGAATAAAAAGGAGTTTTATCAGGTGTGAAACTACAGACATACTTGGAAGAGTACAATCTATCGCAGAGTAGGAACAGGTTCCAAAGACTGGGACAGACTTCATTTTATCACGTATTAACTCCCAGAGACTCCCTTGCCTTTCCAGTTTTGTAGGTGCAGTTTGAAAGTAGAAACATGAAGTTTAACTGCATTATTTTTAAAAAATTGCCTCGAATGCAGAAATAGGCAGGTACTTTTTTTTTTTTTTGAGATGGAGTCTAGCTCTGTCACTCAGGCTTGAGTGCAGTGGCACAACCTTGGCTCACTGCAACCTCTCCCTCCCCGGTTCAAGCGATTCTCCTGTCTCAGCCTCCGGAGTAACTGGGATTACAGGCACCCGCCCCCACTCCCAGCTAATTTTGTATTTTTAGTAGAGACAGGGTTTCACTGTGTTGGCCAGGCTGGTCCCGAACTCCTGACCTCGTGATCCACCCGCCTCAGCCTCCCAGAGTGCTGGGATTACAGGCGTGAGCCACCACACCTGGCCAGGCAGGTACATTTTAACCGTCCTGAGCTGAAAAACCCAAGAACTAGATATTAGAGTCAGGATTTACAATTATGTAAGAAGAGCTTAAACTGTACTTTCCTTCCATCTTGGGAAATACATCTTGATAATATGGATGTTGGCTATAATCAAAAAGAACAATAACAAGTGTTGGCTGGAATGTGAAGAAATTGGAGACCTTGTACATTGTTGGTGGAAATGTAAAACAGTGTAACCACTGGGAAAAAGAGTTTGGTAGCTCCTCAAAAAGTTGACATGAAGTTACCATATGACCCAGCAGTTCCACTGGTAGTCCTCCCAAGAAAACTGGAAACGTATGTTCACACAAAAACTTACGCATGAATGTTGATAACAGCAGCATTTATAGTAGCTAAAACGTGGAAACAACAATTGGCTGGGCTTGGTGTTGCGCCTTTAGGAGGTGGGAGGATCATGTGAACCCAAGAGTTTGAAGCTGCAGTGGGCTGATTGCTCCACTGCACTCCAGCCTGGAGGACAGAGTGAGGCCTCATCTCTTCATCTCTAAAAATGATAATTTTAAAAAATAGAAATAATGCAAATATCCATCAACCGATGAGTGCATTAACAAAATGTGGTATATCCATACAATGGACTATTATTAGCAATAAAAAGTAATGAAGTATTAACATGTGCTACAACATGAATGAACCTTGAAAACATTATGCTAAGTGAGAGCCAGACACAAAAGGGTACATGTTGCATGATTTTGTTTATATGAATGTACAGAATAGGCAAATCCATAGAGATAGAGTAGATTAGTGAGCCAGGTGCAGTGGTGGGCACCTGTAGTCCCAGCTACTCTAGAGGCTGAGACAGGAGGATCACTTGAACCTGGGAGTTTGAGTCTAGCTGGGCAACATAGCAAGACCCTATCTCTAATAAGGGGGAAAAAAAGTAGATTAGTGGTTGCCGAAGGCTGAGGGGAATGGAAAGCGACTGCTAATGGGCATATCATTTCTCTTTGGAGTGATGAAAGTGTTCTAGGTGATGGTTGCACAAGCTAGTGAATATACTAAAAACCACTAGGCCGTACACTTTTTAAAAGAGTGGATTTTGGCCAGCCACAATGGTTCATACCTGTAATCCCAGCACTTTGGGAGGCCGAGGCGGGCGGATCACGAGGTCAGGAGAACAAGACCATCTTGGCCAACATGGTGAAACCCCATCTCTACTAAAATGCAAAAAATTAGCCGGGCGTGGTAGCGCGTGCCTGTAATCCCAGCTACTTGGGAGGCTGAGACAGAGGAATCGCTTGAACCCCGGAGGCGGAGGTTGCAGTAAGCTGAGATCGTGCCACTGCACTCCAGCCTGGCGACAGAGCAAGACTATCTCAAAAAAAAAGAAAAAAAGAGTGGATTTTATGGTGAATGAACTAATATTTCCAAAGAGGAAAGTGATAGAAAATAAAGATTTTAAACACTGAAATTCTCAAAATCATTTTAATCTAAAATGTGCAGGTTTTATTAATCCCTAAAGTGAAATGGTCTCATTATCAACCACTTTAGCTATATATATTTCTTTCAGCCATAGAACGTATTGTCATACAACAAATATTTATTTTAAAAGGTGATGATGAAGATGATGCAGAAGATGAAAATAACATTGATAACAGAACTAACTTCGATGGACCATCTGCAAAACGGCCAAAAACACCGTCTTAACAATAGCCTTCATGACATTTAAAAGATGGCTGTTGTATCCTTATTGTCACACTAGGACATTTAAGGAAGACTTATGCTCTAATTTGGAAAAAGCATTTGTGTTGTTCTCCTGGGACAATTTTGTCAAAGAGAAAACTGGTTTTTCTGTTTCTAGCAAAGATAGTAAAGGCTTAGAAATAAAATCTGTTTTCTTGAGAAATAAATTTCAGACCCTGGAAGGAAAATAGAACACTTCATAATGTATAAAATCCTCTAAGTTGGCAACTGAATTTTTATCATTGTTTTCTATTTTTAAAATAATCATTGATTTGTGTGATGTCTACATCTTTTAACTTCTGGTTCTGTTATAAAGAGTACATGTCACGGTTCATAGGCAGTAACATTTCAGAGAACTGACATGAACAAGTAGTGAAAATTGGGCATTAAATATAAAAATAACAGTTCTTCATAAACAGAAGGAAAATAAGGAAATAGAAATACCGACGAGAAAGGAGAGTCCTTGAAAGAGACCCAAGGAAACCCTGAATTCATACCCACGTCAAATATGCACATATCCTGAGATGATGCCACTTTGATGAATGTGCATTAGTCTGATTTATCATGTACCTTAAGAGAGCCAGATGGGGTATGTTTTTGTGCTGTGATATGGTATTTATACAGGTACAAATATAAGGCCTTAAGTAAACAATCTGCATTGATTACAATTTGGATATTTCCTCTCCTCCTGTAGCCATACTTTGATTTTGCTTTAAAAAGATTATTGAATCCTTTTAAAAATATATATTCCTAAAATATGTATGTGTGTGTGTTTCTTTTCTGCTCGTCAGTGGGACTAAGGCATTTTTATTTGCTGTGCATCCTTCCTGATTTAGATAGCTTCAATGCAAAGAAATCAAGTAGCATGTACCTAGTAAAATACAAATAGTCATGGAATTTTAGAGTTGGAAGTCACTTTACAAATTATGTGATTTATTTCAGAGATAAATCTAAGGATAAGTATTTGCCCTCAGATTACAGAGCTAACCATTGACAAACTGGGTTACATAAATAGCCTTTAGATTTTTTTTAAGCTGATAAAAGGTGAGAGAAGATCAACTTTTTTTTTCTTTTTTTTTTTTTTTTTGAGACAGAGTTTCACTCTTGTTGCCCAGGCCGGAGTGCAGTGGCACAATCTTGGCTCACTGCAACCTCTCCCTCCCGGATTCAAGCAATTCTTCTGCCTCAGCCTCCCAAGTAGCTGAAATTACAGGCATGTGCCACCACGCCCAGCTAATTTTGTATTTTTAGTGGAGATGGGGTTTCACCATGTTGGTCAGGCTGGTCTCGAACTCCTGACCTCAGGTGATTCACCCACCTTGGCTTCCCAAAGTGCTGGGATTACAGGCATGAGCCACCACGCCAGGTCAATTTTTTTTTTTTTCCCAGGGTCAACTTTTTTTTCAGATGGAGTCTTGCTCTGTTGCCCAGGCTGGAGTGCAATGGTGCGATCTGGGCACACTGCAACCTCCACCTCCCAGGTTCAAGCAATTGTCCTGCTTCAGCCTCCTGAGTAGCTGGGATTGTAGGTGCACACCACCACGCCCGACTAATTTTTATATTTTTAGTAGAGATGGGGTTTCACCATGTTGGTAAGGCTGGTCTCGAACTCCTGACCTCGTGACCCGCCCGCCTCAGCCTCCCAAAGTGCTGGGATTACAGGCGTGAGCCACCGTGCGTAGCCTTTTTTTCTTTCTTTCTTTTTTAAATTTTTATTTTTAGACAGGGTTTCACTCTGTCACCCAGGCTGGAGTGCAGTGGCACGATCGCGGCTCACTGTCACTGCAACCTCCGAGTCCCAGGCTTAGGTGATCTTCCCACCTCACCCTCTCAAATAGCTGGGACCACAGGCATGCACCAGCACACCTGGCTAATTTTTTTGTATTTGTAGAGATGGTTTCACCACGTTGCCCAGGCTGGTCTAGAACTCCTGGACTCAAGGGATCTGCCCACCTCTGCCTCCCAAAGTGCTGGGATTACAGGCGTGAACCACCATGCCCGGACTAATCAACTTTTATGAATCACTTTTATTGTGAAATAATTTAAGTGAAACTCAATTTACACACTTTTTCATATCCTTGAAATATTGTTTTAGTTGGAACAGCAAGCAGCCTTCCACTAAGTACTCTTGGGCAATCAAAACAGTGCCAACTAGAAAAAGTTATGGATGGTCAGAAATTATCTTTGTTTAGTTTATGTTGATGTTTCTAACATTTAACTTATTTATTATAGTACTGTTATCTCTATACAATCATTAAAGAAAAAACTGGTTGGGCACGGTGGCTGATGGCTGTATTCCCAGCACTTTGGGAGGCCGAGGTGGGCGGATCACCTGAGGTCGAGGGTTCGAGACCAGCCCAACCAACATGGAGCAACCCAGTCTCTACTAAAAATACAAAATTTGCCTGGTGTGGTGGCACATGCCTGTATTCCCAGCTACTTGGGAGGCTGAGGCAGGAGAATAGCTTGAAACTGGGAGGCAGAAGTTGCAGTGAGCCAGTGGTGCCATTGCACACCAGACTGGGCAACAAGAGCGAAACTCCATCTCAAAAAAGAAAAGAAAAAAACTTACCTGTATATACTGAAAAGAGAGCACATTGTTAAACTGATATTTGAACCTTTTCTCTGAACATTTTATGTTTCCTCCTTTGGAAAATGTGGTTATAAAGAAGAAATTTCAAGATAATATTTGTGTTTGTGTCCCAGTGTTTTTAGGTTCTGATTTATAAGATTGGTCTTTTAATTAATTTTAATACTGATTTCAATTCTAATACTGTCTTCTTCATAAGTAAGCCATGTGTTTGACAAAGATGGACCAGTATAGAAGAAATGCTTTGCCAAGTTGCCTAATCTGCTGCTGCTCTTGGGTCTCACTGTCACTCAGGCTGGAGTACAGTGGCGCAATCAGCTCACTGCAGCCTGGAATTCCTGGGCTCAGGTGATCCTCGCACCACAGCTTCCCAAGCAGCCAAGCACTAGGTGTGTGCCATCACGCCAGGCTAATTTATTTTTTATCTTATTTCTTCTTTTTTTTTTTTTAGACGGAATTTCGCTCTTGTTGCCCAGGCTGGAGTGCAATGGTGCAATCTTGGCTCATTACAACTTCCACCTCCCAGGTTCAAGCGATTCTCCTGCCTCAGCCTCACAAGTAACTGGGACTACCGGCATGCGCCACCAGGCCAGGCTAATTTTGTATTTTTAGTAGAGATGGGGTTTCTCCATGTTGATTAGGCTGATCTCAAACTCCCGACCTCAGGTAATCCACCCGCCTTGGCCTTCCAAAGTGCTGGGATTACAGACACCGCACCCGGCCATTTTTTTTTTTTTTTTTTTTTGAAATGGAGTTTCACTCTTTTTGCCCGGGCTGGAGTGAAATGGCATGGTCTTGGCTCACTGTAACATCCACCTCCCAGGTTCAAGCGATTCTCATGCCTCAGCCTCCCAAGCAGCTGGGATTACAGGTGCCTGCCACCACGCCTGGCTAATTTTTGTATTTTAGTAGAGACATGGTTTCACCATGTTGGCCAGGCTGGTCTTGAACTCCTGACCTTAGGTGATCCACCCACTTTGGCCTCCCAAAGTGCTTGGATTACAGGTGTGAGCCACCGTGCCCAGCTGCCAGGCTAATTTTTTAATTTTTTGTAGAGATGGGGGCCTTGCTTTGTAGCCCTGGGTGGTCTTAAAACTCTTGGCTGTAAGCGATCCTCCTGCCTTGGCCTCCCAAAGTGCTAGGATTACAGGCATGAGCCACCGCACCTGACAAATCTGCCTTCTGTGGTACAAACAGCCACAGGCAAGCAGAATAAAGTTACTCTTTGAAACAGCTCCAACTTTACTTTTGAACAGGAAAGTCAGCCGCACAATCCTACCTAAAAATAAGCTTGACATTAGACTTAGATAAATCTTTTAAAATGTGAAACATATGGAATTTATGCAAGATAGATGTGTTTTCTAAAAGTAAGTCCTTTTGCGTCACAGAAATGTTTATTTTAATAATAGAATTCTGTGGCCAAGGACGAGAACTTTTTTATAATAGGTTGTGGTTGCTTGGCTATAATATTAGGTTGGTGCAAAATTAATTTTAAGACATTTAAACCTTTTTGGGAAGAAAAACTTACTTTGGAAAAGTAGGAAAAAAAATGTATGTGAGGAAATCAATTCCCCCGCCTCTCCATTTAGAAATGGGCATTCAGAATCAGAGGATTTTTTTTTTTTTTTGAGATGGTCTCTGTCATGCAGGCTGGAGTGCAGTGTCATGAACATAGCTCGCTGCAACTTCAAACTCATTTGGAAGGTAAGGGCTCAAGCAATCTTGAGTTCAATAGCTCAAGATTTTTCAGGGCTCAAGCAGTCTTCCCACTTGGCCTATAGAGTAGCCAGGACTACAGGTGCATGCAATCACGCTTGGCTATTTTTTTTTTTTTTTTTGAGACGGGGGAGGTCTCAGTTACGTTGCCTAGGCTGTTTTCTAATTCCTGGCCTCAAGTGATCCTCTTCAGCTCAGCCTCCCCAAGAGCTGGAATTACAGGCCTGAGCCACCATGCCCAGCTTAGACTCAGGATTTATGCTTCTGCCACTAGTTGCCTTTCAAATCCTGGGCCAAATGACCTCCTTTGTCTATCTACTTATCCTTTAGGTTTCAGTTTAAACATTTGCTTCAGGAGAACTTTTGAATTTTTTAATTGAAAAAGCCTGTACTTCTAAAGGAAATAAAGTTTATGTTTTCTTCCAAATGAGAAAATCAGTTGGAGATGTCTGTGGCCCTCAGTTTATTATGTAGTACTTTTATCTAGTTTCTATTTAACCTAAAGATGCAACTGTTTCTCAAATTGTTCCATCAATGTAAGTATAGACTATCATTTCTTATATTGCAATAAGATACATACATAAGACAACCTGTGGCTGAGCGTGGTGGCCCACACCTGTAATTGCAGCACTTTGGGAGGCCAAGACTGGCAGATCACCTGAGGTCAGGAGTTCGAGACCAACCTGGCCAACATGGTGAAACCCTGTCTCTACTAAAAATACAAAAAATCAGCTAGGCATGGTGGTGTGCAGCTGTAATCCCAGCTACTAGGGAGACAGGCAGTAGAACTGCTTGAACCCAGGAGGTGTGGGATGCACTGAGCCGAGATTGTGCCACTGCACTCCAGCCTGGGTGACAGAGCAAGACTTCGTCTCAAAAAAAAAAAAAAAAAAAAAGACAACCTGAAAACCTAAGCTTTTTAACTCAGTCGTCAACCTCTATGTGTTACGACAAAACTTTTTTTTTTTTGAAACGGAGTCTCCTGTCGCCCAGGCTGGAGTGCAGTGGCGCCATCTGGCCCACTGCAAGCTCTGCCTTCCTGGTTCACACCATTCTCCCTCCTCAGCCTCCCGAGTAGCTGGGACTACAGGCGGCCGCAACCGTGCCTGGCTAATTTTGTTTTTTTTTTGTATTTTTAGTAGAGTCAGGGTTTCACCATGTTAGCCAGGATGGTCTCGATCACCTGACCTCGTGATCCGCCTGCCTCGGCCTCCCAAAGTGCTGGGATTACAGGTGTGAGCCACCGAGCCCGGCATGACAAAATCTTTACAAGCAATTCCTTGTATGAACTATTGTGATTGGTAGTTGAGCACCACACAGTTCAAAACTATATCCATACTGGTGATGGGTGCAGATAAACATGTTTGGGGAAATTAATAATACTACAATGTAAAAATCCAGAAACCATAGTGGAAAGTATTAGTAAACATGATTCATAATAACTAAAATTTCTGAACATTCTGTAAATATGGTCAAAATAAAAACAGGGAAAAGTATTAAGTATTTTTAGCACAAATGACTAAGAACAAATTCTTTTATGTAGATCCCTTATATACTAGTCAGGAAAATATAACGGAAACATAGGCAGAGGAAAGGAACCACAAGATCACAGAAGAAATACACATGGCTTTTCAGTGAAAAAAAAAAGTGCACTTCAAATAAGTTAACATTAAAACCACAATGCAATACCATTTTTTTACTTTTCAGATGGAAAAATCAACAGTTTTGATGCAGTACTGAGCTGGAAAGGATGTGAGGTCTATAATATATTGATGGTGAGAGTGTAAATTGCTATAAGCTCTTAGAAAGTCAAGTCGACAATTCTGTTAAAATATTAGTCCAGGGGCAGTGGCTCACGCCTCTAATCCCAGCACTTTGGGAGGCCGAGGTGAGTGGATCACAAGGTCAAGAGATCGAGACCATCCTGGCCAACCAACATGGTGAACCCCGTCTCTACTAAAAATACTTTAAAAATTGAAAGTTTTGGCGTGCCTGTAGTGCCAGCTACTCAGGAGGCTGAGGCAGGAGAATCACTTGAACCCGGGAGGCGGAGGTTGCAGTGAGCCAAGAGTGAGCCACTGCACTTCAGCCTGGCAACAGAGCGAGACCGTGTCTCAAAAAATAATAATAATAATTATATATATATATAATGTACATGCTCTTTGACTCAGCAATTTCATTTATAGGTATTTGTCCTACAGAGTAACACACATGCACAAAGATCTATTTATAAGACTATTTGTTGCAGCATTATTGGTAACAAAAGGCTGGAAACAACCTAACTGTTCATCAGAAGACCATAATTAGATAAAAATAGAGGAAACTTAGTACAACAATATTGTGCAGCTATGGAAAACACTAAGGTAAAGCTCTATATGCTGTTTAAGATCAATCTCTGAGATATGCTTAATAAAAACTAGCAAGATAACTGTATAGAATGCTACTATTGGGGAATATAAGCTAGATAGACATATATCTCTGAAAGAATAGCACAACTACCTCTGGGAAGAGGGAGGGGAGTAGGAGTTGGGAGTGAGGGAGTTTTTTCATTTTATGCCCTTTTCTTTTTCCATTTAAAAAAAGGATGTAATTTTCTACCTGAATACAGAACATTATTTTGAAACTTTCTTTTTTTTTTGATATGGAGTCTTGCTCTGTCCCCCAGGCTGGAGTACAGTGGTGGGATCTTAGCTCACTGCAAGCTCTGCCTCCCGGGTTCACACCATTCTCCTGCCTCAGCCTCCAGAGTAGCTGGGACTACAGGCGCCCGCCACCACGCCCGGCTAATTTTTTTGTATTTTTAGTAGAGATGGAGTTTCACCGTGTTAGCCAGGATGGTCTCCATCTCCTGACCTCATGATCTGCCTGCCTTTGCCTCCCAAAGTGCTAGGATTACAGGTGTGAGCCACCTCACCTAGCCAAAACTTTCAATTTTTAATTTTACAAAGTTATGCTTTAGATTTAATAAGAACAGAGCAGCCATATTAACAGTTTAAAACACTGTCGTGTTAGTAATTCAGGGCAAAAAATAACCAGTTCAGACTTTAAAAGCAGAGCAAAAAAAATCCACATTTCCCATCCAACCACTTTGTCAGAAGGAGGAGGAAAAGCCCAGCACGGTGGCTCTCCCTGGTAATCCTAGCACTTTGGGAGGGGGAGGTGGGAGGATCCCTTGAGCCCAGGAGTTCTAGACAAGCCTGGACAACAGAGCAAGACCTTGTTTCAAAAAAGAAAACAAGAAAAAGAATGATAATGCAACTTCCAGAGAGTAGGAGAGCTGGGCTAAATATGAAATAAGATACCATAAAAAAGGAGCCACCTTGGCCAGGCACAGTGGCTCACACCTGTAATCCCAGCACCTTGGGAGGCTAAGAAATAAGATGCCATAAAAAAAGAGAAGAGGTATTTCTGAAACTGATGTGCCTAACCTTGAAAACAATGGCCCTATAGCCAGTGTGTTATTTTCAAAGTATAAAATGAATTTCACAATGTTGCTATAAGTACTCCACTTCTCAGGTGACCTTTGAGATCAGAATTGCTCTATTTAAAGACATGGCCCAGGAAACTGAAGTTAGACAGTAAGCTTCTATTTAAATCTTTTAAAAAGTAGCAGCTGACATTGGGATAGTAACAGGCCATAGGGTGCAGTTTTAAATAGAGATTTATTCCAATGCAAAAAATTCTACTGGGGATAGAAGTAACTTCTAGAAACAGTAGTTTAAATGAGTGCTTTATGAGTCCAAGATATTGAACACCAGAGTACTGGAATTGTGTGCTGTAGCTCTAAGAGTTGTGACACTTGGCCAGGCATGGTGGCTCACACCTGTAATCCCGGCACCTTGGGAGGCTGAGGCAGAAGGATTGCTTGAGCCCCAGGAGCTTGAAACCAGCCTGGGCAACATAGCAAGACCCCATCTCTTAAAAAAAAAAGAGCTGTGATACTTGCTGCATGTTAGGTGGTTTAAAAAACCATTATCTTCATGATTGTAGCTTGAGAATTTCTCAGGGACTCTAACCACCACTTAAACCTTATTTGTGAATGTGTTTTTCTCTGCATCAGTAAAGAAAATTGGCCAGGCATGGTGGTTCACATCTGTAATCCCAGCACTTTGAGTGGCCAAGGTGGGCAGATCGCTTGAACCCAGGGCTCTGAGACCAGCCTGGCAACGTGGTGAAACCCTATCTCTAAAAATAAAAACAAAAAATAAAGAAAATTCCAAGACAACCAATATTACAAGAACTGTCAGTAAAAAATTTCTGGTCTGTCCCTGGATCTAAAATAAATAAGTAAGTTGAGATACTCATTTTAAATCTTGGCCTTGAAGATAATATACCCCTACATGCTGAAATATGAAAGAGCTCAACAATTAAACTAGAAGATGGGACAGATTGTACTATGCATTTAACAGTAAATGTTAACTTTTTTTTTTTTTTTTTTTTTTGAGACAGAGTCTTGGTCTGTCACCCAGGCTGGAGTGCAGTGACGTGATCTCAGCTCACTGCAACCTCCGCCTTCCAGGTTCAAGTGATTCTCCTGCCTCAGCCTCCTGAGTACCTGAGATTACAGGCATGCATCAGCATGCCCAGCTAATTTTTAAATTTTTAGTAGAGACGGGGTTTGGCCATGTTGGCCAAGCTGGTCTCAAACTCCTGACCTCAGATGATCTGCCTGCCTCGGCCCCCCAAAGTTCTGGGATTACAGGTGTGAGCCACTGCACCCAGCCAGATGTTAACTTTTAACCTTTATTCTATCTGGACAGTGAACTAGATTGCTTTGTGGTCTAGCAAGAAGTGTTCAGTGGCAATAAGAATTATTCAATAAAAATATTACTGAGCAACTGCTATGTGCTGGGCACTGTTCTAGGCATAGGGCCCGCAGCACTGCACAAAGAGACAAAATTTCTGCTATCATAGACTTCAGATTCTGACAAAATATATAACATAGTACATGGTGCTAAGTGCTATGGAGAAAAACGGAAAGTGGATGGTTAATTTCAAATAGGGGTCATCAGAGGCAGCCTTACTAAGGTGACATTTCAGCAGGCCAGGGTGGAGCATCCAGGCAGAAGACACACTGAGTGCAGCGTATTCTGGTGAGTTCAAGAATCAGCAGGAAGACCAGTGTCTGGAGTGGAGTCAAGGGCAGAGGGAGTAGTAGAAAATGAAGTCAAGGCTGGGTGTGGTGGCTCACGCCTGTAATCCCAGCACTTTGGGAGGCTGAGGCGGGTGGATTACTTGAGGTCAGGAGTTCGAGACCAGCCTGGCCAACATGGTGAAACCCCGTCTCTACTAAACATACAAAAATTAGCCGGGCATGGTGGCGGGTGTCTGTAATCCCAGCTACTCAGGAGGCTCAGGCTGGAGAATCACTTGAACCCAGGAGGCAGAGGTTGCAGTGAGCTGAGATCTGGCCACTGCACTCCAGCCTGGGCAACAAGAGTGAAACTCCATTTCAAATAAATAAATAAATAAATAAATAAAATGAAAATGAGGTCAAGGGCAGGGCAGGGCCATTTACTTAGGACTTGCCATGTGAAGGACTTTGCTTTTCATTCTGAGAAGGGAAGCTATGGGAGGATTTTTGAGAGGAGTAACATTTTAAAAGGATCCCCCTGACCACATGGATGATAACAGACTCGTAGGAAACTCGAGGAACAGATTTTGATGGGTGGAGAGATCGGCAGCTTAGATTTGAATAGGTTCAATTTCATGTGCCTGGTAAGACATATTACCAAGCACCATGTCAAGGCCTATCAAGTAGGCAACTGGATAGTCAAGTCTGGAGCTCAGGAGAGGGATCCAAGGTAGTGACATAAATTTGTATATTTATTTATTTTGACACAAGCTCTTGCTCTGTCGCCCAGGCTGGAGTGCAGTGGTGCAATCTCCGTTCACTGCAACCTCCACCTCCCAGGCTCAAGTGATCCTCCCACATCTGCCTCCCAAGTAGCTGGGATCACAGACACGTGCCACGATGCCCGGCTAATTTTTGTATTTTTAGTAGAGGTGGGGTTTCACTATGTTGGCCAGGCTGGTCTCCAACTCCTCGCCTCAAGTGATCTGCCTACCTCGGCCTCCCAAAGTGCTGGAATTACAGGCATGGCTCATGCCATCACGCCTGGCCAATTCATATATTGAAAGCCATGAGTCATGGATGAGATGTCCAAAGGAGTACACACAGAAAAAAGAACTGGGGCACTCCAACATTTAGAGGTTGAGCAGATCTCCAACAAGGAACTAGCAAAGACTTAAGAAGCTGCTGAGGGCCAGGAGTGGTGGCTCATGCCTGTAATCCCAGCACTTTGGGAGGCCGAGGTAGGCAGATCACTTGAAGTGAGGAGATGGAGACCAGCCTGGCCAACATAGTGAAACCCCACCTCTACTAAAAATACAAAAATTAGCCGGGCATGGTGGCACGCGCCTGTGGTCCCAGCTACTTGGGAGGCTGAGGTGGGAGAATCGCTTGAACCCGGGAGATGGAGGCTGCAGTATGCTGAGATCGCACCACTGCACTCCAGTCTGAGCAACAGAGCAACAGCTTGTCTCAAAAAAAAAGGAAAAAAAAAAAAAAGCTGGTGAGGAAGAAGGCAAACCAGTTAAATATCTAGAATGGGACCATCTAATACATGGTGCCACATATGCTATTTAATTAGAATTTAAAACTCAGTTTCTCAGTCACATTAGCCACATTTCTTTTTTTAGAAATAGGATCTCACCCTGTTGCCCAGGCTGGGGTGCAGTGGTGCAATCATAGCTCACCGCAGCTTCGAACTCCTGGGCTCAGGGTATCTTTCCACCTTAGCTTCCCAAGTTGTCGGCATACAGGTGTGAGCCGCCATGCCAGTGTGAGCCGCCATGCCAGGCTCATGTTAGCCACATTTCAAGGGCCCCTTTCAGGTAGCTGTTGGCTACTGATCTGGACAGCAAAGATACAGAACATCGCCAGCATTGCTAAAGTTCTATTGGACAGTGCTGGTCAGGAAGACAACTGAAGAAAGTATCTCAAGGACAGGGAGTGTCAAAAACTAATAGTAATAGTAATTTGAGGACTGAGACTTGACCATTGGATTTAGTTATGTGTAAGTGACCAGCAACTTCCTGACAGGACAGCAGTTTTGGTAGAGTGGGAGGCAAAAGCCTGATAGAAGTATATTCAGGACAAACTGGAGGAGAGGACTCGAAATCAAAAGAGAGGAGAGGACTCGAAATCAAAAGAGACAACTCTAAAGATTTGCAATTAAGATGGCTAGGGTGAATTAAACTGCAACGTATTTGTTGAAGCTGTTCCAAAGACAAGCCCAATTCTCATGACAGTTGAGTTTTTGGTAAACGGCACATAAAAACCCATGGACCAGTGATTTGCAACCCTGAGAGAATCATTTGAAGATTGCTTGGGGTCCATCCCAGAGATGTAACTGGTTGGAAAGGGACCCTGGCATTGTTTAAATGTAAGAAGTTTTCTTTGGGTAATTCTAATGTACATACAGCCACAGTCTAAGACCTATTCACTGCCTTAGAGGAAAGCATAAATACAAATGCATCATGATTCCCAATCATGGTCCAAAATTATATGGCACTTCTTTTTATGTTGGAAAATTTATTAAATGATGGCACATATTTGCTGCAAAGATGAGACATGGTATTGTGGTAAGTTTTTCTGCCAGTGTTTTGGAGATTGAGAATGTTAAATCCATCAAGATGGGAATCAACACTAGATAATCTTTTTTTATTATTTTTATTATTTTTTTGAGACAGAGCTTCGCTCTTGTTGCCCAGGCTGAAGTGCAATGGCGTGATCTCAGCTCACCGCAACCTCCACCTCCCGGGTTCAAGCAATTCTCCTGCGTCAGCCTCCCGAGTAACTGGGATTACAGGCATACACCACCACGCACGGCTAATTTTGTATTTTTAGTAGAGATGGGGTTTCACCATGTTCATCAGGCTGGTCTCGAACTCCCGACCTCAAGTGATCCGCCTGCCTCGGCCTCCCAAAGTGCTGGGATTATAGGCATGAGCCACCACGCCCAGCTGATAATCTTTAAAAAAAAAAAAAAAGACTAATCCTACTCACCATGAACAAATATGCTGGTTCCATGGCTTTGTGGGTACAGTTACTCATAGAAGCACTTTATCTGATGACTGCACTTCCCCAAAGAAAAGCTTTCTGTTAACTGTACAAATTTTGAAATAGAACCAAATTCTAACCTTCAAGGAATCACAACTTTTACTTTAAAACTGGTATTAAGAACAATTTAATATTAAAAAACGAGACAACTTAAAAACTGGTAGCATCTTTAAAACCAGAAAATTTACATGGGGACTAAAGCTCCATGAATTACATGATTCTGTAATTCAGTTTTCTGTTCCCTATACTGGCACTTTTGAAAAAATATCTGGCATGTTTTGGTGAAAAGTCTCAACAGGATTACTTCATTTCACATATAGTTGCAAATAAAATCACCTATCAAATCATTGTAGGATATAGCTCTATTTTTCTCATCTCTGGAAGCGAGTGTTTCCTAGTTATGAATCCTAGAATGTCCACTCCCTAAAATCCCTGAAGCACTTACTCTATTTGCCATTCATCTCACTAAGTAATCCTGTACTCACTGCTTTTTGTATTATGATGTGAACATGAAATAAATGGGCTGAGCACAGTGGCTCACACCTGTAATCCCAGCACTTTGGGAGGCCAAGGCGGGTGGATCACCTGAGGTCAGGAGTTTGAGACCAGCCTGGCCAACATGGCGAAACCCCATCTCTACTAAAAATACAAAAATTAGCCAGGTGTGGTGGCGTGCGCCTGTAATCCCAGCTACTTGGGAGACTGAGGCAGGAAAATCACTTGAACCCAGGAGGCAGAGGTTGCAGGGAGCCGAGACGTCATTGCACTCCAGCCTGAGCCGACAGAGCGAGACTCTGTCTCAAAAAAAAAAAAAAAAAAAAGAAAAGAAAAAAAAATGATGATCTGCTATCACACACAGGTCTCCTAACCATCAATTTCAACCTCTTCCTCAATCCAAGAGCTAACAGATTAAAAAATATATTTCACTTTTCCCTCTTTACCTTACCTAAAAAATGCTTTGAACTATTAAATAGCCACAAACCAGAAATAATCCACAACTTGGATAAATAGCTCCTAATCAAAAAGCAGATTAAACCTGCAATCTGAAATATAGTAATTACATTTGGAAATACTGAATTTACTACATTAATCCTACTCTAATTATTTTACTATTTCTTCTATCAAGGCAAAAGGCAATATAATCTTGAAAGATAGAGATGGACTGAACATTTGCTTACCAAATCCCAAAATACTAGAATTTGAAGTATAAAAAGAGATGAATCAACTTCATTAAGAAAACTTTGCAATACCAGTGGCAACCTCACAAACCTTGCATTACATAACCTTTTTTTTTTTTTTTTTTTTTTTTTGCAATGGAATCTTGCTCTTGTGGCCCATGCGATCTTGGCTCACTGCCACTCTCCCTCCTGGGTTCAAGCGATTCTCCTCCCTCAGCCTCCTGAGTAGCTGGGATTACAGGCATGCACCACCAGCCGTGGCTAATTTTTCTATTTTTAGTAGAGACAGGGTTTCACCACGTTGGCCAGGCTGGTCTTGAACTCCTGGCTTCAAGTGATCTGCCCACCTCAGACTCCCAAAGTGCTGGGAGTAGCATGAGCCACCCCTTTTTAATAGAAATGGGGTCTCGCCATGTTGCCCAGGCTGGTCATGAACTCCTGGGCTCAGGCTATCCTCCCATCTCTGCCTCCCAAAGTGCTAGGATTACAGATGCCACCACTCCCAGCCTACATAAAGCATTTATAAAACAAAACAAAACTGAAATAATTTTCTTAAATCACTGCCTCAAGACTAATAAAACTGGCAACTCTCAATGATTTCCCTCAAATTACTCTCCTTTTTGAGAAGCAGTATAGAATGATAAAAAGCTGGAGATCTGAAGCCAACATCCTAGGTTCAAATCGGCTCTTTCACATACTGGCTATGTGACTATGGACAAGTTATTCCTACGTGTTTCAGGTTTCTTCTGTAAAATGACACTAGTAGCAGTATAATACCTGCCTCCCAGGACTGTTGTGAAGAATAAATGTAAATCACTCATAAACAATGTCTGTAACATGCATACTGAATACTTAAAAGATGCAAGTGATTTGGTCATCTGACCCTCACAAAAACAAGTATTTCAAACTGCTGCTTACTTTGAGGATTCCACGTGTTATATCAAAAGATATATCATTTCAGTAACTAGACCTTTGGAGGCAGTGAGATAAATGAGACTAATTGATCTGAAGGATCTGATCTGCTACTTTTACATCACAAAGGTACCTGCTTTATCTTTTAAGTAACAGCTTGCTATGGAATACTCAGCCTTCCTTTCGGGTTCAGTCAGATGTAGTGGAAAGATGAGGTTGCTAGGAAACTTTCAGATTTCTAGTAGACAAATAGAGAAAAACTTGTCAATACTATTGCCATTTCCATTCTTTGGCATGACTGGGCAAAGAGTACCCAGTGCTAAAACATTTGTCATTTGTGAGAAGCGCTATGCCTCTGTGGTTAGTAACGATGGCGTTAGAATGCCTGGTTATAACCCTGGCTCTGCTACTCGCTGTGACCTTTGGCAAGTTACTTGACTTCTCTGCCTCAGTTTCCTTATCTGTGAAATCTGGATAATAATACCCATCTTATAGGGTTGTTGGGAGGATTACATTAGTTAATTTCCATAAAGCTCTTAGAATAGGGCCCAACAGAATAAGCATCAAAAAGTGTTGATTATTAAAAGCATAAAATGTTTTCCAGTATTAATGACATAACTGTATAAAAATATATCTTGATCTCATGCAGAAAAGAAATGCTACTGTGTCCATGTTTTAGTTATTTGTATTAGTACCAGATGTGAGGTAGTACAAATGCAAAGGAGAAGGTACAGGAACACATCTTCATGTAATTAACCTACTGCCTGATGACCTGACCTTGGGCCAGAAAAGAAAATCAGAAAGATTATGACTTGATAGCATCTTTTAGAGGGGTCTCATGCATCTGATAAGGACTGGACTAAATTACCTGCTATAGGCTGGCCATGGTGGCTCATGCCTGTTATCCTAGTACTTTGGGAGGCTGAGGTGTATCACTTGAGGTCAGGAGTTCGGGACCAGCCTGGACAACATGGTGAAACCCCGTCTCTACTAAAAATACAAAAATTAGCCAGGCATGGTGGTGGGTGCCTGTAATCCCAGCTACTCGGGAGTCTGAGGCAGGAGAATAGCATGAACCTGGGAGGTGGAGGTTGCAGTGAGCTGAGATCGCACTTCTGCACACCAGTCTGGGCTACAGAGCAAGACTCCATCTCAAAATAAATAACATAAATAAATACAGCTAGGCATGGTGGCTCATGCCTGTAATCCCAGGCCTTTGGGAGGCTGACGCAAGTGGATTACCTTAGTTAGGTGAGGAGTTTGAGACCAGCCTGGCCAACATGCTGCAACCCTGTCTCTACTAAAATAACAAAAATCAGCCAGGCATGGTGGTGGTCACCTGTAATCCCAGCTACTCAGGAGGCTGAGGCAAGAGAATCGCTTAAACCCGAGAGGTGGAGGTTGCAGTGAGCCGAAGGTTCCAGTGAGCCAAGACTGCACCACTGCACTCCATCCTGGGTGACAAAGCAA